>NC_000015.10:18667477-18979846 GCF_000001405.40 Homo sapiens | reverse complement strand
TTTATTTTTAGTTTTAGTAGGGACAGGGTTTCGCTTCCTTAGACATGATGGTCTCGATCTCCTGATCTCGTCATCCGCCCCCCTCAGCCTCCCAGAGCGATGGGATTACAGGAGTGAGCCACCACGCCTGGCCTTAATGTCATTATCTTAAGAGCAGGTTAGTTATTTCAAGAGTCGGTTCCTGACAAAAGGATGAGTCTGGCCCCCTTCCCCTCTTTCTTGTGTGCTCTTTTGCCCTTCAGGCATTGGGATGATACAGCAAGAAGGCCCTCAACAGATGTTGTCACTTGATGTGGGACTTCCCAGCCTCCAGAACCGTGAGCCAAATAAATTTCTGTTCATCATAAATTACTCAGTCTAGGGTAGTATGTTATAGCAACACAAAATGGATTATCTGTCTAGATTTTATATGAAAATATTCCCGTTTCCAACGAAATCCTGAAAGCTATCCAAATATCCACTTGCAAATGCCACAAAAAGAGTGTTTCCAAACTGCTCTGTGAAAAGGAAGGTTCAACTCTGTTAGTTGAGTACACACATCACAAAGAGGTTTCTGAGAATGCTGCTGACTAGTTTTTATTTGAAGTTATTTCCCTTTTCACCTTAGGCCTAAGAGTGCTCGAAATGTCCATTTCCACATACTCCACAAAGTGTGTTTCAAACGTGCTGTATGAAAGGGAATGTTCAACTCTATGAGTTGAATGCAAACATCACAAAGAAGATTCTGAGAATGCTTTTGTCTAGATTTTATATGAAGATATTCCCGTGTCCAACGAAATTTTCAAAGGTCTCCAAATATCCATTTGTAGATTCTACAAAAAGAGTGTTTCCAAACTGCTGTATCAAAACAAAGGTTGAACTCTGTGAGTTGAGAACACACATCACAAATAAGTTTCTGAGAATGCTTCTGTCTAGTTTTTATTTGAAGATGTTTCCTTTTTCACCATAGGCCTGAAAGCGCTCGAAATGTCCACTTCCAGATAGTACAGAAAGAGTGTTTCAAACCTGCTCTATGAACGGGAATGTTCAGCTCTGTGAGTTGAATGCAAACATCACAAAGCAGGTTCTGAGAATGCTTCCGTCTAGATTTTAAATGAGGATATTCCCGTTTCCAACGAAATCCTCGAAGCTATCCAAATATCCACTTGCAGATTCCACAAAAAGAGTGTTTCAAAACTGCTCTGTCAAAAGATAGGTTCAACTCTGTTAGTTGAGTACACACATGGCAAACAAGATTCCGAGAATGCTTTCGTCTAGTTTTTTTGGGAAGATATTTCCTTCTTCACCATAGGCCTCAAAGCGCTCCAAATATCCATTTCCACATGCTATACAAAGAGTGTCTCAAACCTGCTGTATGAATGGGAATGTTCAACTCTATGAGTTGAATGCAAACATCACAAAGAAGTTTCTGAGAATGCTGCTGTCTAGATTTTATATGAAGGTTTTCCCGCTTCCAACGAAATTTTCAATGCTCTCAAAATATCCTCTTGTAGATTCTACAAAAAGAGTGTTTCCAAACTGCTGTATCAAAACAAAGGTTCATCTCTGTTAGTTGAGGACACACATCACAAATAAGTTTCTGAGAATGCTTCTGTCTAGTTCTTATTTGAAGACATTTCCTTTCTCACCTTAGGCCTGAAAGCGCTCGAAATACCCACTTCCAGATACTACAGAAACAGTGATTCAAACCTGCTCTATGAAAGGGAATGTTCAACTATGTGACTTGAATGCAAACATCACAAAGCAGTTTCTGAGAATGCTGCTGTCTACTTTCTATTTGTAATCCCGTTTCCAACGAAATCCTCAGAACTATCGAAATTTCCAATTGCAGATTCCACAGAAACAGGGTTTCAAAGCTGCTCTGTAAAAAGAAAGGTTCAACTCTGTTAGTTGAATACACACGTCACAAACAAGTTTCTGAGAATGCTTCTGTCTAGTTTTTATGGGAAGATATTTCCTTTTTCACCGTAGGCCTCAAAGCGCTCCAAATGTCCACTTCCACATACTACAAAAAGAGTGTTTCAAACCTGCTGTATGAAAGGGAATGTTCAACTCTATGAGTCGAATGCAAACATTACAAAGAAGTTTCTGAGAATGCTTCTGTCTAGATTTTATATGAAGGTTTTCCCGTTTCCAACGAAATTTTCAATGCTCTCAAAATATCGACTTGTAGATTCTACAAAAAGAGTGTTTCCTAACTGCTGTGTCAAAAGAAAGGTTCAACTCTGTTAGTTGAGGACACACATCACAAATAAGTTTCCTGAGAATGCTTCTGTCTAGTTCTTATTTGAAGACATTTCCTTTCTCACCTTAGGCCTGAAAACGCTCGAAATATCCACTTCCAGATACGACAGAAACAGTGATTCAAACCTGCTCTATGAAAGGGAATGTTCTACTAGGTGACTTGAATGCAAACATCACAAAGCAGTTTCTGAGAATGCTGCTGTCTACTTTCTATTTGTAATCCCGTTTCCAACGAAATCCTCAGAACTATCGAAATTTCCAATTGCAGATTCCACAAAAAGCGTGTTTCAAAGCTGCTCTGTAAAAAGAAAGGTTCAACTCTGTTTGTTGAATACACACGTCACAAACAAGTTTCTGAGAATGCTTCTGTCTAGTTTTTATGGGAAGATATTTCCTTTTTCACCGTAGGCCTCAAAGCGCTCCAAATGTCCACTTCCACATACTACAAAAAGAGTGTTTCAAACCTGCTCTATGATAGGGAATGTTGAAACCTATGAGTTGAATGCAAGCATTACAAAGAGGTTTCTGAGAATGCTTCTGTCTAGATTTTATATGTAGATATTCCCGTTTCCAATGAAATCCTCAAAGCTATCCAAATATCAACTTGCAGATTCTACAAAAGGAATGTTTCCAAAATGCTGTATCCAAACAAAGGTTCAACTCTGTGAATTGAGGGCATACATCACAAAGAAGATTCTGAGAATGCTTCTGTCTAGATTTTATATGAAAATATTCCCGTTTCCAACGAAATCCTCAAAGCTATCCAAATATCCACTTGCAAATGCCACAAAAAGAGTGTTTCCAAACTGCTCTGTGAAAAGGAAGGTTCAACTCTGTTAGTTGAGTACACACATCACAAAGAGGTTTCTGAGAATGCTGCTGACTAGTTTTTATTTGAAGATATTTCCCTTTTCACCTTAGGCCTAAGAGTGCTCGAAATGTCCATTTCCACATACTCCACAAAGTGTGTTTCAAACGTGCTGTATGAAAGGGAATGTTCAACTCTATGAGTTGAATGCAAACATCACAAAGAAGATTCTGAGAATGCTTTTGTCTAGATTTTATATGAAGATATTCCCGTGTCCAACGAAATTTTCAAAGGTCTCCAAATATCCATTTGTAGATTCTACAAAAAGAGTGTTTCCAAACTGCTGTATCAAAACAAAGGTTGAACTCTGTGAGTTGAGGACACACATCACAAATAAGTTTCTGAGAATGCTTCTGTCTAGTTTTTATTTGAAGATGTTTCCTTTTTCACCATAGGCCTGAAAGCGCTCGAAATGTCCACTTCCAGATAGTACAGAAAGAGTGTTTCAAACCTGCTCTATGAACGGGAATGTTCAGCTCTGTGAGTTGAATGCAAACATCACAAAGCAGGTTCTGAGAATGCTTCCGTCTAGATTTTAAATGAGGATATTCCCGTTTCCAACGAAATCCTCGAAGCTATCCAAATATCCACTTGCAGATTCCACAAAAAGAGTGTTTCAAAACTGCTCTGTCAAAAGATAGGTTCAACTCTGTTAGTTGAGTACACACATGGCAAACAAGATTCCGAGAATGCTTTCGTCTAGTTTTTTTGGGAAGATATTTCCTTCTTCACCATAGGCCTCAAAGCGCTCCAAATATCCATTTCCACATGCTATACAAAGAGTGTCTCAAACCTGCTGTATGAATGGGAATGTTCAACTCTATGAGTTGAATGCAAACATCACAAAGAAGTTTCTGAGAATGCTGCTGTCTAGATTTTATATGAAGGTTTTCCCGCTTCCAACGAAATTTTCAATGCTCTCAAAATATCCTCTTGTAGATTCTACAAAAAGAGTGTTTCCAAACTGCTGTATCAAAACAAAGGTTCATCTCTGTTAGTTGAGGACACACATCACAAATAAGTTTCTGAGAATGCTTCTGTCTAGTTCTTATTTGAAGACATTTCCTTTCTCACCTTAGCCTGAAAACGCTCGAAATATCCACTTCCAGATACGACAGAAACAGTGATTCAAACCTGCTCTATGAAAGGGAATGTTCAACTAGGTGACTTGAATGCAAACATCACAAAGCAGTTTCTGAGAATGCTGCTGTCTACTTTCTATTTGTAATCCCGTTTCCAACGAAATCCTCAGAACTATCGAAATTTCCAATTGCAGATTCCACAGAAACAGGGTTTCAAAGCTGCTCTGTAAAAAGAAAGGTTCAACTCTGTTAGTTGAATACACACGTCACAAACAAGTTTCTGAGAATGCTTCTGTCTAGTTTTTATGGGAAGATATTTCCTTTTTCACCGTAGGCCTCAAAGCGCTCCAAATGTCCACGTCCACATACTACAAAAAGAGTGTTTCAAACCTGCTGTATGAAAGGGAATGTTCAACTCTATGAGTTGAATGCAAACATTACAAAGAAGTTTCTGAGAATGCTTCTGTCTAGATTTTATATGAAGGTTTTCCCGTTTCCAACGAAATTTTCAATGCTCTCAAAATATCCACTTGTAGATTCTACAAAAAGAGTGTTTCCAAACTGCTGTGTCAAAAGAAAGGTTCAACTCTGTTAGTTGAGGACACACATCACAAATAAGTTTCTGAGAATGCTTCTGTCTAGTTCTTATTTGAAGACATTTCCTTTCTCACCTTAGGCCTGAAAACGCTCGAAATATCCACTTCCAGATACGACAGAAACAGTGATTCAAACCTGCTCTATGAAAGGGAATGTTCAACTAGGTGACTTGAATGCAAACATCACAAAGCAGTTTCTGAGAATGCTGCTGTCTACTTTCTATTTGTAATCCCGTTTCCAACGAAATCCTCAGAACTATCGAAATTTCCAATTGCAGAATCCACAAAAAGCGTGTTTCAAAGCTGCTCTGTAAAAAGAAAGGTTCAACTCTGTTAGTTGAATACACACGTCACAAACAAGTTTCTGAGAATGCTTCTGTCTAGTTTTTATGGGAAGATATTTCCTTTTTCACCGTAGGCCTCAAAGCGCTCCAAATGTCCACTTCCACATACTACAAAAAGAGTGTTTCAAACCTGCTCTATGATAGGGAATGTTGAAACCTATGAGTTGAATGCAAGCATTACAAAGAGGTTTCTGAGAATGCTTCTGTCTAGATTTTATATGTAGATATTCCCGTTTCCAACGAAATCCTCAAAGCTATCCAAATATCAACTTGCAGATTCTACAAAAGGAATGTTTCCAAAATGCTGTATCCAAACAAAGGTTCAACTCTGTGAATTGAGGGCATACATCACAAAGAAGATTCTGAGAATGCTTCTGTCTAGATTTTATATGAAAATATTCCCGTTTCCAACGAAATCCTCAAAGCTATCCAAATATCCACTTGCAAATGCCACAAAAAGAGTGTTTCCAAACTGCTCTGTGAAAAGGAAGGTTCAACTCTGTTAGTTGAGTACACACATCACAAAGAGGTTTCTGAGAATGCTGCTGACTAGTTTTTATTTGAAGATATTTCCCTTTTCACCTTAGGCCTAAGAGTGCTCGAAATGTCCATTTCCACATACTCCACAAAGTGTGTTTCAAACGTGCTGTATGAAAGGGAATGTTCAACTCTATCAGTTGAATGCAAACATCACAAAGAAGACTCTGAGAATGCTTCTCTCTAAATTTTACATGAAGATATTCCCGTGTCCTACGAAATTTTCCAAGGTCTCCAAACATCCATTTGGAGATTCTACAAAAATAGTGTTTCCAAACTGCTGTATCAAAACATAGGTTCAACTCTGTTAGTTCAATACACACGTCACAAACAAGTTTCTGAGAATGCTTCTGTCTAGTTTTTATGGGAAGATATTTCCTTTTTCACCGTAGGCCTCAAAGCGCTCCAAATGTCCACTTCCACACACTACAAAAAGAGTGTTTCCAACCTGTTCTATGAAAGGGAATGTTCAAACCTATGAGTTGAATGCAAACATCACAAAGAAGTTACTGAGGATGCTTCCGTCTAGATTTTAAATGAGGATATTCCCGTTTCCAACGAAATCCTCGAAGCTATCCAAATATCCACTTGCAGATTCCACAAAAAGAGTGTTTCAAAACTGCTCTGTCAAAAGATAGGTTCAACTCTGTTAGTTGAGGTACACACATGGCAAACAAGATTCCGAGAATGCTTTCGTCTAGTTTTTTTGGGAAGATATTTCCTTCTTCACCATAGGCCTCAAAGCGCTCCAAATATCCATTTCCACATGCTATACAAAGAGTGTCTCAAACCTGCTGTATGAAATGGGAATGTTCAACTCTATGAGTTGAATGCAAACATCACAAAGAAGTTTCTGAGAATGCTGCTGTCTAGATTTTATATGAAGGTTTTCCCGCTTCCAACGAAATTTTCAATGCTCTCAAAATATCCTCTTGTAGATTCTACAAAAAGAGTGTTTCCAAACTGCTGTATCAAAACAAAGGTTCATCTCTGTTAGTTGAGGACACACATCACAAATAAGTTTCTGAGAATGCTTCTGTCTAGTTCTTATTTGAAGACATTTCCTTTCTCACCTTAGGCCTGAAAGCGCTCGAAATACCCACTTCCAGATACTACAGAAACAGTGATTCAAACCTGCTCTATGAAAGGGAATGTTCAACTATGTGACTTGAATGCAAACATCACAAAGCAGTTTCTGAGAATGCTGCTGTCTACTTTCTATTTGTAATCCCGTTTCCAACGAAATCCTCAGAACTATCGAAATTTCCAATTGCAGATTCCACAGAAACAGGGTTTCAAAGCTGCTCTGTAAAAAGAAAGGTTCAACTCTGTTAGTTGAATACACACGTCACAAACAAGTTTCTGAGAATGCTTCTGTCTAGTTTTTATGGGAAGATATTTCCTTTTTCACCGTAGGCCTCAAAGCGCTCCAAATGTCCACTTCCACATACTACAAAAAGAGTGTTTCAAACCTGCTGTATGAAAGGGAATGTTCAACTCTATGAGTTGAATGCAAACATCACAAAGAAGTTTCTGAGAATGCTTCTGTCTAGATTTTATATGAAGGTTTTCCCGCTTCCAACGAAATTTTCAATGCTCTCAAAATATCCTCTTGTAGATTCTACAAAAAGAGTGTTTCCAAACTGCTGTATCAAAACAAAGGTTCATCTCTGTTAGTTGAGGACACACATCACAAATAAGTTTCTGAGAATGCTTCTGTCTAGTTCTTATTTGAAGACATTTCCTTTCTCACCTTAGGCCTGAAAGCGCTCGAAATACCCACTTCCAGATACTACAGAAACAGTGATTCAAACCTGCTCTATGAAAGGGAATGTTCAACTATGTGACTTGAATGCAAACATCACAAAGCAGTTTCTGAGAATGCTGCTGTCTACTTTCTATTTGTAATCCCGTTTCCAACGAAATCCTCAGAACTATCGAAATTTCCAATTGCAGATTCCACAAAAAGCGTGTTTCAAAGCTGCTCTGTAAAAAGAAAGGTTCAACTCTGTTAGTTGAATACACACGTCACAAACAAGTTTCTGAGAATGCTTCTGTCTAGTTTTTATGGGAAGATATTTCCTTTTTCACCGTAGGCCTCAAAGCGCTCCAAATGTCCACTTCCACATACTACAAAAAGAGTGTTTCAAACCTGCTCTATGATAGGGAATGTTGAAACCTATGAGTTGAATGCAAGCATTACAAAGAGGTTTCTGAGAATGCTTCTGTCTAGATTTTATATGTAGATATTCCCGTTTCCAACGAAATCCTCAAACTATCCAAATATCAACTTGCAGATTCTACAAAAGGAATGTTTCCAAAATGCTGTATCCAAACAAAGGTTCAACTCTGTGAATTGAGGGCATACATCACAAAGAAGATTCTGAGAATGCTTCTGTCTAGATTTTATATGAAAATATTCCCGTTTCCAACGAAATCCTCAAAGCTATCCAAATATCCACTTGCAAATGCCACAAAAAGAGTGTTTCCAAACTGCTCTGTGAAAAGGAAGGTTCAACTCTGTTAGTTGAGTACACACATCACAAAGAGGTTTCTGAGAATGCTGCTGACTAGTTTTTATTTGAAGATATTTCCCTTTTCACCTTAGGCCTAAGAGTGCTCGAAATGTCCATTTCCACATACTCCACAAAGTGTGTTTCAAACGTGCTGTATGAAAGGGAATGTTCAACTCTATGAGTTGAATGCAAACATCACAAAGAAGATTCTGAGAATGCTTTTGTCTAGATTTTATATGAAGATATTCCCGTGTCCAACGAAATTTTCAAAGGTCTCCAAATATCCATTTGTAGATTCTACAAAAAGAGTGTTTCCAAACTGCTGTATCAAAACAAAGGTTGAACTCTGTGAGTTGAGGACACACATCACAAATAAGTTTCTGAGAATGCTTCTGTCTAGATTTTATATGAAGGTATTCCCGTTTCCAACGAAATTTTCAATGCTCTCAAAATATCCACTTGTAGATTCTACAAAAAGAGTGTTTCCAAACTGCTGTATCAAAACAAAGGTTCAACTCTGTTAGTTGAAGACACACATCACAAATAAGTTTCTGAGAATTCTGCTGTCTACTTTCTATTTGTAATCCCGTTTCCAACGAAATCCTCAGTACTATCGAAATTTCCAATTGCAGATTCCACAAAAAGCGTGTTTCAAAGCTGCTCTGTAAAAAGAAAGGTTCAACTCTGTTAGTTGAATACACACGTCACAAACAAGTTTCTGAGAATGCTTCTGTCTAGTTTTTATGGGAAGATATTTCCTTTTTCACCGTAGGCCTCAAAGCGCTCCAAATGTCCACTTCCACATACTACAAAAAGAGTGTTTCAAACCTGCTCTATGATAGGGAATGTTGAAACCTATGAGTTGAATGCAAGCATTACAAAGAGGTTTCTGAGAATGCTTCTGTCTAGATTTTATATGTAGATATTCACGTTTCCAACGAAATCCTCAAAGCTATCCAAATATCAACTTGCAGATTCTACAAAAGGAATGTTTCCAAAATGCTGTATCCAAACAAAGGTTCAACTCTGTGAATTGAGGGCATACATCACAAAGAAGATTCTGAGAATGCTTCTGTCTAGATTTTATATGAAAATATTCCCGTTTCCAACGAAATCCTCAAAGCTATCCAAATATCCACTTGCAAATGCCACAAAAAGAGTGTTTCCAAACTGCTCTGTGAAAAGGAAGGTTCAACTCTGTTAGTTGAGTACACACATCACAAAGAGGTTTCTGAGAATGCTGCTGACTAGTTTTTATTTGAAGATATTTCCCTTTTCACCTTAGGCCTAAGAGTGCTCGAAATGTCCATTTCCACATACTCCACAAAGTGTGTTTCAAACGTGCTGTATGAAAGGGAATGTTCAACTCTATGAGTTGAATGCAAACATCACAAAGAAGATTCTGAGAATGCTTTTGTCTAGATTTTATATGAAGATATTCCCGTGTCCAACGAAATTTTCAAAGGTCTCCAAATATCCATTTGTAGATTCTACAAAAAGAGTGTTTCCAAACTGCTGTATCAAAACAAAGGTTGAACTCTGTGAGTTGAGGACACACATCAAAAATAAGTTTCTGAGAATGCTTCTGTCTAGTTTTTATTTGAAGATGTTTCCTTTTTCACCATAGGCCTGAAAGCGCTCGAAATGTCCACTTCCAGATAGTACAGAAAGAGTGTTTCAAACCTGCTCTATGAACGGGAATGTTCAGCTCTGTGAGTTGAATGCAAACATCACAAAGCAGGTTCCGAGAATGCTTCCGTCTAGATTTTAAATGAGGATATTCCCGTTTCCAACGAAATCCTCGAAGCTATCCAAATATCCACTTGCAGATTCCACAAAAAGAGTGTTTCAAAACTGCTCTGTCAAAAGATAGGTTCAACTCTGTTAGTTGAGTACACACATGGCAAACAAGATTGCGAGAATGCTTTCGTCTAGTTTTTTTGGGAAGATATTTCCTTCTTCACCATAGGCCTCAAAGCGCTCCAAATATCCATTTCCACATGCTATACAAAGAGTGTCTCAAACCTGCTGTATGAATGGGAATGTTCAACTCTATGAGTTGAATGCAAACATCACAAAGAAGTTTCTGAGAATGCTGCTGTCTAGATTTTATATGAAGGTTTTCCCGCTTCCAACGAAATTTTCAATGCTCTCAAAATATCCTCTTGTAGATTCTACAAAAAGAGTGTTTCCAAACTGCTGTATCAAAACAAAGGTTCATCTCTGTTAGTTGAGGACACACATCACAAATAAGTTTCTGAGAATGCTTCTGTCTAGTTCTTATTTGAAGACATTTCCTTTCTCACCTTAGGCCTGAAAGCGCTCGAAATACCCACTTCCAGATACTACAGAAACAGTGATTCAAACCTGCTCTATGAAAGGGAATGTTCAACTATGTGACTTGAATGCAAACATCACAAAGCAGTTTCTGAGAATGCTGCTGTCTACTTTCTATTTGTAATCCCGTTTCCAACGAAATCCTCAGAACTATCGAAATTTCCAATTGCAGATTCCACAGAAACAGGGTTTCAAAGCTGCTCTGTAAAAAGAAAGGTTCAACTCTGTTAGTTGAATACACACGTCACAAACAAGTTTCTGAGAATGCTTCTGTCTAGTTTTTATGGGAAGATATTTCCTTTTTCACCGTAGGCCTCAAAGCGCTCCAAATGTCCACTTCCACATACTACAAAAAGAGTGTATCAAACCTGCTCTATGATAGGGAATGTTGAAACCTATGAGTTGAATGCAAACATTACAAAGAGGTTTCGAGAGAATGCTTCTGTCTAGATTTTATATGTAGATATTCCCGTTTCCAACGAAAATCCTCAAAGCTATCCAAATATCAACTTGCAGATTCTACAAAAGGAATGTTTCCAAAATGCTGTATCCAAACAAAGGTTCAACTCTGTGAATTGAGGGCATACATCACAAAGAAGATTCTGAGAATGCTTCTGTCTAGATTTTATATGAAAATATTCCCGTTTCCAACGAAATCCTCAAAGCTATCCAAATATCCACTTGCAAATGCCACAAAAAGAGTGTTTCCAAACTGCTCTGTGAAAAGGAAGGTTCAACTCTGTTAGTTGAGTACACACATCACAAAGAGGTTTCTGAGAATGCTGCTGACTAGTTTTTATTTGAAGATATTTCCCTTTTCACCTTAGGCCTAAGAGTGCTCGAAATGTCCATTTCCACATACTCCACAAAGTGTGTTTCAAACGTGCTGTATGAAAGGGAATGTTCAACTCTATGAGTTGAATGGAAATATCACAAAGAAGATTCTGAGAATGCTTTTGTCTAGATTTTATATGAAGATATTCCCGTGTCCAACGAAATTTTCAAAGGTCTCCAAATATCCATTTGTAGATTCTACAAAAAGAGTGTTTCCAAACTGCTGTATCAAAACAAAGGTTGAACTCTGTGAGTTGAGGACACACATCACAAATAAGTTTCTGAGAATGCTTCTGTCTAGTTTTTATTTGAAGATGTTTCCTTTTTCACCATAGGCCTGAAAGCGCTCGAAATGTCCACTTCCAGATAGTACAGAAAGAGTGTTTCAAACCTGCTCTATGAACGGGAATGTTCAGCTCTGTGAGTTGAATGCAAACATCACAAAGCAGGTTCTGAGAATGCTTCCGTCTAGATTTTAAATGAGGATATTCCCGTTTCCAACGAAATCCTCGAAGCTATCCAAATATCCACTTGCAGATTCCACAAAAAGAGTGTTTCAAAACTGCTCTGTCAAAAGATAGGTTCAACTCTGTTAGTTGAGTACACACATGGCAAACAAGATTCCGAGAATGCTTTCGTCTAGTTTTTTTGGGAAGATATTTCCTTCTTCACCATAGGCCTCAAAACGCTCCAAATATCCATTTCCACATGCTATACAAAGAGTGTCTCAAACCTGCTGTATGAATGGGAATGTTCAACTCTATGAGTTGAATGCAAACATCACAAAGAAGTTTCTGAGAATGCTGCTGTCTAGATTTTATATGAAGGTTTTCCCGCTTCCAACGAAATTTTCAATGCTCTCAAAATATCCTCTTGTAGATTCTACAAAAAGAGTGTTTCCAAACTGCTGTATCAAAACAAAGGTTCATCTCTGTTAGTTGAGGACACACATCACAAATAAGTTTCTGAGAATGCTTCTGTCTAGTTCTTATTTGAAGACATTTCCTTTCTCACCTTAGGCCTGAAAACGCTCGAAATATCCACTTCCAGATACGACAGAAACTGTGATTCAAACCTGCTCTATGAAAGGGAATGTTCAACTAGGTGACTTGAATGCAAACATCACAAAGCAGTTTCTGAGAATGCTGCTGTCTACTTTCTATTTGTAATCCCGTTTCCAACGAAATCCTCAGAACTATCGAAATTTCCAATTGCAGATTCCACAGAAACAGGGTTTCAAAGCTGCTCTGTAAAAAGAAAGGTTCAACTCTGTTAGTTGAATACACACGTCACAAACAAGTTTCTGAGAATGCTTCTGTCTAGTTTTTATGGGAAGATATTTCCTTTTTCACCGTAGGCCTCAAAGCGCTCCAAATGTCCACTTCCACATACTACAAAAAGAGTGTTTCAAACCTGCTGTATGAAAGGGAATGTTCAACTCTATGAGTTGAATGCAAACATTACAAAGAAGTTTCTGAGAATGCTTCTGTCTAGATTTTATATGAAGGTTTTCGCGTTTCCAACGAAATTTTCAATGCTCTCAAAATATCCACTTGTAGATTCTACAAAAAGAGTGTTTCCAAACTGCTGTGTCAAAAGAAAGGTTCAACTCTGTTAGTTGAGGACACACATCACAAATAAGTTTCTGAGAATGCTTCTGTCTAGTTCTTATTTGAAGACATTTCCTTTCTCACCTTAGGCCTGAAAACGCTCGAAATACCCACTTCCAGATACGACAGAAACTGTGATTCAAACCTGCTCTATGAAAGGGAATGTTCAACTAGGTGACTTGAATGCAAACATCACAAAGCAGTTTCTGAGAATGCTGCTGTCTACTTTCTATTTGTAATCCCGTTTCCAACGAAATCCTCAGAACTATCGAAATTTCCAATTGCAGATTCCACAAAAAGCGTGTTTCAAAGCTGCTCTGTAAAAAGAAAGGTTCAACTCTGTTAGTTGAATACACACGTCACAAACAAGTTTCTGAGAATGCTTCTGTCTAGTTTTTATGGGAAGATATTTCCTTTTTCACCGTAGGCCTCAAAGCGCTCCAAATGTCCACTTCCACATACTACAAAAAGAGTGTTTCAAACCTGCTGTATGAAAGGGAATGTTCAACTCTATGAGTTGAATGCAAACATTACAAAGAAGTTTCTGAGAATGCTTCTGTCTAGATTTTATATGAAGGTTTTCCCGTTTCCAACGAAATTTTCAATGCTCTCAAAATATCCACTTGTAGATTCTACAAAAAGAGTGTTTCCAAACTGCTGTGTCAAAAGAAAGGTTCAACTCTGTTAGTTGAGGACACACATCACAAATAAGTTTCTGAGAATGCTTGCTGTCTACTTTCTATTTGTAATCCCGTTTCCAACGAAATCCTCAGTAACTATCGAAATTTCCAATTGCAGATTCCACAAAAAGCGTGTTTCAAAGCTGCTCTGTAAAAAGAAAGGTTCAACTCTGTTAGTTGAATACACACGTCACAAACAAGTTTCTGAGAATGCTTCTGTCTAGTTTTTATGGGAAGATATTTCCTTTATTCACCGTAGGCCTCAAAGCGCTCCAAATGTCCACTTCCACATACTACAAAAAGAGTGTTTCAAACCTGCTCTATGATAGGGAATGTTGAAACCTATGAGTTGAATGCAAGCATTACAAAGAGGTTTCTGAGAATGCTTCTGTCTAGATTTTATATGTAGATATTCCCGTTTCCAACGAAATCCTCAAAGCTATCCAAATATCAACTTGCAGATTCTACAAAAGGAATGTTTCCAAAATGCTGTATCCAAACAAAGGTTCAACTCTGTGAATTGAGGGCATACATCACAAAGAAGATTCTGAGAATGCTTCTGTCTAGATTTTATATGAAAATATTCCCGTTTCCAACGAAATCCTCAAAGCTATCCAAATATCCACTTGCAAATGCCACAAAAAGAGTGTTTCCAAACTGCTCTGTGAAAAGGAAGGTTCAACTCTGTTAGTTGAGTACACACATCACAAAGAGGTTTCTGAGAATGCTGCTGACTAGTTTTTATTTGAAGATATTTCCCTTTTCACCTTAGGCCTAAGAGTGCTCGAAATGTCCATTTCCACATACTCCACAAAGTGTGTTTCAAACGTGCTGTATGAAAGGGAATGTTCAACTCTATCAGTTGAATGCAAACATCACAAAGAAGACTCTGAGAATGCTTTTGTCTAGATTTTATATGAAGATATTCCCGTGTCCAACGAAATTTTCAAAGGTCTCCAAATATCCATTTGTAGATTCTACAAAAAGAGTGTTTCCAAACTGCTGTATCAAAACAAAGGTTGAACTCTGTGAGTTGAGGACACACATCACAAATAAGTTTCTGAGAATGCTTCTGTCTAGTTTTTATTTGAAGATGTTTCCTTTTTCACCATAGGCCTGAAAGCGCTCGAAATGTCCACTTCCAGATAGTACAGAAAGAGTGTTTCAAACCTGCTCTATGAACGGGAATGTTCAGCTCTGTGAGTTGAATGCAAACATCACAAAGCAGGTTCTGAGAATGCTGCTGTCTACTTTCTATTTGTAATCCCGTTTCCAACGAAATCCTCGAAGCTATCCAAATATCCACTTGCAGATTCCACAAAAAGAGTGTTTCAAAACTGCTCTGTCAAAAGATAGGTTCAACTCTGTTAGTTGAGTACACACATGGCAAACAAGATTGCGAGAATGCTTTCGTCTAGTTTTTTTGGGAAGATATTTCCTTCTTCACCATAGGCCTCAAAGCGCTCCAAATATCCATTTCCACATGCTATACAAAGAGTGTCTCAAACCTGCTGTATGAATGGGAATGTTCAACTCTATGAGTTGAATGCAAACATCACAAAGAAGTTTCTGAGAATGCTGCTGTCTAGATTTTATATGAAGGTTTTCCCGCTTCCAACGAAATTTTCAATGCTCTCAAAATATCCTCTTGTAGATTCTACAAAAAGAGTGTTTCCAAACTGCTGTATCAAAACAAAGGTTCATCTCTGTTAGTTGAGGACACACATCACAAATAAGTTTCTGAGAATGCTTCTGTCTAGTTCTTATTTGAAGACATTTCCTTTCTCACCTTAGGCCTGAAAACGCTCGAAATACCCACTTCCAGATACGACAGAAACAGGGATTCAAACCTGCTCTATGAAAGGGAATGTTCAACTATGTGACTTGAATGCAAACATCACAAAGCAGTTTCTGAGAATGCTGCTGTCTACTTTCTATTTGTAATCCCGTTTCCAACGAAATCCTCAGAACTATCGAAATTTCCAATTGCAGATTCCACAGAAACAGGGTTTCAAAGCTGCTCTGTAAAAAGAAAGGTTCAACTCTGTTAGTTGAATACACACGTCACAAACAAGTTTCTGAGAATGCTTCTGTCTAGTTTTTATGGGAAGATATTTCCTTTTTCACCGTAGGCCTCAAAGCGCTCCAAATGTCCACGTCCACATACTACAAAAAGAGTGTTTCAAACCTGCTGTATGAAAGGGAATGTTCAACTCCTATGAGTTGAATGCAAACATTACAAAGAAGTTTCTGAGAATGCTTTCTGTCTAGATTTTATATGAAGGTTTTCCCGTTTCCAACGAAATTTTCAATGCTCTCAAAATATCCACTTGTAGATTCTACAAAAAGAGTGTTTCCAAACTGCTGTGTCAAAAGAAAGGTTCAACTCTGTTAGTTGAAGACACACATCACAAATAAGTTTCTGAGAATGCTTCTGTCTAGTTCTTATTTGAAGACATTTCCTTTCTCACCTTAGGCCTGAAAACGCTCGAAATATCCACTTCCAGATACGACAGAAACAGTGATTCAAACCTGCTCTATGAAAGGGAATGTTCAACTAGGTGACTTGAATGCAAACATCACAAAGCAGTTTCTGAGAATGCTGCTGTCTACTTTCTATTTGTAATCCCGTTTGCAACGAAATCCTCAGAACTATCGAAATTTCCAATTGCAGATTCCACAGAAACAGGGTTTCAAAGCTGCTCTGTAAAAAGAAAGGTTCAACTCTGTTAGTTGAATACACACGTCACAAACAAGTTTCTGAGAATGCTTCTGTCTAGTTTTTATGGGAAGATATTTCCTTTTTCACCGTAGGCCTCAAAGCGCTCCAAATGTCCACTTCCACATACTACAAAAAGAGTGTTTCAAACCTGCTGTATGAAAGGGAATGTTCAACTCTATGAGTTGAATGCAAACATTACAAAGAAGTTTCTGAGAATGCTTCTGTCTAGATTTTATATGAAGGTTTTCCCGTTTCCAACGAAATTTTCAATGCTCTCAAAATATCCACTTGTAGATTCTACAAAAAGAGTGTTTCCAAACTGCTGTGTCAAAAGAAAGGTTCAACTCTGTTAGTTGAGGACACACATCACAAATAAGTTTCTGAGAATGCTTCTGTCTAGTTCTTATTTGAAGACATTTCCTTTCTCACCTTAGGCCTGAAAACGCTCGAAATATCCACTTCCAGATACGACAGAAACAGTGATTCAAACCTGCTCTATGAAAGGGAATGTTCAACTAGGTGACTTGAATGCAAACATCACAAAGCAGTTTCTGAGAATGCTGCTGTCTACTTTCTATTTGTAATCCCGTTTCCAACGAAATCCTCAGAACCATCGAAATTTCCAATTGCAGATTCCACAGAAACAGGGTTTCAAAGCTGCTCTGTAAAAAGAAAGGTTCAACTCTGTTAGTTGAATACACACGTCACAAACAAGTTTCTGAGAATGCTTCTGTCTAGTTTTTATGGGAAGATATTTCCTTTTTCACGGTAGGCCTCAAAGCGCTCCAAATGTCCACTTCCACATACTACAAAAAGAGTGTTTCAAACCTGCTCTATGATAGGGAATGTTGAAACCTATGAGTTGAATGCAAGCATTACAAAGAGGTTTCTGAGAATGCTTCTGTCTAGATTTTATATGTAGATATTCCCGTTTCCAACGAAATCCTCAAAGCTATCCAAATATCAACTTGCAGATTCTACAAAAGGAATGTTTCCAAAATGCTGTATCCAAACAAAGGTTCAACTCTGTGAATTGAGGGAATACATCACAAAGAAGATTCTGAGAATGCTTCTGTCTAGATTTTATATGAAAATATTCCCGTTTCCAACGAAATCCTCAAAGCTATCCAAATATCCACTTGCAAATGCCACAAAAAGAGTGTTTCCAAACTGCTCTGTGAAAAGGAAGGTTCAACTCTGTTAGTTGAGTACACACATCACAAAGAGGTTTCTGAGAATGCTGCTGACTAGTTTTTATTTGAAGATATTTCCCTTTTCACCTTAGGCCTAAGAGTGCTCGAAATGTCCATTTCCACATACTCCACAAAGTGTGTTTCAAACGTGCTGTATGAAAGGGAATGTTCAACTCTATGAGTTGAATGCAAACATCACAAAGAAGATTCTGAGAATGCTTTTGTCTAGATTTTATATGAAGATATTCCCGTGTCCAACGAAATTTTCAAAGGTCTCCAAATATCCATTTGTAGATTCTACAAAAAGAGTGTTTCCAAACTGCTGTATCAAAACAAAGGTTGAACTCTGTGAGTTGAGGACACACATCACAAATAAGTTTCTGAGAATGCTTCTGTCTAGTTTTTATTTGAAGATGTTTCCTTTTTCACCATAGGCCTGAAAGCGCTCGAAATGTCCACTTCCAGATAGTACAGAAAGAGTGTTTCAAACCTGCTCTATGAACGGGAATGTTCAGCTCTGTGAGTTGAATGCAAACATCACAAAGCAGGTTCTGAGAATGCTTCCGTCTAGATTTTAAATGAGGATATTCCCGTTTCCAACGAAATCCTCGAAGCTATCCAAATATCCACTTGCAGATTCCACAAAAAGAGTGTTTCAAAACTGCTCTGTCAAAAGATAGGTTCAACTCTGTTAGTTGAGTACACACATGGCAAACAAGATTCCGAGAATGCTTTCGTCTAGTTTTTTTGGGAAGATATTTCCTTCTTCACCATAGGCCTCAAAGCGCTCCAAATATCCATTTCCACATGCTATACAAAGAGTGTCTCAAACCTGCTGTATGAATGGGAATGTTCAACTCTATGAGTTGAATGCAAACATCACAAAGAAGTTTCTGAGAATGCTGCTGTCTAGATTTTATATGAAGGTTTTCCCGCTTCCAACGAAATTTTCAATGCTCTCAAAATATCCTCTTGTAGATTCTACAAAAAGAGTGTTTCCAAACTGCTGTATCAAAACAAAGGTTCATCTCTGTTAGTTGAGGACACACATCACAAATAAGTTTCTGAGAATGCTTCTGTCTAGTTCTTATTTGAAGACATTTCCTTTCTCACCTTAGGCCTGAAAGCGCTCGAAATACCCACTTCCAGATACTACAGAAACAGTGATTCAAACCTGCTCTATGAAAGGGAATGTTCAACTAGGTGACTTGAATGCAAACATCACAAAGCAGTTTCTGAGAATGCTGCTGTCTACTTTCTATTTGTAATCCCGTTTCCAACGAAATCCTCAGAACTATCGAAATTTCCAATTGCAGATTCCACAGAAACAGGGTTTCAAAGCTGCTCTGTAAAAAGAAAGGTTCAACTCTGTTAGTTGAATACACACGTCACAAACAAGTTTCTGAGAATGCTTCTGTCTAGTTTTTATGGGAAGATATTTCCTTTTTCACCGTAGGCCTCAAAGCGCTCCCAAATGTCCACTTCCACATACTACAAAAAGAGTGTTTCAAACCTGCTGTATGAAAGGGAATGTTCAACTCTATGAGTTGAATGCAAACATTACAAAGAAGTTTCTGAGAATGCTTCTGTCTAGATTTTATATGAAGGTTTTCCCGTTTCCAACGAAATTTTCAATGCTCTGAAAATATCCACTTGTAGATTCTACAAAAAGAGTGTTTCCAAACTGCTGTGTCAAAAGAAAGGTTCAACTCTGTTAGTTGAAGACACACATCACAAATAAGTTTCTGAGAATGCTTCTGTCTAGTTCTTATTTGAAGACATTTCCTTTCTCACCTTAGGCCTGAAAGCGCTCGAAATATCCACTTCCAGATACGACAGAAACTGTGATTCAAACCTGCTCTATGAAAGGGAATGTTCAACTAGGTGACTTGAATGCAAACATCACAAAGCAGTTTCTGAGAATGCTGCTGTCTACTTTCTATTTGTAATCCCGTTTCCAACGAAATCCTCAGAACTATCGAAATTTCCAATTGCAGATTCCACAAAAAGCGTGTTTCAAAGCTGCTCTGTAAAAAGAAAGGTTCAACTCTGTTAGTTGAATACACACGTCACAAACAAGTTTCTGAGAATGCTTCTGTCTAGTTTTTATGGGAAGATATTTCCTTTTTCACCGTAGGCCTCAAAGCGCTCCAAATGTCCACTTCCACATACTACAAAAAGAGTGTTTCAAACCTGCTGTATGAAAGGGAATGTTCAACTCTATGAGTTGAATGCAAACATTACAAAGAAGTTTCTGAGAATGCTTCTGTCTAGATTTTATATGAAGATTTTCCCGTTTCCAACGAAATTTTCAATGCTCTCAAAATATCCACTTGTAGATTCTACAAAAAGAGTGTTTCCAAACTGCTGTGTAAAAAGAAAGGTTCAACTCTGTTAGTTGAGGACACACATCACAAATAAGTTTCTGAGAATGCTGCTGTCTACTTTCTATTTGTAATCCCGTTTCCAACGAAATCCTCAGAACTATCGAAATTTCCAATTGCAGATTCCACAAAAAGCGTGTTTCAAAGCTGCTCTGTAAAAAGAAAGGTTCAACTCTGTTAATTGAATACACACGTCACAAACAAGTTTCTGAGAATGCTTCTGTCTAGTTTTTATGGGAAGATATTTCCTTTTTCACCGTAGGCCTCAAAGCGCTCCAAATGTCCACTTCCACATACTACAAAAAGAGTGTTTCAAACCTGCTCTATGATAGGGAATGTTGAAACCTATGAGTTGAATGCAAGCATTACAAAGAGGTTTCTGAGAATGCTTCTGTCTAGATTTTATATGTAGATATTCCCGTTTCCAACGAAATCCTCAAAGCTATCCAAATATCAACTTGCAGATTCTACAAAAGGAATGTTTCCAAAATGCTGTATCCAAACAAAGGTTCAACTCTGTGAATTGAGGGCATACATCACAAAGAAGATTCTGAGAATGCTTCTGTCTAGATTTTATATGAAAATATTCCCGTTTCCAACGAAATCCTCAAAGCTATCCAAATATCCACTTGCAAATGCCACAAAAAGAGTGTTTCCAAACTGCTCTGTGAAAAGGAAGGTTCAACTCTGTTAGTTGAGTACACACATCACAAAGAGGTTTCTGAGAATGCTGCTGACTAGTTTTTATTTGAAGATATTTCCCTTTTCACCTTAGGCCTAAGAGTGCTCGAAATGTCCATTTCCACATACTCCACAAAGTGTGTTTCAAACGTGCTGTATGAAAGGGAATGTTCAACTCTATGAGTTGAATGCAAACATCACAAAGAAGATTCTGAGAATGCTTTTGTCTAGATTTTATATGAAGATATTCCCGTGTCCAACGAAATTTTCAAAGGTCTCCAAATATCCATTTGTAGATTCTACAAAAAGAGTGTTTCCAAACTGCTGTATCAAAACAAAGGTTGAACTCTGTGAGTTGAGGACACACATCACAAATAAGTTTCTGAGAATGCTTCTGTCTAGTTTTTATTTGAAGATGTTTCCTTTTTCACCATAGGCCTGAAAGCGCTCGAAATGTCCACTTCCAGATAGTACAGAAAGAGTGTTTCAAACCTGCTCTATGAACGGGAATGTTCAGCTCTGTGAGTTGAATGCAAACATCACAAAGCAGGTTCTGAGAATGCTTCCGTCTAGATTTTAAATGAGGATATTCCCGTTTCCAACGAAATCCTCGAAGCTATCCAAATATCCACTTGCAGATTCCACAAAAAGAGTGTTTCAAAACTGCTCTGTCAAAAGATAGGTTCAACTCTGTTAGTTGAGTACACACATGGCAAACAAGATTCCGAGAATGCTTTCGTCTAGTTTTTTTGGGAAGATATTTCCTTCTTCACCATAGGCCTCAAAGCGCTCCAAATATCCATTTCCACATGCTATACAAAGAGTGTCTCAAACCTGCTGTATGAATGGGAATGTTCAACTCTATGAGTTGAATGCAAACATCACAAAGAAGTTTCTGAGAATGCTGCTGTCTAGATTTTATATGAAGGTTTTCCCGCTTCCAACGAAATTTTCGATGCTCTCAAAATATCCTCTTGTAGATTCTACAAAAAGAGTGTTTCCAAACTGCTGTATCAAAACAAAGGTTCATCTCTGTTAGTTGAGGACACACATCACAAATAAGTTTCTGAGAATGCTTCTGTCTAGTTCTTATTTGAAGACATTTCCTTTCTCACCTTAGGCCTGAAAGCGCTCGAAATACCCACTTCCAGATACTACAGAAACAGTGATTCAAACCTGCTCTATGAAAGGGAATGTTCAACTAGGTGACTTGAATGCAAACATCACAAAGCAGTTTCTGAGAATGCTGCTGTCTACTTTCAATTTGTAATCCCGTTTCCAACGAAATCCTCAGAACTATCGAAATTTCCAATTGCAGATTCCACAGAAACAGGGTTTCAAAGCTGCTCTGTAAAAAGAAAGGTTCAACTCTGTTAGTTGAATACACACGTCACAAACAAGTTTCTGAGAATGCTTCTGTCTAGTTTTTATGGGAAGATATTTCCTTTTTCACCGTAGGCCTCAAAGCGCTCCAAATGTCCACTTCCACATACTACAAAAAGAGTGTTTCAAACCTGCTGTATGAAAGGGAATGTTCAACTCTATGAGTTGAATGCAAACATTACAAAGAAGTTTCTGAGAATGCTTCTGTCTAGATTTTATATGAAGGTTTTCCCGTTTCCAACGAAATTTTCAATGCTCTCAAAATATCCACTTGTAGATTCTACAAAAAGAGTGTTTCCAAACTGCTGTGTCAAAAGAAAGGTTCAACTCTGTTAGTTGAGGACACACATCACAAATAAGTTTCTGAGAATGCTGCTGTCTACTTTCTATTTGTAATCCCGTTTCCAACGAAATCCTCAGAACTATCGAAATTTCCAATTGCAGATTCCACAAAAAGCGTGTTTCAAAGCTGCTCTGTAAAAAGAAAGATTCAACTCTGTTAGTTGAATACACACGTCACAAACAAGTTTCTGAGAATGCTTCTGTCTAGTTTTTATGGGAAGATATTTCCTTTTTCACCGTAGGCCTCAAAGCGCTCCAAATGTCCACTTCCACATACTACAAAAAGAGTGTTTCAAACCTGCTCTATGATAGGGAATGTTGAAACCTATGAGTTGAATGCAAGCATTACAAAGAGGTTTCTGAGAATGCTTCTGTCTAGATTTTATATGTAGATATTCCCGTTTCCAACGAAATCCTCAAACTATCCAAATATCAACTTGCAGATTCTACAAAAGGAATGTTTCCAAAATGCTGTATCCAAACAAAGGTTCAACTCTGTGAATTGAGGGCATACATCACAAAGAAGATTCTGAGAATGCTTCTGTCTAGATTTTATATGAAAATATTCCCGTTTCCAACGAAATCCTCAAAGCTATCCAAATATCCACTTGCAAATGCCACAAAAAGAGTGTTTCCAAACTGCTCTGTGAAAAGGAAGGTTCAACTCTGTTAGTTGAGTACACACATCACAAAGAGGTTTCTGAGAATGCTGCTGACTAGTTTTTATTTGAAGATATTTCCCTTTTCACCTTAGGCCTAAGAGTGCTCGAAATGTCCATTTCCACATACTCCACAAAGTGTGTTTCAAACGTGCTGTATGAAAGGGAACGTTCAAATCTATGAGTTGAATGCAAACATCACAAAGAAGATTCTGAGAATGCTTTTGTCTAGATTTTATATGAAGATATTCCCGTGTCCAACGAAATTTTCAAAGGTCTCCAAATATCCATTTGTAGATTCTACAAAAAGAGTGTTTCCAAACTGCTGTATCAAAACAAAGGTTGAACTCTGTGAGTTGAGGACACACATCACAAATAAGTTTCTGAGAATGCTTCTGTCTAGTTTTTATTTGAAGATGTTTCCTTTTTCACCATAGGCCTGAAAGCGCTCGAAATGTCCCCTTCCAGATAGTACAGAAAGAGTGTTTCAAACCTGCTCTATGAACGGGAATGTTCAGCTCTGTGAGTTGAATGCAAACATCACAAAGCAGGTTCCGAGAATGCTTCCGTCTAGATTTTAAATGAGGATATTCCCGTTTCCAACGAAATCCTCGAAGCTATCCAAATATCCACTTGCAGATTCCACAAAAACAGTGTTTCAAAACTGCTCTGTCAAAAGATAGGTTCAACTCTGTTAGTTGAGTACACACATGGCAAACAAGATTCCGAGAATGCTTTCGTCTAGTTTTTTTGGGAAGATATTTCCTTCTTCACCATAGGCCTCAAAGCGCTCCAAATATCCATTTCCACATGCTATACAAAGAGTGTCTCAAACCTGCTGTATGAATGGGAATGTTCAACTCTATGAGTTGAATGCAAACATCACAAAGAAGTTTCTGAGAATGCTGCTGTCTAGATTTTATATGAAGGTTTTCCCGCTTCCAACGAAATTTTCAATGCTCTCAAAATATCCTCTTGTAGATTCTACAAAAAGAGTGTTTCCAAACTGCTGTATCAAAACAAAGGTTCATCTCTGTTAGTTGAGGACACACATCACAAATAAGTTTCTGAGAATGCTTCTGTCTAGTTCTTATTTGAAGACATTTCCTTTCTCACCTTAGGCCTGAAAACGCTCGAAATATCCACTTCCAGATACGACAGAAACTGTGATTCAAACCTGCTCTATGAAAGGGAATGTTCAACTAGGTGACTTGAATGCAAACATCAGAAAGCAGTTTCTGAGAATGCTGCTGTCTACTTTCTATTTGTAATCCCGTTTCCAACGAAATCCTCAGAACTATCGAAATTTCCAATTGCAGATTCCACAGAAACAGGGTTTCAAAGCTGCTCTGTAAAAAGAAAGGTTCAACTCTGTTAGTTGAATACACACGTCACAAACAAGTTTCTGAGAATGCTTCTGTCTAGTTTTTATGGGAAGATATTTCCTTTTTCACCGTAGGCCTCAAAGCGCTCCAAATGTCCACGTCCACATACTACAAAAAGAGTGTTTCAAACCTGCTGTATGAAAGGGAATGTTCAACTCTATGAGTTGAATGCAAACATTACAAAGAAGTTTCTGAGAATGCTTCTGTCTAGATTTTATATGAAGGTTTTCCCGTTTCCAACGAAATTTTCAATGCTCTCAAAATATCCACTTGTAGATTCTACAAAAAGAGTGTTTCCAAACTGCTGTGTCAAAAGAAAGGTTCAACTCTGTTAGTTGAGGACACACATCACAAATAAGTTTCTGAGAATGCTTCTGTCTAGTTCTTATTTGAAGACATTTCCTTTCTCACCTTAGGCCTGAAAACGCTCGAAATATCCACTTCCAGATACGACAGAAACAGTGATTCAAACCTGCTCTATGAAAGGGAATGTTCAACTAGGTGACTTGAATGCAAACATCACAAAGCAGTTTCTGAGAATGCTGCTGTCTACTTTCTATTTGTAATCCCGTTTCCAACGAAATCCTCAGAACTATCGAAATTTCCAATTGCAGATTCCACAAAAAGCGTGTTTCAAAGCTGCTCTGTAAAAAGAAAGTTTCAACTCTGTTAGTTGAATACACACGTCACAAACAAGTTTCTGAGAATGCTTCTGTCTAGTTTTTATGGGAAGATATTTCCTTTTTCACCGTAGGCCTCAAAGCGCTCCAAATGTCCACTTCCACATACTACAAAAAGAGTGTTTCAAACCTGCTCTATGATAGGGAATGTTGAAACCTATGAGTTGAATGCAAGCATTACAAAGAGGTTTCTGAGAATGCTTCTGTCTAGATTTTATATGTAGATATTCCCGTTTCCAACGAAATCCTCAAAGCTATCCAAATATCAACTTGCAGATTCTACAAAAGGAATGTTTCCAAAATGCTGTATCCAAACAAAGGTTCAACTCTGTGAATTGAGGGCATACATCACAAAGAAGATTCTGAGAATGCTTCTGTCTAGATTTTATATGAAAATATTCCCGTTTCCAACGAAATCCTCAAAGCTATCCAAATATCCACTTGCAAATGCCACAAAAAGAGTGTTTCCAAACTGCTCTGTGAAAAGGAAGGTTCAACTCTGTTAGTTGAGTACACACATCACAAAGAGGTTTCTGAGAATGCTGCTGACTAGTTTTTATTTGAAGATATTTCCTTTTTCACCTTAGGCCTAAGAGTGCTCGAAATGTCCATTTCCACATACTCCACAAAGTGTGTTTCAAACGTGCTGTATGAAAGGGAATGTTCAACTCTATGAGTTGAATGCAAACATCACAAAGAAGATTCTGAGAATGCTTTTGTCTAGATTTTATATGAAGATATTCCCGTGTCCAACGAAATTTTCAAAGGTCTCCAAATATCCATTTGTAGATTCTACAAAAAGAGTGTTTCCAAACTGCTGTATCAAAACAAAGGTTGAACTCTGTGAGTTGAGGACACACATCACAAATAAGTTTCTGAGAATGCTTCTGTCTAGTTTTTATTTGAAGATGTTTCCTTTTTCACCATAGGCCTGAAAGCGCTCGAAATGTCCACTTCCAGATAGTACAGAAAGAGTGTTTCAAACCTGCTCTATGAACGGGAATGTTCAGCTCTGTGAGTTGAATGCAAACATCACAAAGCAGGTTCTGAGAATGCTTCCGTCTAGATTTTAAATGAGGATATTCCCGTTTCCAACGAAATCCTCGAAGCTATCCAAATATCCACTTGCAGATTCCACAAAAAGAGTGTTTCAAAACTGCTCTGTCAAAAGATAGGTTCAACTCTGTTAGTTGAGTACACACATGGCAAACAAGATTCCGAGAATGCTTTCGTCTAGTTTTTTTGGGAAGATATTTCCTTCTTCACCATAGACCTCAAAGCGCTCCAAATATCCATTTCCACATGCTATACAAAGAGTGTCTCAAACCTGCTGTATGAATGGGAATGTTCAACTCTATGAGTTGAATGCAAACATCACAAAGAAGTTTCTGAGAATGCTGCTGTCTAGATTTTATATGAAGGTTTTCCCGCTTCCAACGAAATTTTCAATGCTCTCAAAATATCCTCTTGTAGATTCTACAAAAAGAGTGTTTCCAAACTGCTGTATCAAAACAAAGGTTCATCTCTGTTAGTTGAGGACACACATCACAAATAAGTTTCTGAGAATGCTTCTGTCTAGTTCTTATTTGAAGACATTTCCTTTCTCACCTTAGGCCTGAAAACGCTCGAAATATCCACTTCCAGATACGACAGAAACAGTGATTCAAACCTGCTCTATGAAAGGGAATGTTCAACTAGGTGACTTGAATGCAAACATCAGAAAGCAGTTTCTGAGAATGCTGCTGTCTACTTTCTATTTGTAATCCCGTTTCCAACGAAATCCTCAGAACTATCGAAATTTCCAATTGCAGATTCCACAAAAAGCGTGTTTCAAAGCTGCTCTGTAAAAAGAAAGGTTCAACTCTGTTAGTTGAATACACACGTCACAAACAAGTTTCTGAGAATGCTTCTGTCTAGTTTTTATGGGAAGATATTTCCTTTTTCACCGTAGGCCTCAAAGCCCTCCAAATGTCCACTTCCACATACTACAAAAAGAGTGTTTCAAACCTGCTCTATGATAGGGAATGTTGAAACCTATGAGTTGAATGCAAGCATTACAAAGAGGTTTCTGAGAATGCTTCTGTCTAGATTTTATATGTAGATATTCCCGTTTCCAACGAAATCCTCAAAGCTATCCAAATATCAACTTGCAGATTCTGCAAAAGGAATGTTTCCAAAATGCTGTATCCAAACAAAGGTTCAACTCTGTGAATTGAGGGCATACATCACAAAGAAGATTCTGAGAATGCTTCTGTCTAGATTTTATATGAAAATATTCCCGTTTCCAACGAAATCCTCAAAGCTATCCAAATATCCACTTGCAAATGCCACAAAAAGAGTGTTTCCAAACTGCTCTGTGAAAAGGAAGGTTCAACTCTGTTAGTTGAGTACACACATCACAAAGAGGTTTCTGAGAATGCTGCTGACTAGTTTTTATTTGAAGATATTTCCCTTTTCACCTTAGGCCTAAGAGTGCTCGAAATGTCCATTTCCACATACTCCACAAAGTGTGTTTCAAACGTGCTGTATGAAAGGGAATGTTCAACTCTATGAGTTGAATGCAAACATCACAAAGAAGATTCTGAGAATGCTTTTGTCTAGATTTTATATGAAGATATTCCCGTGTCCAACGAAATTTTCAAAGGTCTCCAAATATCCATTTGTAGATTCTACAAAAAGAGTGTTTCCAAACTGCTGTATCAAAACAAAGGTTGAACTCTGTGAGTTGAGGACACACATCACAAATAAGTTTCTGAGAATGCTTCTGTCTAGTTTTTATTTGAAGATGTTTCCTTTTTCACCATAGGCCTGAAAGCGCTCGAAATGTCCACTTCCAGATAGTACAGAAAGAGTGTTTCAAACCTGCTCTATGAACGGGAATGTTCAGCTCTGTGAGTTGAATGCAAACATCACAAAGCAGGTTCTGAGAATGCTTCCGTCTAGATTTTAAATGAGGATATTCCCGTTTCCAACGAAATCCTCGAAGCTATCCAAATATCCACTTGCAGATTCCACAAAAAGAGTGTTTCAAAACTGCTCTGTCAAAAGATAGGTTCAACTCTGTTAGTTGAGTACACACATGGCAAACAAGATTGCGAGAATGCTTTCGTCTAGTTTTTTAGGGAAGATATTTCCTTCTTCACCATAGGCCTCAAAGCGCTCCAAATATCCATTTCCACATGCTATACAAAGAGTGTCTCAAACCTGCTGTATGAATGGGAATGTTCAACTCTATGAGTTGAATGCAAACATCACAAAGAAGTTTCTGAGAATGCTGCTGTCTAGATTTTATATGAAGGTTTTCCCGCTTCCAACGAAATTTTCAATGCTCTCAAAATATCCTCTTGTAGATTCTACAAAAAGAGTGTTTCCAAACTGCTGTATCAAAACAAAGGTTCATCTCTGTTAGTTGAGGACACACATCACAAATAAGTTTCTGAGAATGCTTCTGTCTAGTTCTTATTTGAAGACATTTCCTTTCTCACCTTAGGCCTGAAAGCGCTCGAAATACACACTTCCAGATACTACAGAAACAGTGATTCAAACCTGCTCTATGAAAGGGAATGTTCAACTATGTGACTTGAATGCAAACATCACAAAGCAGTTTGCTGAGAATGCTGCTGTCTACTTTCTATTTGTAATCCCGTTTCCAACGAAATCCTCAGAACTATCGAAATTTCCAATTGCAGATTCCACAGAAACAGGGTTTCAAAGCTGCTCTGTAAAAAGAAAGGTTCAACTCTGTTAGTTGAATACACACGTCACAAACAAGTTTCTGAGAATGCTTCTGTCTAGTTTTCATGGGAAGATATTTCCTTTTTCACCGTAGGCCTCAAAGCGCTCCAAATGTCCAGTTCCACATACTACAAAAAGAGTGTTTCAAACCTGCTGTATGAAAGGGAATGTTCAACTCTATGAGTTGAATGCAAACATTACAAAGAAGTTTCTGAGAATGCTTCTGTCTAGATTTTATATGAAGATTTTCCCGTTTCCAACGAAATTTTCAATGCTCTCAAAATATCCACTTGTAGATTCTACAAAAAGAGTGTTTCCAAACTGCTGTGTCAAAAGAAAGGTTCAACTCTGTTAGTTGAGGACACACATCACAAATAAGTTTCTGAGAATGCTTCTGTCTAGTTCTTATTTGAAGACATTTCCTTTCTCACCTTAGGCCTGAAAACGCTCGAAATATCCACTTCCAGATACGACAGAAACAGTGATTCAAACCTGCTCTATGAAAGGGAATGTTCAACTAGGTGACTTGAATGCAAACATCACAAAGCAGTTTCTGAGAATGCTGCTGTCTACTTTCTATTTGTAATCCCGTTTCCAACGAAATCCTCAGAACTATCGAAATTTCCAATTGCAGATTCCACAGAAACAGGGTTTCAAAGCTGCTCTGTAAAAAGAAAGGTTCAACTCTGTTAGTTGAATACACACGTCACAAACAAGTTTCTGAGAATGCTTCTGTCTAGTTTTTATGGGAAGATATTTCCTTTTTCACCATAGGCCTCAAAGCGCTCCAAATGTCCACTTCCACATACTACAAAAAGAGTGTTTCAAACCTGCTCTATGATAGGGAATGTTGAAACCTATGAGTTGAATGCAAGCATTACAAAGAGGTTTCTGAGAATGCTTCTGTCTAGATTTTATATGTAGATATTCCCGTTTCCAACGAAATCCTCAAAGCTATCCAAATATCAACTTGCAGATTCTGCAAAAGGAATGTTTCCAAAATGCTGTATCCAAACAAAGGTTCAACTCTGTGAATTGAGGGCATACATCACAAAGAAGATTCTGAGAATGCTTCTGTCTAGATTTTATATGAAAATATTCCCGTTTCCAACGAAATCCTCAAAGCTATCCAAATATCCACTTGCAAATGCCACAAAAAGAGTGTTTCCAAACTGCTCTGTGAAAAGGAAGGTTCAACTCTGTTAGTTGAGTACACACATCACAAAGAGGTTTCTGAGAATGCTGCTGACTAGTTTTTATTTGAAGATATTTCCCTTTTCACCTTAGGCCTAAGAGTGCTCGAAATGTCCATTTCCACATACTCCACAAAGTGTGTTTCAAACGTGCTGTATGAAAGGGAATGTTCAACTCTATGAGTTGAATGCAAACATCACAAAGAAGATTCTGAGAATGCTTTTGTCTAGATTTTATATGAAGATATTCCCGTGTCCAACGAAATTTTCAAAGGTCTCCAAATATCCATTTGTAGATTCTACAAAAAGAGTGTTTCCAAACTGCTGTATCAAAACAAAGGTTGAACTCTGTGAGTTGAGGACACACATCACAAATAAGTTTCTGAGAATGCTTCTGTCTAGTTTTTATTTGAAGATGTTTCCTTTTTCACCATAGGCCTGAAAGCGCTCGAAATGTCCACTTCCAGATAGTACAGAAAGAGTGTTTCAAACCTGCTCTATGAACGGGAATGTTCAGCTCTGTGAGTTGAATGCAAACATCACAAAGCAGGTTGCTGAGAATGCTTTCCGTCTAGATTTTAAATGAGGATATTCCCGTTTCCAACGAAATCCTCGAAGCTATCCAAATATCCACTTGCAGATTCCACAGAAAGAGTGTTTCAAAACTGCTCTCTCAAAAGATAGGTTCAACTCTGTTAGTTGAGTACCCACATGGCAAACAAGATTCCGAGAATGCTTTCGTCTAGTTTTTTTGGGAAGATATTTCCTTCTTCACCATAGGCCTCAAAGCGCTCCAAATATCCATTTCCACATGCTATACAAAGAGTGTCTCAAACCTGCTGTATGAATGGGAATGTTCAACTCTATGAGTTGAATGCAAACATCACAAAGAAGTTTCTGAGAATGCTGCTGTCTAGATTTTATATGAAGGTTTTCCCGCTTCCAACGAAATTTTCAATGCTCTCAAAATATCCTCTTGTAGTTTCTACAAAAAGAGTGTTTCCAGACTGCTGTATCAAAACAAAGGTTCATCTCTGTTAGTTGAGGACACACATCACAAATAAGTTTCTGAGAATGCTCTGTCTAGTTCTTATTTGAAGACATTTCCTTTCTCACCTTAGGCCTGAAAGCGCTCGAAATACCCACTTCCAGATACTACAGAAACAGTGATTCAAACCTGCTCTATGAAAGGGAATGTTCAACTATGTGACTTGAATGCAAACATCACAAAGCAGTTTCTGAGAATGCTGGCTGTCTACTTTCTATTTGTAATCCCGTTTCCAACGAAATCCTCAGAACTATCGAAATTTCCAATTGCAGATTCCACAGAAACAGGGTTTCAAAGCTGCTCTGTAAAAAGAAAGGTTCAACTCTGGTAGTTGAATACACACGTCACAAACAAGTTTCTGAGAATGCTTCTGTCTAGTTTTTATGGGAAGATATTTCCTTTTTCACCGTAGGCCTCAAAGCGCTCCAAATGTCCACGTCCACATACTACAAAAAGAGTGTTTCAAACCTGCTGTATGAAAGGGAATGTTCAACTCTATGAGTTGAATGCAAACATTACAAAGAAGTTTCTGAGAATGCTTCTGTCTAGATTTTATATGAAGGTTTTCCCGTTTCCAATGAAATTTTCAATGCTCTGAAAATATCCACTTGTAGATTCTACAAAAAGAGTGTTTCCAAACTGCTGTGTCAAAAGAAAGGTTCAACTCTGTTAGTTGAGGACACACATCACAAATAAGTTTCTGAGAATGCTTCTGTCTAGTTCTTATTTGAAGACATTTCCTTTCTCACCTTAGGCCTGAAAACGCTCGAAATATCCACTTCCAGATACGACAGAAACAGTGATTCAAACCTGCTCTATGAAAGGGAATGTTCAACTAGGTGACTTGAATGCAAACATCACAAAGCAGTTTCTGAGAATGCTGCTGTCTACTTTCTATTTGTAATCCCGTTTCCAACGAAATCCTCAGAACTATCGAAATTTCCAATTGCAGATTCCACAAAAAGCGTGTTTCAAAGCTGCTCTGTAAAAAGAAAGGTTCAACTCTGTTAGTTGAATACACACGTCACAAACAAGTTTCTGAGAATGCTTCTGTCTAGTTTTTATGGGAAGATATTTCCTTTTTCACCGTAGGCCTCAAAGCGCTCCAAATGTCCACTTCCACATACTACAAAAAGAGTGTTTCAAACCTGCTCTATGATAGGGAATGTTGAAACCTATGAGTTGAATGCAAGCATTACAAAGAGGTTTCTGAGAATGCTTCTGTCTAGATTTTATATGTAGATATTCCCGTTTCCAACGAAATCCTCAAAGCTATCCAAATATCAACTTGCAGATTCTACAAAAGGAATGTTTCCAAAATGCTGTATCCAAACAAAGGTTCAACTCTGTGAATTGAGGGCATACATCACAAAGAAGATTCTGAGAATGCTTCTGTCTAGATTTTATATGAAAATATTCCCGTTTCCAACGAAATCCTCAAAGCTATCCAAATATCCACTTGCAAATGCCACAAAAAGAGTGTTTCCAAACTGCTCTGTGAAAAGGAAGGTTCAACTCTGTTAGTTGAGTACACACATCACAAAGAGGTTTCTGAGAATGCTGCTGACTAGTTTTTATTTGAAGATATTTCCCTTTTCACCTTAGGCCTAAGAGTGCTCGAAATGTCCATTTCCACATACTCCACAAAGTGTGTTTCAAACGTGCTGTATGAAAGGGAATGTTCAACTCTATGAGTTGAATGCAAACATCACAAAGAAGACTCTGAGAATGCTTTTGTCTAGATTTTATATGAAGATATTCCCGTGTCCAACGAAATTTTCAAAGGTCTCCAAATATCCATTTGTAGATTCTACAAAAAGAGTGTTTCCAAACTGCTGTATCAAAACAAAGGTTGAACTCTGTGAGTTGAGGACACACATCACAAATAAGTTTCTGAGAATGCTTCTGTCTAGTTTTTATTTGAAGATGTTTCCTTTTTCACCATAGGCCTGAAAGCGCTCGAAATGTCCACTTCCAGATAGTACAGAAAGAGTGTTTCAAACCTGCTCTATGAACGGGAATGTTCAGCTCTGTGAGTTGAATGCAAACATCACAAAGCAGGTTCTGAGAATGCTTCCGTCTAGATTTTAAATGAGGATATTCCCGTTTCCAACGAAATCCTCGAAGCTATCCAAATATCCACTTGCAGATTCCACAAAAAGAGTGTTTCAAAACTGCTCTGTCAAAAGATAGGTTCAACTCTGTTAGTTGAGTACACACATGGCAAACAAGATTCCGAGAATGCTTTCGTCTAGTTTTTTTGGGAAGATATTTCCTTCTTCACCATAGGCCTCAAAACGCTCCAAATATCCATTTCCACATGCTATACAAAGAGTGTCTCAAACCTGCTGTATGAATGGGAATGTTCAACTCTATGAGTTGAATGCAAACATCACAAAGAAGTTTCTGAGAATGCTGCTGTCTAGATTTTATATGAAGGTTTTCCCGCTTCCAACGAAATTTTCAATGCTCTCAAAATATCCTCTTGTAGATTCTACAAAAAGAGTGTTTCCAAACTGCTGTATCAAAACAAAGGTTCATCTCTGTTAGTTGAGGACACACATCACAAATAAGTTTCTGAGAATGCTTCTGTCTAGTTCTTATTTGAAGACATTTCCTTTCTCACCTTAGGCCTGAAAGCGCTCGAAATACCCACTTCCAGATACTACAGAAACAGTGATTCAAACCTGCTCTATGAAAGGGAATGTTCAGCTATGTGACTTGAATGCAAACATCACAAAGCAGTTTCTGAGAATGCTGCTGTCTACTTTGTATTTGTAATCCCGTTTCCAACGAAATCCTCAGAACTATCGAAATTTCCAATTGCAGATTCCACAAAAAGCGTGTTTCAAAGCTGCTCTGTAAAAAGAAAGGTTCAACTCTGTTAGTTGAATACACACGTCACAAACAAGTTTCTGAGAATGCTTCTGTCTAGTTTTTATGGGAAGATATTTCCTTTTTCACCGTAGGCCTCAAAGCGCTCCAAATGTCCACTTCCACATACTACAAAAAGAGTGTTTCAAACCTGCTGTATGAAAGGGAATGTTCAACTCTATGAGTTGAATGCAAACATTACAAAGAAGTTTCTGAGAATGCTTCTGTCTAGATTTTATATGAAGGTTTTCCCGTTTCCAACGAAATTTTCAATGCTCTCAAAATATCCACTTGTAGATTCTACAAAAAGAGTGTTTCCTAACTGCTGTGTCAAAAGAAAGGTTCAACTCTGTTAGTTGAGGACACACATCACAAATAAGTTTCTGAGAATGCTTCTGTCTAGTTCTTATTTGAAGACATTTCCTTTCTCACCTTAGGCCTGAAAACGCTCGAAATATCCACTTCCAGATACGACAGAAACAGTGATTCAAACCTGCTCTATGAAAGGGAATGTTCAACTAGGTGACTTGAATGCAAACATCACAAAGCAGTTTCTGAGAATGCTGCTGTCTACTTTCTATTTGTAATCCCGTTTCCAACGAAATCCTCAGAACTATCGAAATTTCCAATTGCAGATTCCACAAAAAGCGTGTTTCAAAGCTGCTCTGTAAAAAGAAAGGTTCAACTCTGTTAGTTGAATACACACGTCACAAACAAGTTTCTGAGAATGCTTCTGTCTAGTTTTTATGGGAAGATATTTCCTTTTTCACCGTAGGCCTCAAAGCGCTCCAAATGTCCACTTCCACATACTACAAAAAGAGTGTTTCAAACCTGCTCTATGATAGGGAATGTTGAAACCTATGAGTTGAATGCAAGCATTACAAAGAGGTTTCTGAGAATGCTTCTGTCTAGATTTTATATGTAGATATTCCCGTTTCCAACGAAATCCTCAAAGCTATCCAAATATCATCTAGCAGATTCTACAAAAGGAATGTTTCCAAAATGCTGTATCCAAACAAAGGTTCAACTCTGTGAATTGAGGGCATATATCACAAAGAAGATTCTGAGAATGCTTCTGTCTAGATTTTATATGAAAATATTCCCGTTTCCAATGAAATCCTCAAAGCTATCCAAATATCCACTTGCAAATGCCACAAAAAGAGTGTTTCCAAACTGCTCTGTGAAAAGGAAGGTTCAACTCTGTTAGTTGAGTACACACATCACAAAGAGGTTTACTGAGAATGCTTCTGTCTAGTTTTTATGGGAAGATATTTCCTTTTTCACCGTAGGCCTCAAAGCGGCTCCAAATGTCCACGTCCACATACTACAAAAAGAGTGTTTCAAACCTGCTGTATGAAAGGGAATGTTCAACTCTATGAGTTGAATGCAAACATTACAAAGGAGTTTCTGAGAATGCTTCTGTCTAGAATTTTATATGAAGGTTTTCCTGCTTCCAACGAAATTTTCAATGCTCTCAAAATATCCACTTGTAGATTCTACAAAAAGAGTGTTTCCAAACTGCTGTGTCAAAACAAAGGTTCAACTCTGTTAGTTGAGGACACACATCACAAATAAGTTTCTGAGAATGCTTCTGTCTAGTTCTTATTTGAAGACATTTCCTTTCTCACCTTAGGCCTGAAAACGCTCGAAATATCCACTTCCAGATACGACAGAAACAGTGATTCAAACCTGCTCTATGAAAGGGAATGTTCAACTAGGTGACTTGAATGCAAACATCACAAAGCAGTTTCTGAGAATGCTGCTGTCTACTTTCTATTTGTAATCCCGTTTCCAACGAAATCCTCAGAACTATCAAAATTTCCAATTGCAGATTCCACAAAAAGCGTGTTTCAAAGCTGCTCTGTAAAAAGAAAGGTTCAACTCTGTTAGTTGAATACACACGTCACAAACAAGTTTCTGAGAATGCTTCTGTCTAGTTTTTATGGGAAGATATTTCCTTTTTCACCGTAGGCCTCAAAGCGCTCCAAATGTCCACTTCCACATACTACAAAAAGAGTGTTTCAAACCTGCTCTATGATAGGGAATGTTGAAACCTATGAGTTGAATGCAAGCATTACAAAGAGGTTTCTGAGAATGCTTCTGTCTAGATTTTATATGTAGATATTCCCGTTTCCAACGAAATCCTCAAAGCTATCCAAATATCAACTTGCAGATTCTACAAAAGGAATGTTTCCAAAATGCTGTATCCAAACAAAGGTTCAACTCTGTGAATTGAGGGCATACATCACAAAGAAGATTCTGAGAATGCTTCTGTCTAGATTTTATATGAAAATATTCCCGTTTCCAACGAAATCCTCAAAGCTATCCAAATATCCACTTGCAAATGCCACAAAAAGAGTGTTTCCAAACTGCTCTGTGAAAAGGAAGGTTCAACTCTGTTAGTTGAGTACACACATCACAAAGAGGTTTCTGAGAATGCTGCTGACTAGTTTTTATTTGAAGATATTTCCCTTTTCACCTTAGGCCTAAGAGTGCTCGAAATGTCCATTTCCACATACTCCACAAAGTGTGTTTCAAACGTGCTGTATGAAAGGGAATGTTCAACTCTATGAGTTGAATGCAAACATCACAAAGAAGATTCTGAGAATGCTTTTGTCTAGATTTTATATGAAGATATTCCCGTGTCCAACGAAATTTTCAAAGTTCTCCAAATATCCATTTGTAGATTCTACAAAAAGAGTGTTTCCAAACTGCTGTATCAAAACAAAGGTTGAACTCTGTGAGTTGAGGACACACATCACAAATAAGTTTCTGAGAATGCTTCTGTCTAGTTTTTATTTGAAGATGTTTCCTTTTTCACCATAGGCCTGAAAGCGCTCGAAATGTCCACTTCCAGATAGTACAGAAAGAGTGTTTCAAACCTGCTCTATGAACGGGAATGTTCAGCTCTGTGAGTTGAATGCAAACATCACAAAGCAGGTTCTGAGAATGCTTCCGTCTAGATTTTAAATGAGGATATTCCCGTTTCCAACGAAATCCTCGAAGCTATCCAAATATCCACTTGCAGATTCCACAAAAAGAGTGTTTCAAAACTGCTCTGTCAAAAGATAGGTTCAACTCTGTTAGTTGAGTACACACATGGCAAACAAGATTCCGAGAATGCTTTCGTCTAGTTTTTTTGGGAAGATATTTCCTTCTTCACCATAGGCCTCAAAGCGCTCCAAATATCCATTTCCACATGCTATACAAAGAGTGTCTCAAACCTGCTGTATGAATGGGAATGTTCAACTCTATGAGTTGAATGCAAACATCACAAAGAAGTTTCTGAGAATGCTGCTGTCTAGATTTTATATGAAGGTTTTCCCGCTTCCAACGAAATTTTCAATGCTCTCAAAATATCCTCTTGTAGATTCTACAAAAAGAGTGTTTCCAAACTGCTGTATCAAAACAAAGGTTCATCTCTGTTAGTTGAGGACACACATCACAAATAAGTTTCTGAGAATGCTTCTGTCTAGTTCTTATTTGAAGACATTTCCTTTCTCACCTTAGGCCTGAAAGCGCTCGAAATACCCACTTCCAGATACGACAGAAACAGTGATTCAAACCTGCTCTATGAAAGGGAATGTTCAACTAGGTGACTTGAATGCAAACATCACAAAGCAGTTTCTGAGAATGCTGCTGTCTACTTTCTATTTGTAATCCCGTTTCCAACGAAATCCTCAGAACTATCGAAATTTCCAATTGCAGATTCCACAGAAACAGGGTTTCAAAGCTGCTCTGTAAAAAGAAAGGTTCAACTCTGTTAGTTGAATACACACGTCACAAACAAGTTTCTGAGAATGCTTCTGTCTAGTTTTTATGGGAAGATATTTCCTTTTTCACGGTAGGCCTCAAAGCGCTCCAAATGTCCACTTCCACATACTACAAAAAGAGTGTTTCAAACCTGCTCTATGATAGGGAATGTTGAAACCTATGAGTTGAATGCAAGCATTACAAAGAGGTTTCTGAGAATGCTTCTGTCTAGATTTTATATGTAGATATTCCCGTTTCCAACGAAATCCTCAAAGCTATCCAAATATCAACTTGCAGATTCTACAAAAGGAATGTTTCCAAAATGCTGTATCCAAACAAAGGTTCAACTCTGTGAATTGAGGGCATACATCACAAAGAAGATTCTGAGAATGCTTCTGTCTAGATTTTATATGAAAATATTCCCGTTTCCAACGAAATCCTCAAAGCTATCCAAATATCCACTTGCAAATGCCACAAAAAGAGTGTTTCCAAACTGCTCTGTGAAAAGGAAGGTTCAACTCTGTTAGTTGAGTACACACATCACAAAGAGGTTTCTGAGAATGCTGCTGACTAGTTTTTATTTGAAGATATTTCCCTTTTCACCTTAGGCCTAAGAGTGCTCGAAATGTCCATTTCCACATACTCCACAAAGTGTGTTTCAAACGTGCTGTATGAAAGGGAATGTTCAACTCTATGAGTTGAATGCAAACATCACAAAGAAGATTCTGAGAATGCTTTTGTCTAGATTTTATATGAAGATATTCCCGTGTCCAACGAAATTTTCAAAGGTCTCCAAATATCCATTTGTAGATTCTACAAAAAGAGTGTTTCCAAACTGCTGTATCAAAACAAAGGTTGAACTCTGTGAGTTGAGGACACACATCACAAATAAGTTTCTGAGAATGCTTCTGTCTAGTTTTTATTTGAAGATGTTTCCTTTTTCACCATAGGCCTGAAAGCGCTCGAAATGTCCACTTCCAGATAGTACAGAAAGAGTGTTTCAAACCTGCTCTATGAACGGGAATGTTCAGCTCTGTGAGTTGAATGCAAACATCACAAAGCAGGTTCTGAGAATGCTTCCGTCTAGATTTTAAATGAGGATATTCCCGTTTCCAACGAAATCCTCGAAGCTATCCAAATATCCACTTGCAGATTCCACAAAAAGAGTGTTTCAAAACTGCTCTGTCAAAAGATAGGTTCAACTCTGTTAGTTGAGTACACACATGGCAAACAAGATTGCGAGAATGCTTTCGTCTAGTTTTTTTGGGAAGATATTTCCTTCTTCACCATAGGCCTCAAAGCGCTCCAAATATCCATTTCCACATGCTATACAAAGAGTGTCTCAAACCTGCTGTATGAATGGGAATGTTCAACTCTATGAGTTGAATGCAAACATCACAAAGAAGTTTCTGAGAATGCTGCTGTCTAGATTTTATATGAAGGTTTTCCCGCTTCCAACGAAATTTTCAATGCTCTCAAAATATCCTCTTGTAGATTCTACAAAAAGAGTGTTTCCAAACTGCTGTATCAAAACAAAGGTTCATCTCTGTTAGTTGAGGACACACATCACAAATAAGTTTCTGAGAATGCTTCTGTCTAGTTCTTATTTGAAGACATTTCCTTTCTCACCTTAGGCCTGAAAGCGCTCGAAATACCCACTTCCAGATACTACAGAAACAGTGATTCAAACCTGCTCTATGAAAGGGAATGTTCAACTAGGTGACTTGAATGCAAACATCACAAAGCAGTTTCTGAGAATGCTGCTGTCTACTTTCTATTTGTAATCCCGTTTCCAACGAAATCCTCAGAACTATCGAAATTTCCAATTGCAGATTCCACAAAAAGCGTGTTTCAAAGCTGCTCTGTAAAAAGAAAGGTTCAACTCTGTTAGTTGAATACACACGTCACAAACAAGTTTCTGAGAATGCTTCTGTCTAGTTTTTATGGGAAGATATTTCCTTTTTCACCGTAGGCCTCAAAGTGCTCCAAATGTCCACTTCCACATACTACAAAAAGAGTGTTTCAAACCTGCTCTATGATAGGGAATGTTGAAACCTATGAGTTGAATGCAAGCATTACAAAGAGGTTTCTGAGAATGCTTCTGTCTAGATTTTATATGTAGATATTCCCGTTTCCAACGAAATCCTCAAAGCTATCCAAATATCAACCTGCAGATTCTACAAAAGGAATGTTTCCAAAATGCTGTATCCAAACAAAGGTTCAACTCTGTGAATTGAGGGCATACATCACAAAGAAGATTCTGAGAATGCTTCTGTCTAGATTTTATATGAAAATATTCCCGTTTCCAACGAAATCCTCAAAGCTATCCAAATATCCACTTGCAAATGCCACAAAAAGAGTGTTTCCAAACTGCTCTGTGAAAAGGAAGGTTCAACTCTGTTAGTTGAGTACACACATCACAAAGAGGTTTCTGAGAATGCTGCTGACTAGTTTTTATTTGAAGATATTTCCCTTTTCACCTTAGGCCTAAGAGTGCTCGAAATGTCCATTTCCACATACTCCACAAAGTGTGTTTCAAACGTGCTGTATGAAAGGGAATGTTCAACTCTATGAGTTGAATGCAAACATCACAAAGAAGATTCTGAGAATGCTTTTGTCTAGATTTTATATGAAGATATTCCCGTGTCCAACGAAATTTTCAAAGGTCTCCAAATAAAGATTGTTTCCAAACTGCTGTATCAAAACAAAGGTTGAACTCTGTGAGTTGAGGACACACATCACAAATAAGTTTCTGAGAATGCTTCTGTCTAGTTTTTATTTGAAGATGTTTCCTTTTTCACCATAGGCCTGAAAGCGCTCGAAATGTCCACTTCCAGATAGTACAGAAAGAGTGTTTCAAACCTGCTCTATGAACGGGAATGTTCAGCTCTGTGAGTTGAATGCAAACATCACAAAGCAGGTTCTGAGAATGCTTCCGTCTAGATTTTAAATGAGGATATTCCCGTTTCCAACGAAATCCTCGAAGCTATCCAAATATCCACTTGCAGATTCCACAAAAAGAGTGTTTCAAAACTGCTCTGTCAAAAGATAGGTTCAACTCTGTTAGTTGAGTACACACATGGCAAACAAGATTGCGAGAATGCTTTCGTCTAGTTTTTTTGGGAAGATATTTCCTTCTTCACCATAGGCCTCAAAGCGCTCCAAATATCCATTTCCACATGCTATACAAAGAGTGTCTCAAACCTGCTGTATGAATGGGAATGTTCACCTCTATGAGTTGAATGCAAACATCACAAAGAAGTTTCTGAGAATGCTGCTGTCTAGATTTTATATGAAGGTTTTCCCGCTTCCAACGAAATTTTCAATGCTCTCAAAATATCCTCTTGTAGATTCTACAAAAAGAGTGTTTCCAAACTGCTGTATCAAAACAAAGGTTCATCTCTGTTAGTTGAGGACACACATCACAAATAAGTTTCTGAGAATGCTTCTGTCTAGTTCTTATTTGAAGACATTTCCTTTCTCACCTTAGGCCTGAAAGCGCTCGAAATACCCACTTCCAGATACTACAGAAACAGTGATTCAAACCAGCTCTATGAAAGGGAATGTTCAACTAGGTGACTTGAATGCAAACATCACAAAGCAGTTTCTGAGAATGCTGCTGTCTACTTTCTATTTGTAATCCCGTTTCCAACGAAATCCTCAGAACTATCGAAATTTCCAATTGCAGATTCCACAGAAACAGGGTTTCAAAGCTGCTCTGTAAAAAGAAAGGTTCAACTCTGTTAGTTGAATACACACGTCACAAACAAGTTTCTGAGAATGCTTCTGTCTAGTTTTTATGGGAAGATATTTCCTTTTTCACCGTAGGCCTCAAAGCGCTCCAAATGTCCACGTCCACATACTACAAAAAGAGTGTTTCAAACCTGCTGTATGAAAGGGAATGTTCAACTCTATGAGTTGAATGCAAACATTACAAAGAAGTTTCTGAGAATGCTTCTGTCTAGATTTTATATGAAGGTTTTCCCGTTTCCAACGAAATTTTCAATGCTCTCAAAATATCCACTTGTAGATTCTACAAAAAGAGTGTTTCCAAACTGCTGTGTCAAAAGAAAGGTTCAACTCTGTTAGTTGAGGACACACATCACAAATAAGTTTCTGAGAATGCTTCTGTCTAGTTCTTATTTGAAGACATTTCCTTTCTCACCTTAGGCCTGAAAACGCTCGAAATATCCACTTCCAGATACGACAGAAACAGTGATTCAAACCTGCTCTATGAAAGGGAATGTTCAACTAGGTGACTTGAATGCAAACATCACAAAGCAGTTTCTGAGAATGCTGCTGTCTACTTTCTATTTGTAATCCCGTTTCCAACGAAATCCTCGAAGCTATCCAAATATCCACTTGCAGATTCCACAAAAAGAGTGTTTCAAAACTGCTCTGTCAAAAGATAGGTTCAACTCTGTTAGTTGAGTACACACATGGCAAACAAGATTGCGAGAATGCTTTCGTCTAGTTTTTTTGGGAAGATATTTCCTTCTTCACCATAGGCCTCAAAGCGCTCCAAATATCCATTTCCACATGCTATACAAAGAGTGTCTCAAACCTGCTGTATGAATGGGAATGTTCAACTCTATGAGTTGAATGCAAACATCACAAAGAAGTTTCTGAGAATGCTGCTGTCTAGATTTTATATGAAGGTTTTCCCGCTTCCAACGAAATTTTCAATGCTCTCAAAATATCCTCTTGTAGATTCTACAAAAAGAGTGTTTCCAAACTGCTGTATCAAAACAAAGGTTCATCTCTGTTAGTTGAGGACACACATCACAAATAAGTTTCTGAGAATGCTTCTGTCTAGTTCTTATTTGAAGACATTTCCTTTCTCACCTTAGGCCTGAAAGCGCTCGAAATACCCACTTCCAGATACTACAGAAACAGTGATTCAAACCTGCTCTATGAAAGGGAATGTTCAACTAGGTGACTTGAATGCAAACATCACAAAGCAGTTTCTGAGAATGCTTGCTGTCTACTTTCTATTTGTAATCCCGTTTCCAACGAAATCCTCAGCAACTATCGAAATTTCCAATTGCAGATTCCACAGAAACAGGGTTTCAAAGCTGCTCTGTAAAAAGAAAGGTTCAACTCTGTTAGTTGAATACACACGTCACAAACAAGTTTCTGAGAATGCTTCTGTCTAGTTTTTATGGGAAGCATATTTCCTTTTTCACCGTAGGCCTCAAAGCGCTCCAAATGTCCACTTCCACATACTACAAAAAGAGTGTTTCAAACCTGCTCTATGATAGGGAATGTTGAAACCTATGAGTTGAATGCAAACATTACAAAGAGGTTTCTGAGAATGCTTCTGTCTAGATTTTATATGTAGATATTCCGGTTTCCAACGAAATCCTCAAAGCTATCCAAATATCAACTTGCAGATTCTACAAAAGGAATGTTTCCAAAATGCTGTATCCAAACAAAGGTTCAACTCTGTGAATTGAGGGCATACATCACAAAGAAGATTCTGAGAATGCTTCTGTCTAGATTTTATATGAAAATATTCCCGTTTCCAACGAAATCCTCAAAGCTATCCAAATATCCACTTGCAAATGCCACAAAAAGAGTGTTTCCAAACTGCTCTGTGAAAAGGAAGGTTCAACTCTGTTAGTTGAGTACACACATCAGAAAGAGGTTTCTGAGAATGCTGCTGACTAGTTTTTATTTGAAGATATTTCCCTTTTCACCTTAGGCCTAAGAGTGCTCGAAATGTCCATTTCCACATACTCCACAAAGTGTGTTTCAAACGTGCTGTATGAAAGGGAATGTTCAACTCTATGAGTTGAATGCAAACATCACAAAGAAGATTCTGAGAATGCTTTTGTCTAGATTTTATATGAAGATATTCCCGTGTCCAACGAAATTTTCAAAGGTCTCCAAATATCCATTTGTAGATTCTACAAAAAGAGTGTTTCCAAACTGCTGTATCAAAACAAAGGTTGAACTCTGTGAGTTGAGGACACACATCACAAATAAGTTTCTGAGAATGCTTCTGTCTAGTTTTTATTTGAAGATGTTTCCTTTTTCACCATAGGCCTGAAAGCGCTCGAAATGTCCACTTCCAGATAGTACAGAAAGAGTGTTTCAAACCTGCTCTATGAACGGGAATGTTCAGCTCTGTGAGTTGAATGCAAACATCACAAAGCAGGTTCTGAGAATGCTTCCGTCTAGATTTTAAATGAGGATATTCCCGTTTCCAACGAAATCCTCGAAGCTATCCAAATATCCACTTGCAGATTCCACAAAAAGAGTGTTTCAAAACTGCTCTGTCAAAAGATAGGTTCAACTCTGTTAGTTGAGTACACACATGGCAAACAAGATTCCGAGAATGCTTTCGACTAGTTTTTTGGGGAAGATATTTCCTTCTTCACCATAGGCCTCAAAGCGCTCCAAATATCCATTTCCACATGCTATACAAAGAGTGTCTCAAACCTGCTGTATGAATGGGAATGTTCAACTCTATGAGTTGAATGCAAACATCACAAAGAAGTTTCTGAGAATGCTGCTGTCTAGATTTTATATGAAGGTTTTCCCGCTTCCAACGAAATTTTCGATGCTCTCAAAATATCCTCTTGTAGATTCTACAAAAAGAGTGTTTCCAAACTGCTGTATCAAAACAAAGGTTCATCTCTGTTAGTTGAGGACACACATCACAAATAAGTTTCTGAGAATGCTTCTGTCTAGTTCTTATTTGAAGACATTTCCTTTCTCACCTTAGGCCTGAAAGCGCTCGAAATACCCACTTCCAGATACTACAGAAACAGTGATTCAAACCTGCTCTATGAAAGGGAATGTTCAACTAGGTGACTTGAATGCAAACATCACAAAGCAGTTTCTGAGAATGCTGCTGTCTACTTTCTATTTGTAATCCCGTTTCCAACGAAATCCTCAGAACTATCGAAATTTCCAATTGCAGATTCCACAGAAACAGGGTTTCAAAGCTGCTCTGTAAAAAGAAAGGTTCAACTCTGTTAGTTGAATACACACGTCACAAACAAGTTTCTGAGAATGCTTCTGTCTAGTTTTTATGGGAAGATATTTCCTTTTTCACCGTAGGCCTCAAAGCGCTCCAAATGTCCACTTCCACATATTACAAAAAGAGTGTTTCAAACCTGCTCTATGATAGGGAATGTTGAAACCTATGAGTTGAATGCAAGCATTACAAAGAGGTTTCTGAGAATGCTTCTGTCTAGATTTTATATGAAGGTTTTCCCGTTTCCAACGAAATTTTCAATGCTCTCAAAATATCCACTTGTAGATTCTACAAAAAGAGTGTTTCCAAACTGCTGTGTCAAAAGAAAGGTTCAACTCTGTTAGTTGAAGACACACATCACAAATAAGTTTCTGAGAATGCTTCTGTCTAGTTCTTATTTGAAGACATTTCCTTTCTCACCTTAGGCCTGAAAACGCTCGAAATATCCACTTCCAGATACGACAGAAACAGTGATTCAAACCTGCTCTATGAAAGGGAATGTTCAACTAGGTGACTTGAATGCAAACATCACAAAGCAGTTTCTGAGAATGCTGCTGTCTACTTTCTATTTGTAATCCCGTTTGCAACGAAATCCTCAGAACTATCGAAATTTCCAATTGCAGATTCCACAGAAACAGGGTTTCAAAGCTGCTCTGTAAAAAGAAAGGTTCAACTCTGTTAGTTGAATACACACGTCACAAACAAGTTTCTGAGAATGCTTCTGTCTAGTTTTTATGGGAAGATATTTCCTTTTTCACCGTAGGCCTCAAAGCGCTCCAAATGTCCACTTCCACATACTAGAAAAAGAGTGTTTCAAACCTGCTGTATGAAAGGGAATGTTCAACTCTGTGAGTTGAATGCAAACATTACAAAGAAGTTTCTGAGAATGCTTCTGTCTAGATTTTATATGAAGGTTTTCCCGTTTCCAACGAAATTTTCAATGCTCTCAAAATATCCACTTGTAGATTCTACAAAAAGAGTGTTTCCAAACTGCTGTGTCAAAAGAAAGGTTCAACTCTGTTAGTTGAGGACACACATCACAAATAAGTTTCTGAGAATGCTTCTGTCTAGTTCTTATTTGAAGACATTTCCTTTCTCACCTTAGGCCTGAAAACGCTCGAAATATCCACTTCCAGATACGACAGAAACAGTGATTCAAACCTGCTCTATGAAAGGGAATGTTCAACTAGGTGACTTGAATGCAAACATCACAAAGCAGTTTCTGAGAATGCTGCTGTCTACTTTCTATTTGTAATCCCGTTTCCAACGAAATCCTCAGAACTATCGAAATTTCCAATTGCAGATTCCACAAAAAGCGTGTTTCAAAGCTGCTCTGTAAAAAGAAAGGTTCAACTCTGTTAGTTGAATACACACGTCACAAACAAGTTTCTGAGAATGCTTCTGTCTAGTTTTTATGGGAAGATATTTCCTTTTTCACCGTAGGCCTCAAAGTGCTCCAAATGTCCACTTCCACATACTACAAAAAGAGTGTTTCAAACCTGCTCTATGATAGGGAATGTTGAAACCTATGAGTTGAATGCAAGCATTACAAAGAGGTTTCTGAGAATGCTTCTGTCTAGATTTTATATGTAGATATTCCCGTTTCCAACGAAATCCTCAAAGCTATCCAAATATCAACTTGCAGATTCTACAAAAGGAATGTTTCCAAAATGCTGTATCCAAACAAAGGTTCAACTCTGTGAATTGAGGGCATACATCACAAAGAAGATTCTGAGAATGCTTCTGTCTAGATTTTATATGAAAATATTCCCGTTTCCAACGAAATCCTCAAAGCTATCCAAATATCCACTTGCAAATGCCACAAAAAGAGTGTTTCCAAACTGCTCTGTGAAAAGGAAGGTTCAACTCTGTTAGTTGAGTACACACATCACAAAGAGGTTTCTGAGAATGCTGCTGACTAGTTTTTATTTGAAGATATTTCCCTTTTCACCTTAGGCCTAAGAGTGCTCGAAATGTCCATTTCCACATACTCCACAAAGTGTGTTTCAAACGTGCTGTATGAAAGGGAATGTTCAACTCTATGAGTTGAATGCAAACATCACAAAGAAGATTCTGAGAATGCTTTTGTCTAGATTTTATATGAAGATATTCCCGTGTCCAACGAAATTTTCAAAGGTCTCCAAATATCCATTTGTAGATTCTACAAAAAGAGTGTTTCCAAACTGCTGTATCAAAACAAAGGTTGAACTCTGTGAGTTGAGGACACACATCACAAATAAGTTTCTGAGAATGCTTCTGTCTAGTTTTTATTTGAAGATGTTTCCTTTTTCACCATAGGCCTGAAAGCGCTCGAAATGTCCACTTCCAGATAGTACAGAAAGAGTGTTTCAAACCTGCTCTATGAACGGGAATGTTCAGCTCTGTGAGTTGAATGCAAACATCACAAAGCAGGTTCTGAGAATGCTTCCGTCTAGATTTTAAATGAGGATATTCCCGTTTCCAAAGAAATCCTCGAAGCTATCCAAATATCCACTTGCAGATTCCACAAAAAGAGTGTTTCAAAACTGCTCTGTCAAAAGATAGGTTCAACTCTGTTAGTTGAATACACACGTCACAAACAAGTTTCTGAGATTGCTTCTGTCTAGTTTTTATGGGAAGATATTTCCTTTTTCACCGTAGGCCTCAAAGCGCTCCAAATGTCCGCTTCCACATACTACAAAAAGAGTGTTTCAAACCTGCTGTATGAAAGGGAATGTTCAACTCTATGAGTTGAATGCAAACATTACAAAGAAGTTTCTGAGAATGCTTCTGTCTAGATTTTATATGAAGGTTTTCCCGTTTCCAACGAAATTTTCAATGCTCTCAAAATATCCACTTGTAGATTCTACAAAAAGAGTGTTTCCAAACTGCTGTGTCAAAAGAAAGGTTCAACTCTGTTAGTTGAGGACACACATCACAAATAAGTTTCTGAGAATGCTTCTGTCTAGTTCTTATTTGAAGACATTTCCTTTCTCACCTTAGGCCTGAAAACGCTCGAAATATCCACTTCCAGATACGACAGAAACAGTGATTCAAACCTGCTCTATGAAAGGGAATGTTCAACTAGGTGACTTGAATGCAAACATCACAAAGCAGTTTCTGAGAATGCTGCTGTCTACTTTCTATTTGTAATCCCGTTTCCAACGAAATCCTCAGAACTATAGAAATTTCCAATTGCAGATTCCACAAAAAGCGTGTTTCAAAGCTGCTCTGTAAAAAGAAAGGTTCAACTCTGTTAGTTGAATACACACGTCACAAACAAGTTTCTGAGAATGCTTCTGTCTAGTTTTTATGGGAAGATATTTCCTTTTTCACCGTAGGCCTCAAAGCGCTCCAAATGTCCACTTCCACATACTACAAAAAGAGTGTTTCAAACCTGCTCTATGATAGGGAATGTTGAAACCTATGAGTTGAATGCAAACATTACAAAGAGGTTTCTGAGAATGCTTCTGTCTAGATTTTATATGTAGATATTCCCGTTTCCAACGAAATCCTCAAAGCTATCCAAATATCAACTTGCAGATTCTACAAAAGGAATGTTTCCAAAATGCTGTATCCAAACAAAGGTTCAACTCTGTGAATTGAGGGAATACATCACAAAGAAGATTCTGAGAATGCTTCTGTCTAGATTTTATATGAAAATATTCCCGTTTCCAACGAAATCCTCAAAGCTATCCAAATATCCACTTGCAAATGCCACAAAAAGAGTGTTTCCAAACTGCTCTGTGAAAAGGAAGGTTCAACTCTGTTAGTTGAGTACACACATCACAAAGAGGTTTCTGAGAATGCTGCTGACTAGTTTTTATTTGAAGATATTTCCCTTTTCACCTTAGGCCTAAGAGTGCTCGAAATGTCCATTTCCACATACTCCACAAAGTGTGTTTCAAACGTGCTGTATGAAAGGGAATGTTCAACTCTATGAGTTGAATGCAAACATCACAAAGAAGATTCTGAGAATGCTTTTGTCTAGATTTTATATGAAGATATTCCCGTGTCCAACGAAATTTTCAAAGGTCTCCAAATATCCATTTGTAGATTCTACAAAAAGAGTGTTTCCAAACTGCTGTATCAAAACAAAGGTTGAACTCTGTGAGTTGAGGACACACATCACAAATAAGTTTCTGAGAATGCTTCTGTCTAGTTTTTATTTGAAGATGTTTCCTTTTTCACCATAGGCCTGAAAGCGCTCGAAATGTCCACTTCCAGATAGTGCAGAAAGAGTGTTTCAAACCTGCTCTATGAACGGGAATGTTCAGCTCTGTGAGTTGAATGCAAACATCACAAAGCAGGTTCTGAGAATGCTTCCGTCTAGATTTTAAATGAGGATATTCCCGTTTCCAACGAAATCCTCGAAGCTATCCAAATATCCACTTGCAGATTCCACAAAAAGAGTGTTTCAAAACTGCTCTGTCAAAAGATAGGTTCAACTCTGTTAGTTGAGTACACACATGGCAAACAAGATTCCGAGAATGCTTTCGTCTAGTTTTTTTGGGAAGATATTTCCTTCTTCACCATAGGCCTCAAAGCGCTCCAAATATCCATTTCCACATGCTATACAAAGAGTGTCTCAAACCTGCTGTATGAATGGGAATGTTCAACTCTATGAGTTGAATGCAAACATCACAAAGAAGTTTCTGAGAATGCTGCTGTCTAGATTTTATATGAAGGTTTTCCCGCTTCCAACGAAATTTTCAATGCTCTCAAAATATCCTCTTGTAGATTCTACAAAAAGAGTGTTTCCAAACTGCTGTATCAAAACAAAGGTTCATCTCTGTTAGTTGAGGACACACATCACAAATAAGTTTCTGAGAATGCTTCTGTCTAGTTCTTATTTGAAGACATTTCCTTTCTCACCTTAGGCCTGAAAGCGCTCGAAATACCCACTTCCAGATACTACAGAAACAGTGATTCAAACCTGCTCTATGAAAGGGAATGTTCAACTAGGTGACTTGAATGCAAACATCACAAAGCAGTTTCTGAGAATGCTGCTGTCTACTTTCTATTTGTAATCCCGTTTGCAACGAAATCCTCAGAACTATCGAAATTTCCAATTGCAGATTCCACAGAAACAGGGTTTCAAAGCTGCTCTGTAAAAAGAAAGGTTCAACTCTGTTAGTTGAATACACACGTCACAAACAAGTTTCTGAGAATGCTTCTGTCTAGTTTTTATGGGAAGATATTTCCTTTTTCACCGTAGGCCTCAAAGCGCTCCAAATGTCCACTTCCACATACTACAAAAAGAGTGTTTCAAACCTGCTGTATGAAAGGGAATGTTCAACTCTATGAGTTGAATGCAAACATTACAAAGAAGTTTCTGAGAATGCTTCTGTCTAGATTTTATATGAAGGTTTTCCTGCTTCCAACGAAATTTTCAATGCTCTCAAAATATCCTCTTGTAGATTCTACAAAAAGAGTGTTTCCAAACTGCTGTGTCAAAACAAAGGTTCAACTCTGTTAGTTGAGGACACACATCACAAATAAGTTTCTGAGAATGCTTCTGTCTAGTTCTTATTTGAAGACATTTCCTTTCTCACCTTAGGCCTGAAAGCGCTCGAAATACCCACTTCCAGATACTACAGAAACAGTGATTCAAACCTGCTCTATGAAAGGGAATGTTCAAATATGTGACTTGAATGCAAACATCACAAAGCAGTTTCTGAGAATGCTGCTGTCTACTTTCTATTTGTAATCCCGTTTCCAACGAAATCCTCAGAACTATCGAAATTTCCAATTGCAGATTCCACAGAAACAGGGTTTCAAAGCTGCTCTGTAAAAAGAAAGGTTCAACTCTGTTAGTTGAATACACACGTCACAAACAAGTTTCTGAGAATGCTTCTGTCTAGTTTTTATGGGAAGATATTTCCTTTTTCACCGTAGGCCTCAAAGCGCTCCAAATGTCCACTTCCACATACTACAAAAAGAGTGTTTCAAACCTGCTGTATGAAAGGGAATGTTCAACTCTATGAGTTGAATGCAAACATTACAAAGAAGTTTCTGAGAATGCTTCTGTCTAGATTTTATATGAAGGTTTTCCCGTTTCCAACGAAATTTTCAATGCTCTCAAAATATCCTCTTGTAGATTCTACAAAAAGAGTGTTTCCAAACTGCTGTGTCAAAAGAAAGGTTCAACTCTGTTAGTTGAGGACACACATCACAAATAAGTTTCTGAGAATGCTTCTGTCTAGTTCTTATTTGAAGACATTTCCTTTCTCACCTTAGGCCTGAAAACGCTCGAAATATCCACTTCCAGATACGACAGAAACAGTGATTCAAACCTGCTCTATGAAAGGGAATGTTCTACTAGGTGACTTGAATGCAAACATCACAAAGCAGTTTCTGAGAATGCTGCTGTCTACTTTCTATTTGTAATCCCGTTTCCAACGAAATCCTCAGAACTATCGAAATTTCCAATTGCAGATTCCACAAAAAGCGTGTTTCAAAGCTGCTCTGTAAAAAGAAAGGTTCAACTCTGTTAGTTGAATACACACGTCACAAACAAGTTTCTGAGAATGCTTCTGTCTAGTTTTTATGGGAAGATATTTCCTTTTTCACCGTAGGCCTCAAAGCGCTCCAAATGTCCACTTCCACATACTACAAAAAGAGTGTTTCAAACCTGCTCTATGATAGGGAATGTTGAAACCTATGAGTTGAATGCAAACATTACAAAGAGGTTTCTGAGAATGCTTCTGTCTAGATTTTATATGTAGATATTCCCGTTTCCAACGAAATCCTCAAAGCTATCCAAATATCAACTTGCAGATTCTACAAAAGGAATGTTTCCAAAATGCTGTATCCAAACAAAGGTTCAACTCTGTGAATTGAGGGCATACATCACAAAGAAGAGTCTGAGAATGCTTCTGTCTAGATTTTATATGAAAATATTCCCGTTTCCAACGAAATCCTCAAAGCTATCCAAATATCCACTTGCAAATGCCACAAAAAGAGTGTTTCCAAACTGCTCTGTGAAAAGGAAGGTTCAACTCTGTTAGTTGAGTACACACATCACAAAGAGGTTTCTGAGAATGCTGCTGACTAGTTTTTATTTGAAGATATTTCCCTTTTCACCTTAGGCCTAAGAGTGCTCGAAATGTCCATTTCCACATACTCCACAAAGTGTGTTTCAAACGTGCTGTATGAAAGGTAATGTTCAACTCTATGAGTTGAATGCAAACATCACAAAGAAGATTCTGAGAATGCTTTTGTCTAGATTTTATATGAAGATATTCCCGTGTCCAACGAAATTTTCAAAGGTCTCCAAATATCCATTTGTAGATTCTACAAAAAGAGTGTTTCCAAACTGCTGTATCAAAACAAAGGTTGAACTCTGTGAGTTGAGGACACACATCACAAATAAGTTTCTGAGAATGCTTCTGTCTAGTTTTTATTTGAAGATGTTTCCTTTTTCACCATAGGCCTGAAAGCGCTCGAAATGTCCACTTCCAGATAGTACAGAAAGAGTGTTTCAAACCTGCTCTATGAACGGGAATGTTCAGCTCTGTGAGTTGAATGCAAACATCACAAAGCAGGTTCTGAGAATGCTTCCGTCTAGATTTTAAATGAGGATATTCCCGTTTCCAACGAAATCCTCGAAGCTATCCAAATATCCACTTGCAGATTCCACAAAAAGAGTGTTTCAAAACTGCTCTGTCAAAAGATAGGTTCAACTCTGTTAGTTGAGTACACACATGGCAAACAAGATTCCGAGAATGCTTTCGTCTAGTTTTTTTGGGAAGATATTTCCTTCTTCACCATAGGCCTCAAAGCGCTCCAAATATCCATTTCCACATGCTATACAAAGAGTGTCTCAAACCTGCTGTATGAATGGGAATGTTCAACTCTATGAGTTGAATGCAAACATCACAAAGAAGTTTCTGAGAATGCTGCTGTCTAGATTTTATATGAAGGTTTTCCCGCTTCCAACGAAATTTTCAATGCTCTCAAAATATCCTCTTGTAGATTCTACAAAAAGAGTGTTTCCAAACTGCTGTATCAAAACAAAGGTTCATCTCTGTTAGTTGAGGACACACATCACAAATAAGTTTCTGAGAATGCTTCTGTCTAGTTCTTATTTGAAGACATTTCCTTTCTCACCTTAGGCCTGAAAACGCTCGAAATATCCACTTCCAGATACGACAGAAACAGTGATTCAAACCTGCTCTATGAAAGGGAATGTTCAACTAGGTGACTTGAATGCAAACATCACAAAGCAGTTTCTGAGAATGCTGCTGTCTACTTTCTATTTGTAATCCCGTTTCCAACGAAATCCTCAGAACTATCGAAATTTCCAATTGCAGATTCCACAAAAAGCGTGTTTCAAAGCTGCTCTGTAAAAAGAAAGGTTCAACTCTGTTAGTTGAATACACACGTCACAAACAAGTTTCTGAGAATGCTTCTGTCTAGTTTTTATGGGAAGATATTTCCTTTTTCACCGTAGGCCTCAAAGCGCTCCAAATGTCCACTTCCACATACTACAAAAAGAGTGTTTCAAACCTGCTCTATGATAGGGAATGTTGAAACCTATGAGTTGAATGCAAACATTACAAAGAGGTTTCTGAGAATGCTTCTGTCTAGATTTTATATGTAGATATTCCCGTTTCCAACGAAATCCTCAAAGCTATCCAAATATCAACTTGCAGATTCTACAAAAGGAATGTTTCCAAAATGCTGTATCCAAACAAAGGTTCAACTCTGTGAATTGAGGGCATACATCACAAAGAAGATTGTGAGAATGCTTCTGTCTAGATTTTATATGAAAATATTCCCGCTTCCAACGAAATCCTCAAAGCTATCCAAATATCCACTTGCAAATGCCACAAAAAGAGTGTTTCCAAACTGCTCTGTGAAAAGGAAGGTTCAACTCTGTTAGTTGAGTACACACATCACAAAGAGGTTTCTGAGAATGCTGCTGACTAGTTTTTATTTGAAGATATTTCCCTTTTCACCTTAGGCCTAAGAGTGCTCGAAATGTCCATTTCCACATACTCCACAAAGTGTGTTTCAAACGTGCTGTATGAAAGGGAATGTTCAACTCTATGAGTTGAATGCAAACATCACAAAGAAGATTCTGAGAATGCTTTTGTCTAGATTTTATATGAAGATATTCCCGTGTCCAACGAAATTTTCAAAGGTCTCCAAATATCCATTTGTAGATTCTACAAAAAGAGTGTTTCCAAACTGCTGTATCAAAACAAAGGTTGAACTCTGTGAGCTGAGGACACACATCACAAATAAGTTTCTGAGAATGCTTCTGTCTAGTTTTTATTTGAAGATGTTTCCTTTTTCACCATAGGCCTGAAAGCGCTCGAAATGTCCACTTCCAGATAGTACAGAAAGAGTGTTTCAAACCTGCTCTATGAACGGGAATGTTCAGCTCCGTGAGTTGAATGCAAACATCACAAAGCAGGTTCTGAGAATGCTTCCGTCTAGATTTTAAATGAGGATATTCCCGTTTCCAACGAAATCCTCGAAGCTATCCAAATATCCACTTGCAGATTCCACAGAAAGAGTGTTTCAAAACTGCTCTCTCAAAAGATAGGTTCAACTCTGTTAGTTGAGTACACACATGGCAAACAAGATTCCGAGAATGCTTTCGTCTAGTTTTTTTGGGAAGATATTTCCTTCTTCACCATAGGCCTCAAAGCGCTCCAAATATCCATTTCCACATGCTATACAAAGAGTGTCTCAAACCTGCTGTATGAATGGGAATGTTCAACTCTATGAGTTGAATGCAAACATCACAAAGAAGTTTCTGAGAATGCTGCTGTCTAGATTTTATATGAAGGTTTTCCCGCTTCCAACGAAATTTTCAATGCTCTCAAAATATCCTCTTGTAGATTCTACAAAAAGAGTGTTTCCAAACTGCTGTATCAAAACAAAGGTTCATCTCTGTTAGTTGAGGACACACATCACAAATAAGTTTCTGAGAATGCTTCTGTCTAGTTCTTATTTGAAGACATTTCCTTTCTCACCTTAGGCCTGAAAGCGCTCGAAATACCCACTTCCAGATACTACAGAAACAGTGATTCAAACCTGCTCTATGAAAGGGAATGTTCAACTAGGTGACTTGAATGCAAACATCACAAAGCAGTTTCTGAGAATACTGCTGTCTACTTTCTATTTGTAATCCCGTTTCCAACGAAATCCTCAGAACTATCGAAATTTCCAATTGCAGATTCCACAGAAACAGGGTTTCAAAGCTGCTCTGTAAAAAGAAAGGTTCAACTCTGTTAGTTGAATACACACGTCACAAACAAGTTTCTGAGAATGCTTCTGTCTAGTTTTTATGGGAAGATATTTCCTTTTTCACCGTAGGCCTCAAAGCGCTCCAAATGTCCACTTCCACATACTACAAAAAGAGTGTTTCAAACCTGCTGTATGAAAGGGAATGTTCAACTCTATGAGTCGAATGCAAACATCACAAAGAAGTTTCTGAGAATGCTTCTGTCTAGATTTTATATGAAGGTTTTCCCGTTTCCAACGAAATTTTCAATGCTCTCAAAATATCCACTTGTAGATTCTACAAAAAGAGTGTTTCCAAACTGCTGTGTCAAAAGAAAGGTTCAACTCTGTTAGTTGAGGACACACATCACAAATAAGTTTCTGAGAATGCTTCTGTCTAGTTCTTATTTGAAGACATTTCCTTTCTCACCTTAGGCCTGAAAACGCTCGAAATATCCACTTCCAGATACGACAGAAACAGTGATTCAAACCTGCTCTATGAAAGAGAATGTTCAACTAGGTGACTTGAATGCAAACATCACAAAGCAGTTTTTGAGAATGCTGCTGTCTACTTTCTATTTGTAATCCCGTTTCCAACGAAATCCTCAGAACTATCGAAATTTCCAATTGCAGATTCCACAAAAAGCGTGTTTCAAAGCTGCTCTGTAAAAAGAAAGGTTCAACTCTGTTAGTTGAATACACACGTCACAAACAAGTTTCTGAGAATGCTTCTGTCTAGTTTTTATGGGAAGATATTTCCTTTTTCACCGTAGGCCTCAAAGCGCTCCAAATGTCCACTTCCACATACTACAAAAAGAGTGTTTCAAACCTGCTCTATGATAGGGAATGTTGAAACCTATGAGTTGAATGCAAGCATTACAAAGAGGTTTCTGAGAATGCTTCTGTCTAGATTTTATATGTAGATATTCCCGTTTCCAACGAAATCCTCAAAGCTATCCAAATATCAGCTTGCAGATTCTGCAAAAGGAATGTTTCCAAAATGCTGTATCCAAACAAAGGTTCAACTCTGTGAATTGAGGGCATACATCACAAAGAAGATTCTGAGAATGCTTCTGTCTAGATTTTATATGAAAATATTCCCGTTTCCAACGAAATCCTCAAAGCTATCCAAATATCCACTTGCAAATGCCACAAAAAGAGTGTTTCCAAACTGCTCTGTGAAAAGGAAGGTTCAACTCTGTTAGTTGAGTACACACATCACAAAGAGGTTTCTGAGAATGCTGCTGACTAGTTTTTATTTGAAGATATTTCCCTTTTCACCTTAGGCCTAAGAGTGCTCGAAATGTCCATTTCCACATACTCCACAAAGTGTGTTTCAAACGTGCTGTATGAAAGGGAATGTTCAACTCTATGAGTTGAATGCAAACATCACAAAGAAGATTCTGAGAATGCTTTTGTCTAGATTTTATATGAAGATATTCCCGTGTCCAACGAAATTTTCAAAGGTCTCCAAATATCCATTTGTAGATTCTACAAAAAGAGTGTTTCCAAACTGCTGTATCAAAACAAAGGTTGAACTCTGTGAGTTGAGGACACACATCACAAATAAGTTTCTGAGAATGCTTCTGTCTAGTTTTTATTTGAAGATGTTTCCTTTTTCACCATAGGCCTGAAAGCGCTCGAAATGTCCACTTCCAGATAGTACAGAAAGAGTGTTTCAAACCTGCTCTATGAACGGGAATGTTCAGCTCTGTGAGTTGAATGCAAACATCACAAAGCAGGTTCTGAGAATGCTTCCGTCTAGATTTTAAATGAGGATATTCCCGTTTCCAACGAAATCCTCGAAGCTATCCAAATATCCACTTGCAGATTCCACAAAAAGAGTGTTTCAAAACTGCTCTGTCAAAAGATAGGTTCAACTCTGTTAGTTGAGTACACACATGGCAAACAAGATTCCGAGAATGCTTTCGTCTAGTTTTTTTGGGAAGATATTTCCTTCTTCACCATAGGCCTCAAAGCGCTCCAAATATCCATTTCCACATGCTATACAAAGAGTGTCTCAAACCTGCTGTATGAATGGGAATGTTCAACTCTATGAGTTGAATGCAAACATCACAAAGAAGTTTCTGAGAATGCTGCTGTCTAGATTTTATATGAAGGTTTTCCCGCTTCCAACGAAATTTTCAACGCTCTCAAAATATCCTCTTGTAGATTCTACAAAAAGAGTGTTTCCAAACTGCTGTATCAAAACAAAGGTTCATCTCTGTTAGTTGAGGACACACATCACAAATAAGTTTCTGAGAATGCTTCTGTCTAGTTCTTATTTGAAGACATTTCCTTTCTCACCTTAGGCCTGAAAGCGCTCGAAATACCCACTTCCAGATACTACAGAAACAGTGATTCAAACCTGCTCTATGAAAGGGAATGTTCAACTAGGTGACTTGAATGCAAACATCACAAAGCAGTTTCTGAGAATGCTGCTGTCTACTTTCTATTTGTAATCCCGTTTCCAACGAAATCCTCAGAACTATCGAAATTTCCAATTGCAGATTCCACAGAAACAGGGTTTCAAAGCTGCTCTGTAAAAAGAAAGGTTCAACTCTGTTAGTTGAATACACACGTCACAAACAAGTTTCTGAGAATGCTTCTGTCTAGTTTTTATGGGAAGATATTTCCTTTTTCACCGTAGGCCTCAAAGCGCTCCAAATGTCCACGTCCACATACTACAAAAAGAGTGTTTCAAACCTGCTGTATGAAAGGGAATGTTCAACTCTATGAGTTGAATGCAAACATTACAAAGAAGTTTCTGAGAATGCTTCTGTCTAGATTTTATATGAAGGTTTTCCCGTTTCCAACGAAATTTTCAATGCTCTCAAAATATCCACTTGTAGATTCTACAAAAAGAGTGTTTCCAAACTGCTGTGTCAAAAGAAAGGTTCAACTCTGTTAGTTGAGGACACACATCACAAATAAGTTTCTGAGAATGCTTCTGTCTAGTTCTTATTTGAAGACATTTCCTTTCTCACCTTAGGCCTGAAAACGCTCGAAATATCCACTTCCAGATACGACAGAAACAGTGATTCAAACCTGCTCTCTGAAAGGGAATGTTCAACTAGGTGACTTGAATGCAAACATCACAAAGCAGTTTCTGAGAATGCTGCTGTCTACTTTCTATTTGTAATCCCGTTTCCAACGAAATCCTCAGAACTATCGAAATTTCCAATTGCAGATTCCACAAAAAGCGTGTTTCAAAGCTGCTCTGTAAAAAGAAAGGTTCAACTCTGTTAGTTGAATACACACGTCACAAACAAGTTTCTGAGAATGCTTCTGTCTAGTTTTTATGGGAAGATATTTCCTTTTTCACCGTAGGCCTCAAAGCGCTCCAAATGTCCACTTCCACATACTACAAAAAGAGTGTTTCAAACCTGCTCTATGATAGGGAATGTTGAAACCTATGAGTTGAATGCAAGCATTCCAAAGAGGTTTCTGAGAATGCTTCTGTCTAGATTTTATATGTAGATATTCCCGTTTCCAACGAAATCCTCAAACTATCCAAATATCAACTTGCAGATTCTACAAAAGGAATGTTTCCAAAATGCTGTATCCAAACAAAGGTTCAACTCTGTGAATTGAGGGCATACATCACAAAGAAGATTCTGAGAATGCTTCTGTCTAGATTTTATATGAAAATATTCCCGTTTCCAACGAAATCCTCAAAGCTATCCAAATATCCACTTGCAAATGCCACAAAAAGAGTGTTTCCAAACTGCTCTGTGAAAAGGAAGGTTCAACTCTGTTAGTTGAGTACACACATCACAAAGAGGTTTCTGAGAATGCTGCTGACTAGTTTTTATTTGAAGATATTTCCCTTTTCACCTTAGGCCTAAGAGTGCTCGAAATGTCCATTTCCACATACTCCACAAAGTGTGTTTCAAACGTGCTGTATGAAAGGGAATGTTCAACTCTATGAGTTGAATGCAAACATCACAAAGAAGATTCTGAGAATGCTTTTGTCTAGATTTTATATGAAGATATTCCCGTGTCAAACGAAATTTTCAAAGGTCTCCAAATATCCATTTGCAGATTCTACAAAAAGAGTGTTTCCAAACTGCTGTATCAAAACAAAGGTTGAACTCTGTGAGTTGAGGACACACATCACAAATAAGTTTCTGAGAATGCTTCTGTCTAGTTTTTATTTGAAGATGTTTCCTTTTTCACCATAGGCCTGAAAGCGCTCGAAATGTCCACTTCCAGATAGTACAGAAAGAGTGTTTCAAACCTGCTCTATGAACAGGAATGTTCAGCTCTGTGAGTTGAATGCAAACATCACAAAGCAGGTTCTGAGAATGCTTCCGTCTAGATTTTAAATGAGGATATTCCCGTTTCCAACGAAATCCTCGAAGCTATCCAAATATCCACTTGCAGATTCCACAGAAAGAGTGTTTCAAAACTGCTCTGTCAAAAGATAGGTTCAACTCTGTTAGTTGAGTACACACATGGCAAACAAGATTCCGAGAATGCTTTCGTCTAGTTTTTTTGGGAAGATATTTCCTTCTTCACCATAGGCCTCAAAGCGCTCCAAATATCCATTTCCACATGCTATACAAAGAGTGTCTCAAACCTGCTGTATGAATGGGAATGTTCAACTCTATGAGTTGAATGCAAACATCACAAAGAAGTTTCTGAGAATGCTGCTGTCTAGATTTTATATGAAGGTTTTCCCGCTTCCAACGAAATTTTCAATGCTCTCAAAATATCCTCTTGTAGATTCTACAAAAAGAGTGTTTCCAAACTGCTGTATCAAAACAAAGGTTCATCTCTGTTAGGTGAGGACACACATCACAAATAAGTTTCTGAGAATGCTTCTGTCTAGTTCTTATTTGAAGACATTTCTTTTCTCACCTTAGGCCTGAAAGCGCTCGAAATACCCACTTCCAGATACTACAGAAACAGTGATTCAAACCTGCTCTATGAAAGGGAATGTTCAACTATGTGACTTGAATGCAAACATCACAAAGCAGTTTCTGAGAATGCTGCTGTCTACTTTCAATTTGTAATCCCGTTTCCAACGAAATCCTCAGAACTATCGAAATTTCCAATTGCAGATTCCACAGAAACAGGGTTTCAAAGCTGCTCTGTAAAAAGAAAGGTTCAACTCTGTTAGTTGAATACACACGTCACAAACAAGTTTCTGAGAATGCTTCTGTCTAGTTTTTATGGGAAGATATTTCCTTTTTCACCATAGGCCTCAAAGCGCTCCAAATGTCCACTTCCACATACTACAAAAAGAGTGTTTCAAACCTGCTGTATGAAAGGGAATGTTCAACTCTATGAGTTGAATGCAAACATTACAAAGAAGTTTCTGAGAATGCTTCTGTCTAGATTTTATATGAAGGTTTTCCCGTTTCCAACGAAATTTTCAATGCTCTCAAAATATCCACTTGTAGATTCTACAAAAAGAGTGTTTCCAAACTGCTGTGTCAAAAGAAAGGTTCAACTCTGTTAGTTGAGGACACACATCACAAATAAGTTTCTGAGAATGCTTCTGTCTAGTTCTTATTTGAAGACATTTCCTTTCTCACCTTAGGCCTGAAAACGCTCGAAATATCCACTTCCAGATACGACAGAAACAGTGATTCAAACCAGCTCTATGAAAGGGAATGTTCAACTAGGTGACTTGAATGCAAACATCACAAAGCAGTTTCTGAGAATGCTGCTGTCTACTTTCTATTTGTAATCCCGTTTCCAACGAAATCCTCAGAACTATCGAAATTTCCAATTGCAGATTCCACAAAAAGCGTGTTTCAAAGCTGCTGTGTAAAAAGAAAGGTTCAACTCTGTTAGTTGAATACACACGTCACAAACAAGTTTCTGAGAATGCTTCTGTCTAGTTTTTATGGGAAGATATTTCCTTTTTCACCGTAGGCCTCAAAGCGCTCCAAATGTCCACTTCCACATACTACAAAAAGAGTGTTTCAAACCTGCTCTATGATAGGGAATGTTGAAACCTATGAGTTGAATGCAAACATTACAAAGAGGTTTCTGAGAATGCTTCTGTCTAGATTTTATATGTAGATATTCCCGTTTCCAACGAAATCCTCAAAGCTATCCAAATATCAACTTGCAGATTCTACAAAAGGAATGTTTCCAAAATGCTGTATCCAAACAAAGGTTCAACTCTGTGAATTGAGGGCATACATCACAAAGAAGATTCTGAGAATGCTTCCTGTCTAGATTTTATATGAAAATATTCCCGTTTCCAACGAAATCCTCAAAGCTATCCAAATATCCACTTGCAAATGCCACAAAAAGAGTGTTTCCAAACTGCTCTGTGAAAAGGAAGGTTCAACTCTGTTAGTTGAGTACACACATCACAAAGAGGTTTCTGAGAATGCTGCTGACTAGTTTTTATTTGAAGATATTTCCCTTTTCACCTTAGGCCTAAGAGTGCTCGAAATGTCCATTTCCACATACTCCACAAAGTGTGTTTCAAACGTGCTGTATGAAAGGGAATGTTCAACTCTATGAGTTGAATGCAAACATCACAAAGAAGATTCTGAGAATGCTTTTGTCTAGATTTTATATGAAGATATTCCCGTGTCCAACGAAATTTTCAAAGGTCTCCAAATATCCATTTGTAGATTCTACAAAAAGAGTGTTTCCAAACTGCTGTATCAAAACAAAGGTTGAACTCTGTGAGTTGAGGACACACATCACAAATAAGTTTCTGAGAATGCTTCCTGTCTAGTTTTTATTTGAAGATGTTTCCTTTTTCACCATAGGCCTGAAAGCGCTCGAAATGTCCACTTCCAGATAGTACAGAAAGAGTGTTTCAAACCTGCTCTATGAACGGGAATGTTCAGCTCTGTGAGTTGAATGCAAACATCACAAAGCAGGTTCTGAGAATGCTTCCGTCTAGATTTTAAATGAGGATATTCCCGTTTCCAACGAAATCCTCGAAGCTATCCAAATATCCACTTGCAGATTCCACAAAAAGAGTGTTTCAAAACTGCTTTGTCAAAGGATACGTTCAACTCTGTTAGTTGAGTACACACATGGCAAACAAGATTCCGAGAATGCTTTCGTCTAGTTTTTTTGGGAAGATAATTCCTTCTTCACCATAGGCCTCAAAGCGCTCCAAATATCCATTTCCACATGCTATACAAAGAGTGTCTCAAACCTGCTGTATGAATGGGAATGTTCAACTCTATGAGTTGAATGCAAACATCACAAAGAAGTTTCTGAGAATGCTGCTGTCTAGATTTTATATGAAGGTTTTCCCGCTTCCAACGAAATTTTCAATGCTCTCAAAATATCCTCTTGTAGATTCTACAAAAAGAGTGTTTCCAAACTGCTGTATCAAAACAAAGGTTCATCTCTGTTAGTTGAGGACACACATCACAAATAAGTTTCTGAGAATGCTTCTGTCTAGTTCTTATTTGAAGACATTTCCTTTCTCACCTTAGGCCTGAAAGCGCTCGAAATACCCACTTCCAGATACTACAGAAACAGTGATTCAAACCTGCTCTATGAAAGGGAATGTTCAACTATGTGACTTGAATGCAAACATCACAAAGCAGTTTCTGAGAATGCTGCTGTCTACTTTCTATTTGTAATCCCGTTTCCAACGAAATCCTCAGAACTATCGAAATTTCCAATTGCAGATTCCACAGAAACAGGGTTTCAAAGCTGCTCTGTAAAAAGAAAGGTTCAACTCTGTTAGTTGAATACACACGTCACAAACAAGTTCTGAGAATGCTTCTGTCTAGTTTTTATGGGAAGATATTTCCTTTTTCACGGTAGGCCTCAAAGCGCTCCAAATGTCCACTTCCACATACTACAAAAAGAGTGTTTCAAACCTGCTCTATGATAGGGAATGTTGAAACCTATGAGTTGAATGCAAGCATTACAAAGAGGTTTCTGAGAATGCTTCTGTCTAGATTTTATATGTAGATATTCCCGTTTCCAACGAAATCCTCAAAGCTATCCAAATATCAACTTGCAGATTCTGCAAAAGGAATGTTTCCAAAATGCTGTATCCAAACAAAGGTTCAACTCTGTGAATTGAGGGCATACATCACAAAGAAGATTCTGAGAATGCTTCTGTCTAGATTTTATATGAAAATATTCCCGTTTCCAACGAAATCCTCAAAGCTATCCAAATATCCACTTGCAAATGCCACAAAAAGAGTGTTTCCAAACTGCTCTGTGAAAAGGAAGGTTCAACTCTGTTAGTTGAGTACACACATCACAAAGAGGTTTCTGAGAATGCTGCTGACTAGTTTTTATTTGAAGATATTTCCCTTTTCACCTTAGGCCTAAGAGTGCTCGAAATGTCCATTTCCACATACTCCACAAAGTGTGTTTCAAACGTGCTGTATGAAAGGGAATGTTCAACTCTATGAGTTGAATGCAAACATCACAAAGAAGATTCTGAGAATGCTTTTGTCTAGATTTTATATGAAGATATTCCCGTGTCCAACGAAATTTTCAAAGGTCTCCAAATATCCATTTGTAGATTCTACAAAAAGAGTGTTTCCAAACTGCTGTATCAAAACAAAGGTTGAACTCTGTGAGTTGAGGACACACATCACAAATAAGTTTCTGAGAATGCTTCTGTCTAGTTTTTATTTGAAGATGTTTCCTTTTTCACCATAGGCCTGAAAGCGCTCGAAATGTCCACTTCCAGATAGTACAGAAAGAGTGTTTCAAACCTGCTCTATGAACGGGAATGTTCAGCTCTGTGAGTTGAATGCAAACATCACAAAGCAGGTTCCGAGAATGCTCCGTCTAGTATTTTAAATGAGGATATTCCCGTTTCCAACGAAATCCTCGAAGCTATCCAAATATCCACTTGCAGATTCCACAAAAAGAGTGTTTCAAAACTGCTCTGTCAAAAGATAGGTTCAACTCTGTTAGTTGAGTACACACATGGCAAACAAGATTGCGAGAATGCTTTCGTCTAGTTTTTTTGGGAAGATATTTCCTTCTTCACCATAGGCCTCAAAGCGCTCCAAATATCCATTTCCACATGCTATACAAAGAGTGTCTCAAACCTGCTGTATGAATGGGAATGTTCAACTCTATGAGTTGAATGCAAACATCACAAAGAAGTTTCTGAGAATGCTGCTGTCTAGATTTTATATGAAGGTTTTCCCGCTTCCAACGAAATTTTCAATGCTCTCAAAATATCCTCTTGTAGATTCTACAAAAAGAGTGTTTCCAAACTGCTGTATCAAAACAAAGGTTCATCTCTGTTAGTTGAGGACACACATCACAAATAAGTTTCTGAGAATGCTTCTGTCTAGTTCTTATTTGAAGACATTTCCTTTCTCACCTTAGGCCTGAAAGCGCTCGAAATACCCACTTCCAGATACTACAGAAACAGTGATTCAAACCTGCTCTATGAAAGGGAATGTTCAACTATGTGACTTGAATGCAAACATCACAAAGCAGTTTCTGAGAATGCTGCTGTCTACTTTCTATTTGTAATCCCGTTTCCAACGAAATCCTCAGAACTATCGAAATTTCCAATTGCAGATTCCACAGAAACAGGGTTTCAAAGCTGCTCTGTAAAAAGAAAGGTTCAACTCTGTTAGTTGAATACACACGTCACAAACAAGTTTCTGAGAATGCTTCTGTCTAGTTTTTATGGGAAGATATTTCCTTTTTCACCGTAGGCCTCAAAGCGCTCCAAGTGTCCACTTCCACATACTACAAAAAGAGTGTTTCAAACCTGCTGTATGAAAGGGAATGTTCAACTCTATGAGTTGAATGCAAACATTACAAAGAAGTTTCTGAGAATGCTTCTGTCTAGATTTTATATGAAGGTTTTCCCGTTTCCAACGAAATTTTCAATGCTCTCAAAATATCCACTTGTAGATTCTACAAAAAGAGTGTTTCCAAACTGCTGTGTCAAAAGAAAAGTTCAACTCTGTTAGTTGAGGACACACATCACAAATAAGTTTCTGAGAATGCTTCTGTCTAGTTCTTATTTGAAGACATTTCCTTTCTCACCTTAGGCCTGAAAACGCTCGAAATATCCACTTCCAGATACGACAGAAACAGTGATTCAAACCTGCTCTATGAAAGGGAATGTTCAACTAGGTGACTTGAATGCAAACATCACAAAGCAGTTTCTGAGAATGCTGCTGTCTACTTTCTATTTGTAATCCCGTTTCCAACGAAATCCTCAGAACTATCGAAATTTCCAATTGCAGATTCCACAAAAAGCGTGTTTCAAAGCTGCTCTGTAAAAAGAAAGGTTCAACTCTGTTAGTTGAATACACACGTCACAAACAAGTTTCTGAGAATGCTTCTGTCTAGTTTTTATGGGAAGATATTTCCTTTTTCACGGTAGGCCTCAAAGCGCTCCAAATGTCCACTTCCACATACTACAAAAAGAGTGTTTCAAACCTGCTCTATGATAGGGAATGTTGAAACCTATGAGTTGAATGCAAGCATTACAAAGAGGTTTCTGAGAATGCTTCTGTCTAGATTTTATATGTAGATATTCCCGTTTCCAATGAAATCCTCAAAGCTATCCAAATATCAACTTGCAGATTCTACAAAAGGAATGTTTCCAAAATGCTGTATCCAAACAAAGGTTCAACTCTGTGAATTGAGGGCATACATCACAAAGAAGATTCTGAGAATGCTTTCCTGTCTAGATTTTATATGAAAATATTCCCGTTTCCAACGAAATCCTCAAAGCTATCCAAATATCCACTTGCAAATGCCACAAAAAGAGTGTTTCCAAACTGCTCTGTGAAAAGGAAGGTTCAACTCTGTTAGTTGAGTACACACATCACAAAGAGGTTTCTGAGAATGCTGCTGACTAGTTTTTATTTGAAGATATTTCCCTTTTCACCTTAGGCCTAAGAGTGCTCGAAATGTCCATTTCCACATACTCCACAAAGTGTGTTTCAAACGTGCTGTATGAAAGGGAATGTTCAACTCTATGAGTTGAATGCAAACATCACAAAGAAGATTCTGAGAATGCTTTTGTCTAGATTTTATATGAAGATATTCCCGTGTCCAACGAAATTTTCAAAGGTCTCCAAATATCCATTTGTAGATTCTACAAAAAGAGTGTTTCCAAACTGCTGTATCAAAACAAAGGTTGAACTCTGTGAGTTGAGGACACACAACACAAATAAGTTTCTGAGAATGCTTCTGTCTAGTTTTTATTTGAAGATGTTTCCTTTTTCACCATAGGCCTGAAAGCGCTCGAAATGTCCACTTCCAGATAGTACAGAAAGAGTGTTTCAAACCTGCTCTATGAACGGGAATGTTCAGCTCTGTGAGTTGAATGCAAACATCACAAAGCAGGTTCTGAGAATGCTTCCGTCTAGATTTTAAATGAGGATATTCCCGTTTCCAACGAAATCCTCGAAGCTATCCAAATATCCACTTGCAGATTCCACAAAAAGAGTGTTTCAAAACTGCTCTGTCAAAAGATAGGTTCAACTCTGTTAGTTGAGTACACACATGGCAAACAAGATTCCGAGAATGCTTTCGTCTAGTTTTTTTGGGAAGATATTTCCTTCTTCACCATAGGCCTCAAAGCGCTCCAAATATCCATTTCCACATGCTATACAAAGAGTGTCTCAAACCTGCTGTATGAATGGGAATGTTCAACTCTATGAGTTGAATGCAAACATCACAAAGAAGTTTCTGAGAATGCTGCTGTCTAGATTTTATATGAAGGCTTTCCCTCTTCCAACGAAATTTTCAATGCTCTCAAAATATCCTCTTGTAGATTCTACAAAAAGAGTGTTTCCAAACTGCTGTATCAAAACAAAGGTTCATCTCTGTTAGTTGAGGACACACATCACAAATAAGTTTCTGAGAATGCTTCTGTCTAGTTCTTATTTGAAGACATTTCCTTTCTCACCTTAGGCCTGAAAGTGCTCGAAATACCCACTTCCAGATACTACAGAAACAGTGATTCAAACCTGCTCTATGAAAGGGAATGTTCAACTATGTGACTTGAATGCAAACATCACAAAGCAGTTTCTGAGAATGCTGCTGTCTACTTTCTATTTGTAATCCCGTTTCCAACGAAATCCTCAGAACTATCGAAATTTCCAATTGCAGATTCCACAGAAACAGGGTTTCAAAGCTGCTCTGTAAAAAGAAAGGTTCAACTCTGTTAGTTGAATACACACGTCACAAACAAGTTTCTGAGAATGCTTCTGTCTAGTTTTTATGGGAAGATATTTCCTTTTTCACCGTAGGCCTCAAAGCGCTCCAAATGTCCACTTCCACATACTACAAAAAGAGTGTTTCAAACCTGCTGTATGAAAGGGAATGTTCAACTCTATGAGTCGAATGCAAACATGACAAAGAAGTTTCTGAGAATGCTTCTGTCTAGATTTCATATGAAGGTTTTCCCGCTTCCAACGAAATTTTCAATGCTCTCCAATTATCCACTTGTAGATTCTACAAAAATAGTGTTTCCAAACTGCTGTATCAAAACAAAGGTTCAACTCAGTTGAGGACACACATCACAAATAAGTTTCTGAGAATGCGTCTGTCTAGTTTTTATTTGAAAACATTTCCTTTCTCACCTTAGGCCTGAAAGCGCACGAAATATCCACTTCCAGATACTACAGAAACAGTGATTCAAACCTGCTCTATGAAAGGGAATGTTCAACTATGTGACTTGAATGCAAACACCACAAAGCAGTTTCTGAGAATGCTGCTGTGTACTTTTTATATGTAATCCCGTTTCCAACGAAATCCTCAGAACTATCGAAATTTCCACTTGCAGATTCCACAAAAAGAGTGTTTCAAAGCTGCTCTGTAAAAAGAAAGGTTCAACTCTGTTAGTTGAATACACACGTCACAAACAAGTTTCTGAGAATGCTTCTGTCTAGTTTTTATGGGAAGATATTTCCTTTTTCGCCGTAGGCCTCAAAGCGCTCCAAATGTCCACTTCCACATACTACAAAAGGAGAGTTTCAAACCTGCGCTATGATAGGGAATGTTGAAATCTATGAGTTGAATGCAAACATCACAAAGAAGTTACTGAGAATCCTTCTGTCTTGATTTTATACGAAGATATTCCCGTTTCCAATGAAATCCTCGGAGCTATCCATATATCCACTTGCAGGTTCTACAAAAAGAGTTCTTCTAAACTTCTGTATCAAACCAACGGTTCTACTCTGTTATTGGAGGACACACATCACAAATAAGTTTCTGAGAATGCTGCTGTCTACTTTCTATTTGTAATCCCGTTTCCAATGAAATCCTCAGAACTATCGAAATTTTCAATTGCAGATTCCACAAAAAGAGTGTTTCAAAGCTGCCCTGTAAAAAGAAAGGTTCAACTCTGTTAGTTGAATACACACGTCACAAACAAGTTTCTGAGAATGCTTCTGTCTAGTTTTTATGGGAAGATATTTCCTTTTTCACCGTAGGCCTCAAAGGGCTCCAAATGTCCATTTCCACATACTACAAAAAGAGTGTTTCAAACCTGCTGTATGAAACGGAATGTTCAACTCTATGAGTTGAATGCAAACATTACAAAGTAGTTTCTTAGAATGCTTCTGTCTAGATTTTATATGAAGGTTTTCCCGCTTCCAACGAAATTTTCAATGCTCTCAAAATATCCACTTGTAGATTCTACAAAAAGAGTGTTTCCAAACTGCTGTATCAAAACAAAGATTCAACTCTGTTAGTTGAGGACACACATCACAAATAAGTTTCTGAGAATGCTTCTGTCTAGTTCTTATTTGAAGACATTTCCTTTCTCACCTTAGGCCTGAAAGCGCTCGAAATATCCACTTCTAGATACTGCAGAGACAGTGATTCAAACCTGCTCTATGAAAGGGAATGTTCAACTATGTGACTTGAATGCAAACATCACAAAGCAGTTTCTGAGAATGCTGCTGTCGACTTTCTATTTGTAATCCCCTTTCCAACGAAATCCTCAGAACTATCGAAATTTCCAATTGCAGATTCCACAAAAAGAGTGTTTCAAAGCGGCTCTGTAAAAAGAAAGGTTCAACTCTGTTAGTTGAATACACGGCAGAAACAAGTTTCTGAGAATGCTTCTGTCTAGTTTTTATGGGAAGATATTTCCTTTTTCACCGTAGGCCTCAAAGCGCTCCAAATGTCCACTTCCACATACTACAAAAAGAGTGTTTCAAACCTGATCTATGATAGGGAATGTTGAAACCTATGAGTTGAATGCAAGCATTACAAAGAGGTTTCTGAGAATGCTTCTGTCTAGATTTTATATGTAGATATTCCCGTTTCCAACGAAATCCTCAAAGCTATCCAAATATCAACTTGCAGATTCTACAAACGGAATGTTTCCAAAATGCTGTATCCAAACAAAGGTTCAACTCTGTGAATTGAGGGCATACATCACAAAGAAGATTCTGAGAATGCTTCTGTCTAGATTTTATATGAAAATATTCCCGTTTCCAACGAAATCCTCAAAGCTATCCAAATATCCACTTGCAAATGCCACAAAAAGAGTGTTTCCAAACTGCTCTGTGAAAAGGAAGGTTCAACTCTGTTAGTTGAGTACACACATCACAAAGAGGTTTCTGAGAATGCTGCTGACTAGTTTTTATTTGAAGATATTTCCCTTTTCACCTTAGGCCTAAGAGTGCTCGAAATGTCCATTTCCACATACTCCACAAAGTGTGTTTCAAACGTGCTGTATGAAAGGGAATGTTCAACTCTATGAGTTGAATGCAAACATCACAAAGAAGATTCTGAGAATGCTTTTGTCTAGATTTTATATGAAGATATTCCCGTGTCCAACGAAATTTTCAAAGGTCTCCAAATATCCATTTGTAGATTCTACAAAAAGAGTGTTTCCAAACTGCTGTATCAAAACAAAGGTTGAACTCTGTGAGTTGAGGACACACATCACAAATAAGTTTCTGAGAATGCTTCTGTCTAGTTTTTATTTGAAGATGTTTCCTTTTTCACCATAGGCCTGAAAGCGCTCGAAATGTCCACTTCCAGATAGTACAGAAAGAGTGTTTCAAACCTGCTCTATGAACGGGAATGTTCAGCTCTGTGAGTTGAATGCAAACATCACAAAGCAGGTTCTGAGAATGCTTCCCGTCTAGATTTTAAATGAGGATATTCCCGTTTCCAACGAAATCCTCGAAGCTATCCAAATATCCACTTGCAGATTCCACAAAAAGAGTGTTTCAAAACTGCTCTGTCAAAAGATAGGTTCAACTCTGTTAGTTGAGTACACACATGGCAAACAAGATTCCGAGAATGCTTTCGTCTAGTTTTTTTGGGAAGATATTTCCTTCTTCACCATAGGCCTCAAAGCGCTCCAAATATCCATTTCCACATGCTATACAAAGAGTGTCTCAAACCTGCTGTATGAATGGGAATGTTCAACTCTATGAGTTGAATGCAAACATCACAAAGAAGTTTCTGAGAATGCTGCTGTCTAGATTTTATATGAAGGTTTTCCCGCTTCCAACGAAATTTTCAATGCTCTCAAAATATCCTCTTGTAGATTCTACAAAAAGAGTGTTTCCAAACTGCTGTATCAAAACAAAGGTTCATCTCTGTTAGTTGAGGACACACATCACAAATAAGTTTCTGAGAATGCTTCTGTCTAGTTCTTATTTGAAGACATTTCCTTTCTCACCTTAGGCCTGAAAGCGCTCGAAATACCCACTTCCAGATACTACAGAAACAGTGATTCAAACCTGCTCTATGAAAGGGAATGTTCACCTATGTGACTTGAATGCAAACATCACAAAGCAGTTTCTGAGAATGCTGCTGTCTACTTTCTATTTGTAATCCCGTTTCCAACGAAATCCTCAGAACTATCGAAATTTCCAATTGCAGATTCCACAGAAACAGGGTTTCAAAGCTGCTCTGTAAAAAGAAAGGTTCAACTCTGTTAGTTGAATACACACGTCACAAACAAGTTTCTGAGAATGCTTCTGTCTAGTTTTTATGGGAAGATATTTCCTTTTTCACCGTAGGCCTCAAAGCGCTCCAAATGTCCACTTCCACATACTACAAAAAGAGTGTTTCAAACCTGCTGTATGAAAGGGAATGTTCAACTCTATGAGTTGAATGCAAACATTACAAAGAAGTTTCTGAGAATGCTTCTGTCTAGATTTTATATGAAGGTTTTCCCGTTTCCAACGAAATTTTCAATGCTCTCAAAATATCCACTTGTAGATTCTACAAAAAGAGTGTTTCCAAACTGCTGTGTCAAAAGAAAGGTTCAACTCTGTTAGTTGAGGACACACATCACAAATAAGTTTCTGAGAATGCTTCTGTCTAGTTCTTATTTGAAGACATTTCCTTTCTCACCTTAGGCCTGAAAACGCTCGAAATATCCACTTCCAGATACGACAGAAACAGTGATTCAAACCTGCTCTATGAAAGGGAATGTTCAACTAGGTGACTTGAATGCAAACATCACAAAGCAGTTTCTGAGAATGCTGCTGTCTACTTTCTATTTGTAATCCCGTTTCCAACGAAATCCTCAGAACTATCGAAATTTCCAATTGCAGATTCCACAAAAAGCGTGTTTCAAAGCTGCTCTGTAAAAAGAAAGGTTCAACTCTGTTAGTTGAATACACACGTCACAAACAAGTTTCTGAGAATGCTTCTGTCTAGTTTTTATGGGAAGATATTTCCTTTTTCACCGTAGGCCTCAAAGCGCTCCAAATGTCCACTTCCACATACTACAAAAAGAGTGTTTCAAACCTGCTCTATGATAGGGAATGTTGAAACCTATGAGTTGAATGCAAGCATTACAAAGAGGTTTCTGAGAATGCTTCTGTCTAGATTTTATATGTAGATATTCCCGTTTCCAACGAAATCCTCAAAGCTATCCAAATATCAACTTGCAGATTCTACAAAAGGAATGTTTCCAAAATGCTGTATCCAAACAAAGGTTCAACTCTGTGAATTGAGGGCATACATCACAAAGAAGATTTTGAGAATGCTTCTGTCTAAATTTTATATGAAAATATTCCCGTTTCCAACGAAATCCTCAAAGCTATCCAAATATCCACTTGCAAATGCCACAAAAAGAGTGTTTCCAAACTGCTCTGTGAAAAGGAAGGTTCAACTCTGTTAGTTGAGTACACACATCACAAAGAGGTTTCTGAGAATGCTGCTGACTAGTTTTTATTTGAAGATATTTCCCTTTTCACCTTAGGCCTAAGAGTGCTCGAAATGTCCATTTCCACATACTCCACAAAGTGTGTTTCAAACGTGCTGTATGAAAGGGAATGTTCAACTCTATGAGTTGAATGCAAACATCACAAAGAAGATTCTGAGAATGCTTTTGTCTAGATTTTATATGAAGATATTCCCGTGTCCAACGAAATTTTCAAAGGTCTCCAAATATCCATTTGTAGATTCTACAAAAAGAGTGTTTCCAAACTGCTGTATCAAAACAAAGGTTGAACTCTGTGAGTTGAGGACACACATCACAAATAAGTTTCTGAGAATGCTTCTGTCTAGTTTTTATTTGAAGATGTTTCCTTTTTCACCATAGGCCTGAAAGCGCTCGAAATGTCCACTTCCAGATAGTACAGAAAGAGTGTTTCAAACCTGCTCTATGAACGGGAATGTTCAGCTCTGTGAGTTGAATGCAAACATCACAAAGCAGGTTCTGAGAATGCTTCCGTCTAGATTTTAAATGAGGATATTCCCGTTTCCAACGAAATCCTCGAAGCTATCCAAATATCCACTTGCAGATTCCACAAAAAGAGTGTTTCAAAACTGCTCTGTCAAAAGATAGGTTCAACTCTGTTAGTTGAGTACACACATGGCAAACAAGATTCCGAGAATGCTTTCGTCTAGTTTTTTTGGGAAGATATTTCCTTCTTCACCATAGGCCTCAAAGCGCTCCAAATATCCATTTCCACATGCTATACAAAGAGTGTCTCAAACCTGCTGTATGAATGGGAATGTTCAACTCTATGAGTTGAATGCAAACATCACAAAGAAGTTTCTGAGAATGCTGCTGTCTAGATTTTATATGAAGGTTTTCCCGCTTCCAACGAAATTTTCAATGCTCTCAAAATATCCTCTTGTAGATTCTACAAAAAGAGTGTTTCCAAACTGCTGTATCAAAACAAAGGTTCATCTCTGTTAGTTGAGGACACACATCACAAATAAGTTTCTGAGAATGCTTCTGTCTAGTTCTTATTTGAAGACATTTCCTTTCTCACCTTAGGCCTGAAAGCGCTCGAAATACCCACTTCCAGATACTACAGAAACAGTGATTCAAACCTGCTCTATGAAAGGGAATGTTCCACTAGGTGACTTGAATGCAAACATCACAAAGCAGTTTCTGAGAATGCTGCTGTCTACTTTCTATTTGTAATCCCGTTTCCAACGAAATCCTCAGAACTATCGAAATTTCCAATTGCAGATTCCACAGAAACAGGGTTTCAAAGCTGCTCTGTAAAAAGAAAGGTTCAACTCTGTTAGTTGAATACACACGTCACAAACAAGTTTCTGAGAATGCTTCTGTCTAGTTTTTATGGGAAGATATTTCCTTTTTCACCGTAGGCCTCAAAGCGCTCCAAATGTCCACTTCCACATACTACAAAAAGAGTGTTTCAAACCTGCTCTATGATAGGGAATGTTGAAACCTATGAGTTGAATGCAAGCATTACAAAGAGGTTTCTGAGAATGCTTCTGTCTAGATTTTATATGTAGATATTCCCGTTTCCAACGAAATCCTCAAAGCTATCCAAATATCAACTTGCAGATTCTACAAAAGGAATGTTTCCAAAATGCTGTATCCAAACAAAGGTTCAACTCTGTGAATTGAGGGCATACATCACAAAGAAGATTCTGAGAATGCTTCTGTCTAGATTTTATATGAAAATATTCCCGTTTCCAACGAAATCCTCAAAGCTATCCAAATATCCACTTGCAAATGCCACAAAAAGAGTGTTTCCAAACTGCTCTGTGAAAAGGAAGGTTCAACTCTGTTAGTTGAGTACACACATCACAAAGAGGTTTCTGAGAATGCTGCTGACTAGTTTTTATTTGAAGATATTTCCCTTTTCACCTTAGGCCTAAGAGTGCTCGAAATGTCCATTTCCACATACTCCACAAAGTGTGTTTCAAACGTGCTGTATGAAAGGGAATGTTCAACTCTATGAGTTGAATGCAAACATCACAAAGAAGATTCTGAGAATGCTTTTGTCTAGATTTTATATGAAGATATTCCCGTGTCCAACGAAATTTTCAAAGGTCTCCAAATATCCATTTGTAGATTCTACAAAAAGAGTGTTTCCAAACTGCTGTATCAAAACAAAGGTTGAACTCTGTGAGTTGAGGACACACATCACAAATAAGTTTCTGAGAATGCTTCTGTCTAGTTTTTATTTGAAGATGTTTCCTTTTTCACCATAGGCCTGAAAGCGCTCGAAATGTCCACTTCCACATAGTACAGAAAGAGTGTTTCAAACCTGCTCTATGAACGGGAATGTTCAGCTCTGTGAGTTGAATGCAAACATCACAAAGCAGGTTCTGAGAATGCTTCCGTCTAGATTTTAAATGAGGATATTCCCGTTTCCAACGAAATCCTCGAAGCTATCCAAATATCCACTTGCAGATTCCACAAAAAGAGTGTTTCAAAACTGCTCTGTCAAAAGATAGGTTCAACTCTGTTAGTTGAGTACACACATGGCAAACAAGATTCCGAGAATGCTTTCGTCTAGTTTTTTTGGGAAGATATTTCCTTCTTCACCATAGGCCTCAAAGCGCTCCAAATATCCATTTCCACATGCTATACAAAGAGTGTCTCAACCCTGCTGTATGAATGGGAATGTTCAACTCTATGAGTTGAATGCAAACATCACAAAGAAGTTTCTGAGAATGCTGCTGTCTAGATTTTATATGAAGGTTTTCCCGCTTCCAACGAAATTTTCAATGCTCTCAAAATATCCTCTTGTAGATTCTACAAAAAGAGTGTTTCCAGACTGCTGTATCAAAACAAAGGTTCATCTCTGTTAGTTGAGGACACACATCACAAATAAGTTTCTGAGAATGCTTCTGTCTAGTTCTTATTTGAAGACATTTCCTTTCTCACCTTAGGCCTGAAAGCGCTCGAAATACCCACTTCCAGATACTACAGAAACAGTGATTCAAACCTGCTCTATGAAAGGGAATGTTCAACTATGTGACTTGAATGCAAACATCACAAAGCAGTTTCTGAGAATGCTGCTGTCTACTTTCTATTTGTAATCCCGTTTCCAACGAAATCCTCAGAACTATCGAAATTTCCAATTGCAGATTCCACAGAAACAGGGTTTCAAAGCTGCTCTGTAAAAAGAAAGGTTCAACTCTGTTAGTTGAATACACACGTCACAAACAAGTTTCTGAGAATGCTTCTGTCTAGTTTTTATGGGAAGATATTTCCTTTTTCACCGTAGGCCTCAAAGCGCTCCAAATGTCCACTTCCACATACTACAAAAGGAGTGTTTCAAACCTGCTCTATGATAGGGAATGTTGAAACCTATGAGTTGAATGCAAACATTACAAAGAGGTTTCTGAGAATGCTTCTGTCTAGATTTTATATGTAGATATTCCCGTTTCCAACGAAATCCTCAAAGCTATCCAAATATCAACTTGCAGATTCTACAAAAGGAATGTTTCCTAAATGCTGTATCCAAACAAAGGTTCCACTCTGTGAATTGAGGGCATACATCACAAAGAAGATTCTGAGAATGCTTCTGTCTAGATTTTATATGAAAATATTCCCGTTTCCAACGAAATCCTCAAATCTATCCAAATATCCACTTGCAAATGCCACAAAAAGAGTGTTTCCAAACTGCTCTGTGAAAAGGAAGGTTCAACTCTGTTAGTTGAGTACACACATCACAAAGAGGTTTCTGAGAATGCTGCTGACTAGTTTTTATTTGAAGATATTTCCCTTTTCACCTTAGGCCTAAGAGTGCTCGAAATGTCCATTTCCACATACTCCACAAAGTGTGTTTCAAACGTGCTGTATGAAAGGGAATGTTCAACTCTATGAGTTGAATGCAAACATCACAAAGAAGATTCTGAGAATGCTTTTGTCTAGATTTTATATGAAGATATTCCCGTGTCCAACGAAATTTTCAAAGGTCTCCAAATAAAGATTGTTTCCAAACTGCTGTATCAAAACAAAGGTTGAACTCTGTGAGTTGAGGACACACATCACAAATAAGTTTCTGAGAATGCTTCTGTCTAGTTTTTATTTGAAGATGTTTCCTTTTTCACCATAGGCCTGAAAGCGCTCGAAATGTCCACTTCCAGATAGTACAGAAAGAGTGTTTCAAACCTGCTCTATGAACGGGAATGTTCAGCTCTGTGAGTTGAATGCAAACATCACAAAGCAGGTTCTGAGAATGCTTCCGTCTAGATTTTAAATGAGGATATTCCCGTTTCCAACGAAATCCTCGAAGCTATCCAAATATCCACTTGCAGATTCCACAAAAAGAGTGTTTCAAAACTGCTCTGTCAAAAGATAGGTTCAACTCTGTTAGTTGAGTACACACATGGCAAACAAGATTCCGAGAATGCTTTCGTCTAGTTTTTTTGGGAAGATATTTCCTTCTTCACCATAGGCCTCAAAGCGCTCCAAATATCCATTTCCACATGCTATACAAAGAGTGTCTCAAACCTGCTGTATGAATGGAAATGTTCAACTCTATGAGTTGAATGCAAACATCACAAAGAAGTTTCTGAGAATGCTGCTGTCTAGATTTTATATGAAGGTTTTCCTGCTTCCAATGAAATTTTCAATGCTCTCAAAATATCCTCTTGTAGATTCTACAAAAAGAGTGTTTCTAAACTGCTGTGTCAAAACAAAGTTTCATCTCTGTTAGTTGAGGACACACATCACAAATAAGTTTCTGAGAATGCTTCTGTCTAGTTCTTATTTGAAGACATTTCCTTTCTCACCTTAGGCCTGAAAACGCTCGAAATATCCACTTCCAGATACGACAGAAACAGGGATTCAAACCTGCTCTATGAAAGGGAATGTTCAACTAGGTGACTTGAATGCAAACATCACAAAGCAGTTTCTGAGAATGCTGCTGTCTACTTTCTATTTGTAATCCCGTTTCCAACGAAATCCTCAGAACTATCGAAATTTCCAATTGCAGATTCCACAAAAAGCGTGTTTCAAAGCTGCTCTGTAAAAAGAAAGGTTCAACTCTGTTAGTTGAATACACACGTCACAAACAAGTTTCTGAGAATGCTTCTGTCTAGTTTTTATGGGAAGATATTTCCTTTTTCACCGTAGGCCTCAAAGCGCTCCAAATGTCCACTTCCACATACTACAAAAAGAGTGTTTCAAACCTGCTCTATGATAGGGAATGTTGAAACCTATGAGTTGAATGCAAGCATTACAAAGAGGTTTCTGAGAATGCTTCTGTCTAGATTTTATATGTAGATATTCCCGTTTCCAACGAAATCCTCAAAGCTATCCAAATATCAACTTGCAGATTCTACAAAAGGAATGTTTCCAAAATGCTGTATCCAAACAAAGGTTCAACTCTGTGAATTGAGGGCATACATCACAAAGAAGATTCTGAGAATGCTTCTGTCTAGATTTTATATGAAAATATTCCCGTTTCCAACGAAATCCTCAAAGCTATCCAAATATCCACTTGCAAATGCCACAAAAAGAGTGTTTCCAAACTGCTCTGTGAAAAGGAAGGTTCAACTCTGTTAGTTGAGTACACACATCACAAAGAGGTTTCTGAGAATGCTGCTGACTAGTTTTTATTTGAAGATATTTCCCTTTTCACCTTAGGCCTAAGAGTGCTCGAAATGTCCATTTCCACATACTCCACAAAGTGTGTTTCAAACGTGCTGTATGAAAGGGAATGTTCAACTCTATGAGTTGAATGCAAACATCACAAAGAAGATTCTGAGAATGCTTTTGTCTAGATTTTATATGAAGATATTCCCGTGTCCAACGAAATTTTCAAAGGTCTCCAAATATCCATTTGTAGATTCTACAAAAAGAGTGTTTCCAAACTGCTGTATCAAAACAAAGGTTGAACTCTGTGAGTTGAGGACACACATCACAAATAAGTTTCTGAGAATGCTTCTGTCTAGTTTTTATTTGAAGATGTTTCCTTTTTCACCATAGGCCTGAAAGCGCTCGAAATGTCCACTTCCAGATAGTACAGAAAGAGTGTTTCAAACCTGCTCTATGAACGGGAATGTTCAGCTCTGTGAGTTGAATGCAAACATCACAAAGCAGGTTCTGAGAATGCTTCCGTCTAGATTTTAAATGAGGATATTCCCGTTTCCAACGAAATCCTCGAAGCTATCCAAATATCCACTTGCAGATTCCACAAAAAGAGTGTTTCAAAACTGCTCTGTCAAAAGATAGGTTCAACTCTGTTAGTTGAGTACACACATGGCAAACAAGATTCCGAGAATGCTTTCGTCTAGTTTTTTGGGGAAGATATTTCCTTCTTCACCATAGGCCTCAAAGCGCTCCAAATATCCATTTCCACATGCTATACAAAGAGTGTCTCAAACCTGCTGTATGAATGGGAATGTTCAACTCTATGAGTTGAATGCAAACATCACAAAGAAGTTTCTGAGAATGCTGCTGTCTAGATTTTATATGAAGGTTTTCCCGCTTCCAACGAAATTTTCAATGCTCTCAACATATCCTCTTGTAGATTATACAAAAAGAGTGTTTCCAAACTGCTGTATCAAAACAAAGGTTCATCTCTGTTAGTTGAGGACACACATCACAAATAAGTTTCTGAGAATGCTTCTGTCTAGTTCTTATTTGAAGACATTTCCTTTCTCACCTTAGGCCTGAAAGCGCTCGAAATACCCACTTCCAGATACGACAGAAACAGTGATTCAAACCTGCTCTATGAAAGGGAATGTTCAACTAGGTGACTTGAATGCAAACATCACAAAGCAGTTTCTGAGAATGCTGCTGTCTACTTTCTATTTGTAATCCCGTTTCCAACGAAATCCTCAGAACTATCGAAATTTCCAATTGCAGATTCCACAGAAACAGGGTTTCAAAGCTGCTCTGTAAAAAGAAAGGTTCAACTCTGTTAGTTGAATACACACGTCACAAACAAGTTTCTGAGAATGCTTCTGTCTAGTTTTTATGGGAAGATATTTCCTTTTTCACCGTAGGCCTCAAAGCGCTCCAAATGTCCACGTCCACATACTACAAAAAGAGTGTTTCAAACCTGCTGTATGAAAGGGAATGTTCAACTCTATGAGTTGAATGCAAACATTACAAAGAAGTTTCTGAGAATGCTTCTGTCTAGATTTTATATGAAGGTTTTCCCGTTTCCAACGAAATTTTCAATGCTCTCAAAATATCCACTTGTAGATTCTACAAAAAGAGTGTTTCCAAACTGCTGTGTCAAAAGAAAGGTTCAACTCTGTTAGTTGAGGACACACATCACAAATAAGTTTCTGAGAATGCTTCTGTCTAGTTCTTATTTGAAGACATTTCCTTTCTCACCTTAGGCCTGAAAACGCTCGAAATATCCACTTCCAGATACGACAGAAACAGTGATTCAAACCTGCTCTATGAAAGGGAATGTTCAACTAGGTGACTTGAATGCAAACATCACAAAGCAGTTTCTGAGAATGCTGCTGTCTACTTTCTATTTGTAATCCCGTTTCCAACGAAATCCTCAGAACTATCGAAATTTCCAATTGCAGATTCCACAGAAACAGGGTTTCAAAGCTGCTCTGTAAAAAGAAAGGTTCAACTCTGTTAGTTGAATACACACGTCACAAACAAGTTTCTGAGAATGCTTCTGTCTAGTTTTTATGGGAAGATATTTCCTTTTTCACGGTAGGCCTCAAAGCGCTCCAAATGTCCACTTCCACATACTACAAAAAGAGTGTTTCAAACCTGCTCTATGATAGGGAATGTTGAAACCTATGAGTTGAATGCAAGCATTACAAAGAGGTTTCTGAGAATGCTTCTGTCTAGATTTTATATGTAGATATTCCCGTTTCCAACGAAATCCTCAAAGCTATCCAAATATCAGCTTGCAGATTCTGCAAAAGGAATGTTTCCAAAATGCTGTATCCAAACAAAGGTTCAACTCTGTGAATTGAGGGCATACATCACAAAGAAGATTCTGAGAATGCTTCTGTCTAGATTTTATATGAAAATATTCCCGTTTCCAACGAAATCCTCAAAGCTATCCAAATATCCACTTGCAAATGCCACAAAAAGAGTGTTTCCAAACTGCTCTGTGAAAAGGAAGGTTCAACTCTGTTAGTTGAGTACACACATCACAAAGAGGTTTCTGAGAATGCTGCTGACTAGTTTTTATTTGAAGATATTTCCCTTTTCACCTTAGGCCTAAGAGTGCTCGAAATGTCCATTTCCACATACTCCACAAAGTGTGTTTCAAACGTGCTGTATGAAAGGGAATGTTCAACTCTATGAGTTGAATTCAAACATCACAAAGAAGATTCTGAGAATGCTTTTGTCTAGATTTTATATGAAGATATTCCCGTGTCCAACGAAATTTTCAAAGTTCTCCAAATATCCATTTGTAGATTCTACAAAAAGAGTGTTTCCAAACTGCTGTATCAAAACAAAGGTTGAACTCTGTGAGTTGAGGACACACATCACAAATAAGTTTCTGAGAATGCTTCTGTCTAGTTTTTATTTGAAGATGTTTCCTTTTTCACCATAGGCCTGAAAGCGCTCGAAATGTCCACTTCCAGATAGTACAGAAAGAGTGTTTCAAACCTGCTCTATGAACGGGAATGTTCAGCTCTGTGAGTTGAATGCAAACATCACAAAGCAGGTTCTGAGAATGCTTCCGTCTAGATTTTAAATGAGGATATTCCCGTTTCCAACGAAATCCTCGAAGCTATCCAAATATCCACTTGCAGATTCCACAAAAAGAGTGTTTCAAAACTGCTCTGTCAAAAGATAGGTTCAACTCTGTTAGTTGAGTACACACATGGCAAACAAGATTGCGAGAATGCTTTCGTCTAGTTTTTTTGGGAAGATATTTCCTTCTTCACCATAGGCCTCAAAGCGCTCCAAATATCCATTTCCACATGCTATACAAAGAGTGTCTCAAACCTGCTGTATGAATGGGAATGTTCAACTCTATGAGTTGAATGCAAACATCACAAAGAAGTTTCTGAGAATGCTGCTGTCTAGATTTTATATGAAGGTTTTCCCGCTTCCAACGAAATTTTCAATGCTCTCAAAATATCCTCTTGTAGATTCTACAAAAAGAGTGTTTCCAAACTGCTGTATCAAAACAAAGGTTCATCTCTGTTAGTTGAGGACACACATCACAAATAAGTTTCTGAGAATGCTTCTGTCTAGTTCTTATTTGAAGACATTTCCTTTCTCACCTTAGGCCTGAAAGCGCTCGAAATACCCACTTCCAGATACTACAGAAACAGTGATTCAAACCTGCTCTATGAAAGGGAATGTTCAACTAGGTGACTTGAATGCAAACATCACAAAGCAGTTTCTGAGAATGCTGCTGTCTACTTTCTATTTGTAATCCCGTTTCCAACGAAATCCTCAGAACTATCGAAATTTCCAATTGCAGATTCCACAGAAACAGGGTTTCAAAGCTGCTCTGTAAAAAGAAAGGTTCAACTCTGTTAGTTGAATACACACGTCACAAACAAGTTTCTGAGAATGCTTCTGTCTAGTTTTTATGGGAAGATATTTCCTTTTTCACCGTAGGCCTCAAAGCGCTCCAAATGTCCACTTCCACAAACTACAAAAACAGTGTTTCAAACCTGCTGTATGAAAGGGAATGTTCAACTCTATGAGTTGAATGCAAACATTACAAAGAAGTTTCTGAGAATGCTTCTGTCTAGATTTTCTATGAAGGTTTTCCCGTTTCCAACGAAATTTTCAATGCTCTCAAAATATCCACTTGTAGATTCTACAAAAAGAGTGTTTCCAAACTGCTGTGTCAAAAGAAAGGTTCAACTCTGTCAGTTGAGGACACACATCACAAATAAGTTTCTGAGAATGCTTCTGTCTAGTTCTTATTTGAAGACATTTCCTTTCTCACCTTAGGCCTGAAAGCGCTCGAAATACCCACTTCCAGATACTACAGAAACAGTGATTCAAACCTGCTCTATGAAAGGGAATGTTCAACTAGGTGACTTGAATGCAAACATCACAAAGCAGTTTCTGAGAATGCTGCTGTCTACTTTCTATTTGTAATCCCGTTTCCAACGAAATCCTCAGAACTATCGAAATTTCCAATTGCAGATTCCACAAAAAACGTGTTTCAAAGCTGCTCTGTAAAAAGAAAGGTTCAACTCTGTTAGTTGAATACACACGTCACAAACAAGTTTCTGAGAATGCTTCTGTCTAGTTTTTATGGGAAGATATTTCCTTTTTCACCGTAGGCCTCAAAGCGCTCCAAATGTCCACTTCCACATACTACAAAAAGAGTGTTTCAAACCTGCTCTATGATAGGGAATGTTGAAACCTATGAGTTGAATGCAAGCATTACAAAGAGGTTTCTGAGAATGCTTCTGTCTAGATTTTATATGTAGATATTCCCGTTTCCAACGAAATCCTCAAAGCTATCCAAATATCAACTTGCAGATTCTACAAAAGGAATGTTTCCAAAATGCTGTATCCAAACAAAGGTTCAACTCTGTGAATTGAGGGCATACATCACAAAGAAGATTCTGAGAATGCTTCTGTCTAGATTTTATATGAAAATATTCCCGTTTCCAACGAAATCCTCAAAGCTATCCAAATATCCACTTGCAAATGCCACAAAAAGAGTGTTTCCAAACTGCTCTGTGAAAAGGAAGGTTCAACTCTGTTAGTTGAGTACACACATCACAAAGAGGTTTCTGAGAATGCTGCTGACTAGTTTTTATTTGAAGATATTTCACTTTTCACCTTAGGCCTAAGAGTGCTCGAAATGTCCATTTCCACATACTCCACAAAGTGTGTTTCAAACGTGCTGTATGAAAGGTAATGTTCAACTCTATGAGTTGAATGCAAACATCACAAAGAAGATTCTGAGAATGCTTTTGTCTAGATTTTATATGAAGATATTCCCGTGTCCAACGAAATTTTCAAAGGTCTCCAAATATCCATTTGTAGATTCTACAAAAAGAGTGTTTCCAAACTGCTGTATCAAAACAAAGGTTGAACTCTGTGAGTTGAGGACACACATCACAAATAAGTTTCTGAGAATGCTTCTCTCTAGTTTTTATTTGAAGATGTTTCCTTTTTCACCATAGGCCTGAAAGCGCTCGAAATGTCCACTTCCAGATAGTACAGAAAGAGTGTTTCAAACCTGCTCTATGAACGGGAATGTTCAGCTCTGTGAGTTGAATGCAAACATCACAAAGCAGGTTCTGAGAATGCTTCCGTCTAGATTTTAAATGAGGATATTCCCGTTTCCAACGAAATCCTCGAAGCTATCCAAATATCCACTTGCAGATTCCACAAAAAGAGTGTTTCAAAACTGCTCTGTCAAAAGATAGGTTCAACCCTGTTAGTTGAGTACACACATGGCAAACAAGATTGCGAGAATGCTTTCGTCTAGTTTTTTTGGGAAGATATTTCCTTCTTCACCATAGGCCTCAAAGCGCTCCAAATATCCATTTCCACATGCTATACAAAGAGTGTCTCAAACCTGCTGTATGAATGGGAATGTTCAACTCTATGAGTTGAATGCAAACATCACAAAGAAGTTTCTGAGAATGCTGCTGTCTAGATTTTATATGAAGGTTTTCCCGCTTCCAACGAAATTTTCAATGCTCTCAAAATATCCTCTTGTAGATTCTACAAAAAGAGTGTTTCCAAACTGCTGTATCAAAACAAAGGTTCATCTCTGTTAGTTGAGGACACACATCACAAATAAGTTTCTGAGAATGCTTCTGTCTAGTTCTTATTTGAAGACATTTCCTTTCTCACCTTAGGCCTGAAAACGCTCGAAATATCCACTTCCAGATACGACAGAAACAGTGATTCAAACCTGCTCTATGAAAGGGAATGTTCAACTAGGTGACTTGAATGCAAACATCACAAAGCAGTTTCTGAGAATGCTGCTGTCTACTTTCTATTTGTAATCCCGTTTCCACCGAAATCCTCAGAACTATCGAAATTTCCAATTGCAGATTCCACAAAAAGCGTGTTTCAAAGCTGCTCTGTAAAAAGAAAGGTTCAACTCTGTTAGTTGAATACACACGTCACAAACAAGTTTCTGAGAATGCTTCTGTCTAGTTTTTATGGGAAGATATTTCCTTTTTCACCGTAGGCCTCAAAGCGCTCCAAATGTCCACTTCCACATACTACAAAAAGAGTGTTTCAAACCTGCTCTATGATAGGGAATTTTGAAACCTATGAGTTGAATGCAAGCATTACAAAGAGGTTTCTGAGAATGCTTCTGTCTAGATTTTATATGTAGATATTCCCGTTTCCAACGAAATCCTCAAAGCTATCCAAATATCAACTTGCAGATTCTACAAAAGGAATGTTTCCAAAATGCTGTATCCAAACAAAGGTTCAACTCTGTGAATTGAGGGCATACATCACAAAGAAGATTCTGAGAATGCTTCTGTCTAGATTTTATATGAAAATATTCCCGTTTCCAACGAAATCCTCAAAGCTATCCAAATATCCACTTGCAAATGCCACAAAAAGAGTGTTTCCAAACTGCTCTGTGAAAAGGAAGGTTCAACTCTGTTAGTTGAGTACACACATCACAAAGAGGTTTCTGAGAATGCTGCTGACTAGTTTTTATTTGAAGATATTTCCCTTTTCACCTTAGGCCTAAGAGTGCTCGAAATGTCCATTTCCACATACTCCACAAAGTGTGTTTCAAACGTGCTGTATGAAAGGGAATGTTCAACTCTATGAGTTGAATGCAAACATCACAAAGAAGATTCTGAGAATGCTTTTGTCTAGATTTTATATGAAGATATTCCCGTGTCCAACGAAATTTTCAAAGGTCTCCAAATATCCATTTGTAGATTCTACAAAAAGAGTGTTTCCAAACTGCTGTATCAAAACAAAGGTTGAACTCTGTGAGTTGAGGACACACATCACAAATAAGTTTCTGAGAATGCTTCTGTCTAGTTTTTATTTGAAGATGTTTCCTTTTTCACCATAGGCCTGAAAGCGCTCGAAATGTCCACTTCCAGATAGTACAGAAAGAGTGTTTCAAACCTGCTCTATGAACGGGAATGTTCAGCTCTGTGAGTTGAATGCAAACATCACAAAGCAGGTTCTGAGAATGCTTCCGTCTAGATTTTAAATGAGGATATTCCCGTTTCCAACGAAATCCTCGAAGCTATCCAAATATCCACTTGCAGATTCCACAGAAAGAGTGTTTCAAAACTGCTCTCTCAAAAGATAGGTTCAACTCTGTTAGTTGAGTACACACATGGCAAACAAGATTCCGAGAATGCTTTCGTCTAGTTTTTTTGGGAAGATATTTCCTTCTTCACCATAGGCCTCAAAGCGCTCCAAATATCCATTTCCACATGCTATACAAAGAGTGTCTCAAACCTGCTGTATGAATGGGAATGTTCAACTCTATGAGTTGAATGCAAACATCACAAAGAAGTTTCTGAGAATGCTGCTGTCTAGATTTTATATGAAGGTTTTCCCGCTTCCAACGAAATTTTCAATGCTCTCAAAATATCCTCTTGTAGATTCTACAAAAAGAGTGTTTCCAAACTGCTGTATCAAAACAAAGGTTCATCTCTGTTAGTTGAGGACACACATCACAAATAAGTTTCTGAGAATGCTTCTGTCTAGTTCTTATTTGAAGACATTTCCTTTCTCACCTTAGGCCTGAAAGCGCTCGAAATACCCACTTCCAGATACTACAGAAACAGTGATTCAAACCTGCTCTATGAAAGGGAATGTTCAACTAGGTGACTTGAATGCAAACATCACAAAGCAGTTTCTGAGAATGCTGCTGTCTACTTTCTATTTGTAATCCCGTTTCCAACGAAATCCTCAGAACTATCGAAATTTCCAATTGCAGATTCCACAGAAACAGGGTTTCAAAGCTGCTCTGTAAAAAGAAAGGTTCAACTCTGTTAGTTGAATACACACGTCACAAACAAGTTTCTGAGAATGCTTCTGTCTAGTTTTTATGGGAAGATATTTCCTTTTTCACGGTAGGCGTCAAAGCGCTCCAAATGTCCACTTCCACATATTACAAAAAGAGTGTTTCAAACCTGCTCTATGATAGGGAATGTTGAAACCTATGAGTTGAATGCAAGCATTACAAAGAGGTTTCTGAGAATGCTTCTGTCTAGATTTTATATGTAGATATTCCCGTTTCCAACGAAATCCTCAAAGCTATCCAAATATCAACTTGCAGATTCTACAAAAGGAATGTTTCCAAAATGCTGTATCCAAACAAAGGTTCAACTCTGTGAATTGAGGGCATACATCACAAAGAAGATTCTGAGAATGCTTCTGTCTAGATTTTATATGAAAATATTCCCGTTTCCAACGAAATCCTCAAAGCTATCCAAATATCCACTTGCAAATGCCACAAAAAGAGTGTTTCCAAACTGCTCTGTGAAAAGGAAGGTTCAACTCTGTTAGTTGAGTACACACATCACAAAGAGGTTTCTGAGAATGCTGCTGACTAGTTTTTATTTGAAGATATTTCCCTTTTCACCTTAGGCCTAAGAGTGCTCGAAATGTCCATTTCCACATACTCCACAAAGTGTGTTTCAAACGTGCTGTATGAAAGGGAATGTTCAACTCTATGAGTTGAATGCAAACATCACAAAGAAGATTCTGAGAATGCTTTTGTCTAGATTTTATATGAAGATATTCCCGTGTCCAACGAAATTTTCAAAGGTCTCCAAATATCCATTTGTAGATTCTACAAAAAGAGTGTTTCCAAACTGCTGTATCAAAACAAAGGTTGAACTCTGTGAGTTGAGGACACACATCACAAATAAGTTTCTGAGAATGCTTCTGTCTAGTTTGTATTTGAAGATGTTTCCTTTTTCACCATAGGCCTGAAAGCGCTCGAAATGTCCACTTCCAGATAGTACAGAAAGAGTGTTTCAAACCTGCTCTATGAACGGGAATGTTCAGCTCTGTGAGTTGAATGCAAACATCACAAAGCAGGTTCTGAGAATGCTTCCGTCTAGATTTTAAATGAGGATATTCCCGTTTCCAACGAAATCCTCGAAGCTATCCAAATATCCACTTGCAGATTCCACAAAAAGAGTGTTTCAAAACTGCTCTGTCAAAAGATAAGTTCAACTCTGTTAGTTGAGTACACACATGGCAAACAAGATTCCGAGAATGCTTTCGTCTAGTTTTTTTGGGAAGATATTTCCTTCTTCACCATAGTCCTCAAAGCGCTCCAAATATCCATTTCCACATGCTATACAAAGAGTGTCTCAAACCTGCTGTATGAATGGGAATGTTCAACTCTATGAGTTGAATGCAAACATCACAAAGTAGTTTCTGAGAATGCTGCTGTCTAGATTTTATATGAAGGTTTTCCCGCTTCCAACGAAATTTTCAATGCTCTCAAAATATCCTCTTGTAGATTCTACAAAAAGAGTGTTTCCAAACTGCTGTATCAAAACAAAGGTTCATCTCTGTTAGTTGAGGACACACATCACAAATAAGTTTCTGAGAATGCTTCTGTCTAGTTCTTATTTGAAGACATTTCCTTTCTCACCTTAGGCCTGAAAGATCTCGAAATACACACTTCCAGATACTACAGAAACAGTGATTCAAACCTGCTCTATGAAAGGGAATGTTCAACTAGGTGACTTGAATGCAAACATCACAAAGCAGTTTCTGAGAATGCTGCTGTCTACTTTCTATTTGTAATCCCGTTTCCAACGAAATCCTCAGAACTATCGAAATTTCCAATTGCAGATTCCACAGAAACAGGGTTTCAAAGCTGCTCTGTAAAAAGAAAGGTTCAACTCTGTTAGTTGAATACACACGTCACAAACAAGTTTCTGAGAATGCTTCTGTCTAGTTTTTATGGGAAGATATTTCCTTTTTCACCGTAGGCCTCAAAGCGCTCCAAATGTCCACTTCCACATACTACAAAAAGAGTGTTTCAAACCTGCTGTATGAAAGGGAATGTTCAACTCTATGAGTTGAATGCAAACATTACAAAGAAGTTTCTGAGAATGCTTCTGTCTAGATTTTATAGAAAGGTTTTCCCGTTTCCAACGAAATTTTCAATGCTCTCAAAATATCCACTTGTAGATTCTACAAAAAGAGTGTTTCCAAACTGCTGTGTCAAAAGAAAGGTTCAACTCTGTTAGTTGAGGACACACATCACAAATAAGTTTCTGAGAATGCTTCTGTCTAGTTCTTATTTGAAGACATTTCCTTTCTCACCTTAGGCCTGAAAACGCTCGAAATATCCACTTCCAGATACGACAGAAACAGTGATTCAAACCTGCTCTATGAAAGGGAATGTTCAACTAGGTGACTTGAATGCAAACATCACAAAGCAGTTTCTGAGAATGCTGCTGTCTACTTTCTATTTGTAATCCCGTTTCCAACGAAATCCTCAGAACTATCGAAATTTCCAATTGCAGATTCCACAAAAAGCGTGTTTCAAAGCTGCTCTGTAAAAAGAAAGGTTCAACTCTGTTAGTTGAATACACACGTCACAAACAAGTTTCTGAGAATGCTTCTGTCTAGTTTTTATGGGAAGATATTTCCTTTTTCACCGTAGGCCTCAAAGCGCTCCAAATGTCCACTTCCACATACTACAAAAAGAGTGTTTCAAACCTGCTCTATGATAGGGAATGTTGAAACCTATGAGTTGAATGCAAGCATTACAAAGAGGTTTCTGAGAATGCTTCTGTCTAGATTTTATATGTAGATATTCCCGTTTCCAACGAAATCCTCAAAGCTATCCAAATATCAACTTGCAGATTCTACAAAAGGAATGTTTCCAAAATGCTGTATCCAAACAAAGGTTCAACTCTGTGAATTGAGGGCATACATCACAAAGAAGATTCTGAGAATGCTTCTGTCTAGATTTTATATGAAAATATTCCCGTTTCCAACGAAATCCTCAAAGCTATCCAAATATCCACTTGCAAATGCCACAAAAAGAGTGTTTCCAAACTGCTCTGTGAAAAGGAAGGTTCAACTCTGTTAGTTGAGTACACACATCACAAAGAGGTTTCTGAGAATGCTGCTGACTAGTTTTTATTTGAAGATATTTCCCTTTTCACCTTAGGCCTAAGAGTGCTCGAAATGTCCATTTCCACATACTCCACAAAGTGTGTTTCAAACGTGCTGTATGAAAGGGAATGTTCAACTCTATGAGTTGAATGCAAACATCACAAAGAAGATTCTGAGAATGCTTTTGTCTAGATTTTATATGAAGATATTCCCGTGTCCAACGAAATTTTCAAAGGTCTCCAAATATCCATTTGTAGATTCTACAAAAAGAGTGTTTCCAAACTGCTGTATCAAAACAAAGGTTGAACTCTGTGAGTTGAGGACACACATCACAAATAAGTTTCTGAGAATGCTTCTGTCTAGTTTTTATTTGAAGATGTTTCCTTTTTCACCATAGGCCTGAAAGCGCTCGAAATGTCCACTTCCAGATAGTACAGAAAGAGTGTTTCAAACCTGCTCTATGAACGGGAATGTTCAGCTCTGTGAGTTGAATGCAAACATCACAAAGCAGGTTCTGAGAATGCTTCCGTCTAGATTTTAAATGAGGATATTCCCGTTTCCAACGAAATCCTCGAAGCTATCCAAATATCCACTTGCAGATTCCACAAAAAGAGTGTTTCAAAACTGCTCTGTCAAAAGATAGGTTCAACTCTGTTAGTTGAGTACACACATGGCAAACAAGATTGCGAGAATGCTTTCGTCTAGTTTTTTTGGGAAGATATTTCCTTCTTCACCATAGGCCTCAAAGCGCTCCAAATATCCATTTAAACATGCTATACAAAGAGTGTCTCAAACCTGCTGTATGAATGGGAATGTTCAACTCTATGAGGTTGAATGCAAACATCACAAAGAAGTTTCTGAGAATGCTTGCTGTCTAGATTTTATATGAAGGTTTTCCCGCTTCCAACGAAATTTTCAATGCTCTCAAAATATCCTCTTGTAGATTCTACAAAAAGAGTGTTTCCAAACTGCTGTATCAAAACAAAGGTTCATCTCTGTTAGTTGAGGACACACATCACAAATAAGTTTCTGAGAATGCTTCTGTCTAGTTCTTATTTGAAGACATTTCCTTTCTTACCTTAGGCCTGAAAACGCTCGAAATATCCACTTCCAGATACGACAGAAACAGTGATTCAAACCTGCTCTATGAAAGGGAATGTTCAACTAGGTGACTTGAATGCAAACATCACAAAGCAGTTTCTGAGAATGCTGCTGTCTACTTTCTATTTGTAATCCCGTTTCCAACGAAATCCTCAGAACTATCGAAATTTCCAATTGCAGATTCCACAGAAACAGGGTTTCAAAGCTGCTCTGTAAAAAGAAAGGTTCAACTCTGTTAGTTGAATACACACGTCACAAACAAGTTTCTGAGAATGCTTCTGTCTAGTTTTTATGGGAAGATATTTCCTTTTTCACCGTAGGCCTCAAAGCGCTCCAAATGTCCACTTCCACATACTACAAAAAGAGTGTTTCAAACCTGCTGTATGAAAGGGAATGTTCAACTCTATGAGTTGAATGCAAACATCACAAAGAAGTTTCTGAGAATGCTGCTGTCTAGATTTTATATGAAGGTTTTCCCGCTTCCAACGAAATTTTCAATGCTCTCAAAATATCCTCTTGTAGATTCTACAAAAAGAGTGTTTCCAAACTGCTGTATCAAAACAAAGGTTCATCTCTGTTAGTTGAGGACACACATCACAAATAAGTTTCTGAGAATGCTTCTGTCTAGTTCTTATTTGAAGACATTTCCTTTCTCACCTTAGGCCTGAAAGCGCTCGAAATACCCACTTCCAGATACTACAGAAACAGTGATTCAAACCTGCTCTATGAAAGGGAATGTTCAACTATGTGACTTGAATGCAAACATCACAAAGCAGTTTCTGAGAATGCTGCTGTCTACTTTCTATTTGTAATCCCGTTTCCAACGAAATCCTCAGAACTATCGAAATTTCCAATTGCAGATTCCACAGAAACAGGGTTTCAAAGCTGCTCTGTAAAAAGAAAGGTTCAACTCTGTTAGTTGAATACACACGTCACAAACAAGTTTCTGAGAATGCTTCTGTCTAGTTTTTATGGGAAGATATTTCCTTTTTCACGGTAGGCCTCAAAGCGCTCCAAATGTCCACTTCCACATACTACAAAAAGAGTGTTTCAAACCTGCTCTATGATAGGGAATGTTGAAACCTATGAGTTGAATGCAAGCATTACAAAGAGGTTTCTGAGAATGCTTCTGTCTAGATTTTATATGTAGATATTCCCGTTTCCAACGAAATCCTCAAAGCTATCCAAATATCAGCTTGCAGATTCTGCAAAAGGAATGTTTCCAAAATGCTGTATCCAAACAAAGGTTCAACTCTGTGAATTGAGGGCATACATCACAAAGAAGATTCTGAGAATGCTTCTGTCTAGATTTTATATGAAAATATTCCCGTTTCCAACGAAATCCTCAAAGCTATCCAAATATCCACTTGCAAATGCCACAAAAAGAGTGTTTCCAAACTGCTCTGTGAAAAGGAAGGTTCAACTCTGTTAGTTGAGTACACACATCACAAAGAGGTTTCTGAGAATGCTGCTGACTAGTTTTTATTTGAAGATATTTCCCTTTTCACCTTAGGCCTAAGAGTGCTCGAAATGTCCATTTCCACATACTCCACAAAGTGTGTTTCAAACGTGCTGTATGAAAGGGAATGTTCAACTCTATGAGTTGAATGCAAACATCACAAAGAAGATTCTGAGAATGCTTTTGTCTAGATTTTATATGAAGATATTCCCGTGTCCAACGAAATTTTCAAAGGTCTCCAAATATCCATTTGTAGATTCTACAAAAAGAGTGTTTCCAAACTGCTGTATCAAAACAAAGGTTGAACTCTGTGAGTTGAGGACACACATCACAAATAAGTTTCTGAGAATGCTTCTGTCTAGTTTTTATTTGAAGATGTTTCCTTTTTCACCATAGGCCTGAAAGCGCTCGAAATGTCCACTTCCAGATAGTACAGAAAGAGTGTTTCAAACCTGCTCTATGAACGGGAATGTTCAGCTCTGTGAGTTGAATGCAAACATCACAAAGCAGGTTCTGAGAATGCTTCCGTCTAGATTTTAAATGAGGATATTCCCGTTTCCAACGAAATCCTCGAAGCTATCCAAATATCCACTTGCAGATTCCACAAAAAGAGTGTTTCAAAACTGCTCTGTCAAAAGATAGGTTCAACTCTGTTAGTTGAGTACACACATGGCAAACAAGATTCCGAGAATGCTTTCGTCTAGTTTTTTTGGGAAGATATTTCCTTCTTCACCATAGGCCTCAAAGCGCTCCAAATATCCATTTCCACATGCTATACAAAGAGTGTCTCAAACCTGCTGTATGAATGGGAATGTTCAACTCTATGAGTTGAATGCAAACATCACAAAGAAGTTTCTGAGAATGCTGCTGTCTAGATTTTATATGAAGGTTTTCCCGCTTCCAACGAAATTTTCAATGCTCTCAAAATATCCTCTTGTAGATTCTACAAAAAGAGTGTTTCCAAACTGCTGTATCAAAACAAAGGTTCATCTCTGTTAGTTGAGGACACACATCACAAATAAGTTTCTGAGAATGCTTCTGTCTAGTTCTTATTTGAAGACATTTCCTTTCTCACCTTAGGCCTGAAAGCGCTCGAAATACCCACTTCCAGATACTACAGAAACAGTGATTCAAACCTGCTCTATGAAAGGGAATGTTCAACTAGGTGACTTGAATGCAAACATCACAAAGCAGTTTCTGAGAATGCTGCTGTCTACTTTCTATTTGTAATCCCGTTTCCAACGAAATCCTCAGAACTATCGAAATTTCCAATTGCAGATTCCACAGAAACAGGGTTTCAAAGCTGCTCTGTAAAAAGAAAGGTTCAACTCTGTTAGTTGAATACACACGTCACAAACAAGTTTCTGAGAATGCTTCTGTCTAGTTTTTATGGGAAGATATTTCCTTTTTCACCGTAGGCCTCAAAGCGCTCCAAATGTCCACTTCCACATACTACAAAAAGAGTGTTTCAAACCTGCTGTATGAAAGGGAATGTTCAACTCTATGAGTTGAATGCAAACATTACAAAGAAGTTTCTGAGAATGCTTCTGTCTAGATTTTATATGAAGGTTTTCCCGTTTCCAACGAAATTTTCAATGCTCTCAAAATATCCACTTGTAGATTCTACAAAAAGAGTGTTTCCAAACTGCTGTGTCAAAAGAAAGGTTCAACTCTGTTAGTTGAGGACACACATCACAAATAAGTTTCTGAGAATGCTTCTGTCTAGTTCTTATTTGAAGACATTTCCTTTCTCACCTTAGGCCTGAAAACGCTCGAAATATCCACTTCCAGATACGACAGAAACAGTGATTCAAACCTGCTCTATGAAAGGGAATGTTCAACTAGGTGACTTGAATGCAAACATCACAAAGCAGTTTCTGAGAATGCTGCTGTCTACTTTCTATTTGTAATCCCGTTTCCAACGAAATCCTCAGAACTATCGAAATTTCCAATTGCAGATTCCACAAAAAGCGTGTTTCAAAGCTGCTCTGTAAAAAGAAAGGTTCAACTCTGTTAGTTGAATACACACGTCACAAACAAGTTTCTGAGAATGCTTCTGTCTAGTTTTTATGGGAAGATATTTCCTTTTTCACCGTAGGCCTCAAAGCGCTCCAAATGTCCACTTCCACATACTACAAAAAGAGTGTTTCAAACCTGCTCTATGATAGGGAATGTTGAAACCTATGAGTTGAATGCAAGCATTACAAAGAGGTTTCTGAGAATGCTTCTGTCTAGATTTTATATGTAGATATTCCCGTTTCCAACGAAATCCTCAAAGCTATCCAAATATCAACTTGCAGATTCTACAAAAGGAATGTTTCCAAAATGCTGTATCCAAACAAAGGTTCAACTCTGTGAATTGAGGGCATACATCACAAAGAAGATTCTGAGAATGCTTCTGTCTAGATTTTATATGAAAATATTCCCGTTTCCAACGAAATCCTCAAAGCTATCCAAATATCCACTTGCAAATGCCACAAAAAGAGTGTTTCCAAACTGCTCTGTGAAAAGGAAGGTTCAACTCTGTTAATTGAGTACACACATCACAAAGAGGTTTCTGAGAATGCTGCTGACTAGTTTTTATTTGAAGATATTTCCCTTTTCACCTTAGGCCTAAGAGTGCTCGAAATGTCCATTTCCACATACTCCACAAAGTGTGTTTCAAACGTGCTGTATGAAAGGGAATGTTCAACTCTATGAGTTGAATGCAAACATCACAAAGAAGATTCTGAGAATGCTTTTGTCTAGATTTTATATGAAGATATTCCCGTGTCCAACGAAATTTTCAAAGGTCTCCAAATATCCATTTGTAGATTCTACAAAAAGAGTGTTTCCAAACTGCTGTATCAAAACAAAGGTTGAACTCTGTGAGTTGAGGACACACATCACAAATAAGTTTCTGAGAATGCTTCTGTCTAGTTTTTATTTGAAGATGTTTCCTTTTTCACCATAGGCCTGAAAGCGCTCGAAATGTCCACTTCCAGATAGTACAGAAAGAGTGTTTCAAACCTGCTCTATGAACGGGAATGTTCAGCTCTGTGAGTTGAATGCAAACATCACAAAGCAGGTTCTGAGAATGCTTCCGTCTAGATTTTAAATGAGGATATTCCCGTTTCCAAAGAAATCCTCGAAGCTATCCAAATATCCACTTGCAGATTCCACAAAAAGAGTGTTTCAAAACTGCTCTGTCAAAAGATAGGTTCAACTCTGTTAGTTGAGTACACACATGGCAAACAAGATTGCGAGAATGCTTTCGTCTAGTTTTTTTGGGAAGATATTTCCTTCTTCACCATAGGCCTCAAAGCGCTCCAAATATCCATTTCCACATGCTATACAAAGAGTGTCTCAAACCTGCTGTATGAATGGGAATGTTCAACTCTATGAGTTGAATGCAAACATCACAAAGAAGTTTCTGAGAATGCTGCTGTCTAGATTTTATATGAAGGTTTTCCCGCTTCCAACGAAATTTTCAATGCTCTCAAAATATCCTCTTGTAGATTCTACAAAAAGAGTGTTTCCAAACTGCTGTATCAAAACAAAGGTTCATCTCTGTTAGTTGAGGACACACATCACAAATAAGTTTCTGAGAATGCTTCTGTCTAGTTCTTATTTGAAGACATTTCCTTTCTCACCTTAGGCCTGAAAGCGCTCGAAATACCCACTTCCAGATACTACAGAAACAGTGATTCAAACCTGCTCCTATGAAAGGGAATGTTCAACTATGTGACTTGAATGCAAACATCACAAAGCAGTTTCTGAGAATGCTGCTGTCTACTTTCTATTTGTAATCCCGTTTCCAACGAAATCCTCAGAACTATCGAAATTTCCAATTGCAGATTCCACAGAAACAGGGTTTCAAAGCTGCTCTGTAAAAAGAAAGGTTCAACTCTGTTAGTTGAATACACACGTCACAAACAAGTTTCTGAGAATGCTTCTGTCTAGTTTTTATGGGAAGATATTTCCTTTTTCACCGTAGGCCTCAAAGCGCTCCAAATGTCCACTTCCACATACTACAAAAAGAGTGTTTCAAACCTGCTGTATGAAAGGGAATGTTCAACTCTATGAGTTGAATGCAAACATTACAAAGAAGTTTCTGAGAATGCTTCTGTCTAGATTTTATATGAAGGTTTTCCCGTTTCCAACGAAATTTTCAATGCTCTCAAAATATCCACTTGTAGATTCTACAAAAAGAGTGTTTTCAAACTGCTGTGTCAAAAGAAAGGTTCAACTCTGTTAGTTGAGGACACACATCACAAATAAGTTTCTGAGAATGCTTCTGTCTAGTTCTTATTTGAAGACATTTCCTTTCTCACCTTAGGCCTGAAAACGCTCGAAATATCCACTTCCAGATACGACAGAAACAGTGATTCAAACCTGCTCTATGAAAGGGAATGTTCAACTAGGTGACTTGAATGCAAACATCACAAAGCAGTTTCTGAGAATGCTGCTGTCTACTTTCTATTTGTAATCCCGTTTCCAACGAAATCCTCAGAACTATCGAAATTTCCAATTGCAGATTCCACAAAAAGCGTGTTTCAAAGCTGCTCTGTAAAAAGAAAGGTTCAACTCTGTTAGTTGAATACACACGTCACAAACAAGTTTCTGAGAATGCTTCTGTCTAGTTTTTATGGGAAGATATTTCCTTTTTCACCGTAGGCCTCAAAGCGCTCCAAATGTCCACTTCCACATACTACAAAAAGAGTGTTTCAAACCTGCTCTATGATAGGGAATGTTGAAACCTATGAGTTGAATGCAAGCATTACAAAGAGGTTTCTGAGAATGCTTCTGTCTAGATTTTATATGTAGATATTCCCGTTTCCAACGAAATCCTCAAAGCTATCCAAATATCAACTTGCAGATTCTACAAAAGGAATGTTTCCAAAATGCTGTATCCAAACAAAGGTTCAACTCTGTGAATTGAGGGCATACATCACAAAGAAGATTCTGAGAATGCTTCTGTCTAGATTTTATATGAAAATATTCCCGTTTCCAACGAAATCCTCAAAGCTATCCAAATATCCACTTGCAAATGCCACAAAAAGAGTGTTTCCAAACTGCTCTGTGAAAAGGAAGGTTCAACTCTGTTAGTTGAGTACACACATCACAAAGAGGTTTCTGAGAATGCTGCTGACTAGTTTTTATTTGAAGATATTTCCCTTTTCACCTTAGGCCTAAGAGTGCTCGAAATGTCCATTTCCACATACTCCACAAAGTGTGTTTCAAACGTGCTGTATGAAAGGGAATGTTCAACTCTATGAGTTGAATGCAAATATCACAAAGAAGATTCTGAGAATGCTTTTGTCTAGATTTTATATGAAGATATTCCCGTGTCCAACGAAATTTTCAAAGGTCTCCAAATATCCATTTGTAGATTCTACAAAAAGAGTGTTTCCAAACTGCTGTATCAAAACAAAGGTTGAACTCTGTGAGTTGAGGACACACATCACAAATAAGTTTCTGAGAATGCTTCTGTCTAGTTTTTATTTGAAGATGTTTCCTTTTTCACCATAGGCCTGAAAGCGCTCGAAATGTCCACTTCCAGATAGTACAGAAAGAGTGTTTCAAACCTGCTCTATGAACGGGAATGTTCAGCTCTGTGAGTTGAATGCAAACATCACAAAGCAGGTTCTGAGAATGCTTCCGTCTAGATTTTAAATGAGGATATTCCCGTTTCCAATGAAATCCTCGAAGCTATCCAAATATCCACTTGCAGATTCCACAAAAAGAGTGTTTCAAAACTGCTCTGTCAAAAGATAGGTTCAACTCTGTTAGTTGAGTACACCCATGGCAAACAAGATTGCGAGAATGCTTTCGTCTAGTTTTTTTGGGAAGATATTTCCTTCTTCACCATAGGCCTCAAAGCGCTCCAAATATCCATTTCCACATGCTATACAAAGAGTGTCTCAAACCTGCTGTATGAATGGGAATGTTCAACTCTATGAGTTGAATGCAAACATCACAAAGAAGTTTCTGAGAATGCTGCTGTCTAGATTTTATATGAAGGTTTTCCCGCTTCCAACGAAATTTTCAATGCTCTGAAAATATCCTCTTGTATATTCTACAAAAAGAGTGTTTCCAAACTGCTGTGTCAAAAGAAAGGTTCAACTCTGTTAGTTGAGGACACACATCACAAATAAGTTTCTGAGAATGCTTCTGTCTAGTTCTTATTTGAAGACATTTCCTTTCTCACCTTAGGCCTGAAAGCGCTCGAAATACCCACTTCCAGATACTACAGAAACAGTGATTCAAACCTGCTCTATGAAAGGGAATGTTCAACTATGTGACTTGAATGCAAACATCACAAAGCAGTTTCTGAGAATGCTGCTGTCTACTTTCTATTTGTAATCCCGTTTCCAACGAAATCCTCAGAACTATCGAAATTTCCAATTGCAGATTCCACAGAAACAGGGTTTCAAAGCTGCTCTGTAAAAAGAAAGGTTCAACTCTGTTAGTTGAATACACACGTCACAAACAAGTTTCTGAGAATGCTTCTGTCTAGTTTTTATGGGAAGATATTTCCTTTTTCACCGTAGGCCTCAAAGCGCTCCCAAATGTCCACTTCCACATACTACAAAAAGAGTGTTTCAAACCTGCTGTATGAAAGGGAATGTTCAACTCTATGAGTTGAATGCAAACATTACAAAGAAGTTTCTGAGAATGCTTCTGTCTAGATTTTATATGAAGGTTTTCCCGCTTCCAACGAAATTTTCAATGCTCTCAAAATATCCACTTGTAGATTCTACAAAAAGAGTGTTTCCAAACTGCTGTGTCAAAACAAAGGTTCAACTCTGTTAGTTGAGGACACACATCACAAATAAGTTTCTGAGAATGCTTCTGTCTAGTTCTTATTTGAAGACATTTCCTTTCTCACCTTAGGCCTGAAAGCGCTCGAAATACCCACTTCCAGATACTACAGAAACAGTGATTCAAACCTGCTCTATGAAAGGGAATGTTCAACTATGTGACTTGAATGCAAACATCACAAAGCAGTTTCTGAGAATGCTGCTGTCTACTTTCTATTTGTAATACCGTTTCCAACGAAATCCTCAGAACTATCGAAATTTCCAATTGCAGATTCCACAGAAACAGGGTTTCAAAGCTGCTCTGTAAAAAGAAAGGTTCAACTCTGTTAGTTGAATACACACGTCACAAACAAGTTTCTGAGAATGCTTCTGTCTAGTTTTTATGGGAAGATATTTCCTTTTTCACCGTAGGCCTCAAAGCGCTCCAAATGTCCACTTCCACATACTACAAAAAGAGTGTTTCAAACCTGCTGTATGAAAGGGAATGTTCAACTCTATGAGTTGAATGCAAACATTACAAAGAAGTTTCTGAGAATGCTTCTGTTCTAGATTTTATATGAAGGTTTTCCCGTTTCCAACGAAATTTTCAATGCTCTCAAAATATCCACTTGTAGATTCTACAAAAAGAGTGTTTCCAAACTGCTGTGTCAAAAGAAAGGTTCAACTCTGTTAGTTGAGGACACACATCACAAATAAGTTTCTGAGAATGCTTCTGTCTAGTTCTTATTTGAAGACATTTCCTTTCTCACCTTAGGCCTGAAAACGCTCGAAATATCCACTTCCAGATACGACAGAAACAGTGATTCAAACCTGCTCTATGAAAGGGAATGTTCAACTAGGTGACTTGAATGCAAACATCACAAAGCAGTTTCTGAGAATGCTGCTGTCTACTTTCTATTTGTAATCCCGTTTCCAACGAAATCCTCAGAACTATCGAAATTTCCAATTGCAGATTCCACAAAAAGCGTGTTTCAAAGCTGCTCTGTAAAAAGAAAGGTTCAACTCTGTTAGTTGAATACACACGTCACAAACAAGTTTCTGAGAATGCTTCTGTCTAGTTTTTATGGGAAGATATTTCCTTTTTCACCGTAGGCCTCAAAGCGCTCCAAATGTCCACTTCCACATACTACAAAAAGAGTGTTTCAAACCTGCTCTATGATAGGGAATGTTGAAACCTATGAGTTGAATGCAAGCATTACAAAGAGGTTTCTGAGAATGCTTCTGTCTAGATTTTATATGTAGATATTCCCGTTTCCAACGAAATCCTCAAACTATCCAAATATCAACTTGCAGATTCTACAAAAGGAATGTTTCCAAAATGCTGTATCCAAACAAAGGTTCAACTCTGTGAATTGAGGGCATACATCACAAAGAAGATTCTGAGAATGCTTCTGTCTAGATTTTATATGAAAATATTCCCGTTTCCAACGAAATCCTCAAAGCTATCCAAATATCCACTTGCAAATGCCACAAAAAGAGTGTTTCCAAACTGCTCTGTGAAAAGGAAGGTTCAACTCTGTTAGTTGAGTACACACATCACAAAGAGGTTTCTGAGAATGCTGCTGACTAGTTTTTATTTGAAGATATTTCCCTTTTCACCTTAGGCCTAAGAGTGCTCGAAATGTCCATTTCCACATACTCCACAAAGTGTGTTTCAAACGTGCTGTATGAAAGGGAACGTTCAAATCTATGAGTTGAATGCAAACATCACAAAGAAGATTCTGAGAATGCTTTTGTCTAGATTTTATATGAAGATATTCCCGTGTCCAACGAAATTTTCAAAGGTCTCCAAATATCCATTTGTAGATTCTACAAAAAGAGTGTTTCCAAACTGCTGTATCAAAACAAAGGTTGAACTCTGTGAGTTGAGGACACACATCACAAATAAGTTTCTGAGAATGCTTCTGTCTAGTTTTTATTTGAAGATGTTTCCTTTTTCACCATAGGCCTGAAAGCGCTCGAAATGTCCACTTCCAGATAGTACAGAAAGAGTGTTTCAAACCTGCTCTATGAACGGGAATGTTCAGCTCTGTGAGTTGAATGCAAACATCACAAAGCAGGTTCTGAGAATGCTTCCGTCTAGATTTTAAATGAGGATATTCCCGTTTCCAACGAAATCCTCGAAGCTATCCAAATATCCACTTGCAGATTCCACAAAAAGAGTGTTTCAAAACTGCTCTGTCAAAAGATAGGTTCAACTCTGTTAGTTGAGTACACACATGGCAAACAAGATTCCGAGAATGCTTTCGTCTAGTTTTTTTGGGAAGATATTTCCTTCTTCACCATAGGCCTCAAAGCGCTCCAAATATCCATTTCCACATGCTATACAAAGAGTGTCTCAAACCTGCTGTATGAATGGGAATGTTCAACTCTATGAGTTGAATGCAAACATCACAAAGAAGTTTCTGAGAATGCTGCTGTCTAGATTTTATATGAAGGTTTTCCCGCTTCCAACGAAATTTTCAATGCTCTCAAAATATCCTCTTGTAGATTCTACAAAAAGAGTGTTTCCAAACTGCTGTATCAAAACAAAGGTTCATCTCTGTTAGTTGAGGACACACATCACAAATAAGTTTCTGAGAATGCTTCTGTCTAGTTCTTATTTGAAGACATTTCCTTTCTCACCTTAGGCCTGAAAGCGCTCGAAATACCCACTTCCAGATACTACAGAAACAGTGATTCAAACCTGCTCTATGAAAGGGAATGTTCAACTAGGTGACTTGAATGCAAACATCACAAAGCAGTTTCTGAGAATGCTGCTGTCTACTTTCTATTTGTAATCCCGTTTCCAACGAAATCCTCAGAACTATCGAAATTTCCAATTGCAGATTCCACAGAAACAGGGTTTCAAAGCTGCTCTGTAAAAAGAAAGGTTCAACTCTGTTAGTTGAATACACACGTCACAAACAAGTTTCTGAGAATGCTTCTGTCTAGTTTTTATGGGAAGATATTTCCTTTTTCACCGTAGGCCTCAAAGCGCTCCAAATGTCCACGTCCACATACTACAAAAAGAGTGTTTCAAACCTGCTGTATGAAAGGGAATGTTCAACTCTATGAGTTGAATGCAAACATTACAAAGAAGTTTCTGAGAATGCTTCTGTCTAGATTTTATATGAAGGTTTTCCCGTTTCCAACGAAATTTTCAATGCTCTCAAAATATCCACTTGTAGATTCTACAAAAAGAGTGTTTCCAAACTGCTGTGTCAAAAGAAAGGTTCAACTCTGTTAGTTGAGGACACACATCACAAATAAGTTTCTGAGAATGCTTCTGTCTAGTTCTTATTTGAAGACATTTCCTTTCTCACCTTAGGCCTGAAAACGCTCGAAATATCCACTTCCAGATACGACAGAAACAGTGATTCAAACCTGCTCTATGAAAGGGAATGTTCAACTAGGTGACTTGAATGCAAACATCACAAAGCAGTTTCTGAGAATGCTGCTGTCTACTTTCTATTTGTAATCCCGTTTCCAACGAAATCCTCAGAACTATCGAAATTTCCAATTGCAGATTCCACAAAAAGCGTGTTTCAAAGCTGCTCTGTAAAAAGAAAGGTTCAACTCTGTTAGTTGAATACACACGTCACAAACAAGTTTCTGAGAATGCTTCTGTCTAGTTTCTATGGGAAGATATTTCCTTTTTCACCGTAGGCCTCAAGGCGCTCCAAATGTCCACTTCCACATACTACAAAAAGAGTGTTTCAAACCTGCTCTATGATAGGGAATGTTGAAACCTATGAGTTGAATGCAAGCATTACAAAGAAGTTTCTGAGAATGCTTCTGTCTAGATTTTATATGTAGATATTCCCGTTTCCAACGAAATCCTCAAAGCTATCCAAATATCAACTTGCAGATTCTACAAAAGGAATGTTTCCAAAATGCTGTATCCAAACAAAGGTTCAACTCTGTGAATTGAGGGCATACATCACAAAGAAGATTCTGAGAATGCTTCTGTCTAGATTTTATATGAAAATATTCCCGTTTCCAACGAAATCCTCAAAGCTATCCAAATATCCACTTGCAAATGCCACAAAAAGAGTGTTTCCAAACTGCTCTGTGAAAAGGAAGGTTCAACTCTGTTAGTTGAGTACACACATCACAAAGAGGTTTCTGAGAATGCTGCTGACTAGTTTTTATTTGAAGATATTTCTCTTTTCACCTTAGGCCTAAGAGTGCTCGAAATGTCCATTTCCACATACTCCACAAAGTGTGTTTCAAACGTGCTGTATGAAAGGGAATGTTCAACTCTATGAGTTGAATGCAAACATCACAAAGAAGATTCTGAGAATGCTTTTGTCTAGATTTTATATGAAGATATTCCCGTGTCCAACGAAATTTTCAAAGGTCTCCAAATATCCATTTGTAGTTTCTACAAAAAGAGTGTTTCCAAACTGCTGTATCAAAACAAAGGTTGAACTCTGTGAGTTGAGGACACACATCACAAATAAGTTTCTGAGAATGCTTCTGTCTAGTTTTTATTTGAAGATATTTCCTTTTTCACCATAGGCCTGAAAGCGCTCGAAATGTCCACTTCCAGATAGTACAGAAAGAGTGTTTCAAACCTGCTCTATGAACGGGAATGTTCAGCTCTGTGAGTTGAATGCAAACATCACAAAGCAGGTTCTGAGAATGCTTCCGTCTAGATTTTAAATGAGGATATTCCCGTTTCCAACGAAATCCTCGAAGCTATCCAAATATCCACTTGCAGATTCCACAAAAAGAGTGTTTCAAAACTGCTCTGTCAAAAGATAGGTTCAACTCTGTTAGTTGAGTACACACATGGCAAACAAGATTCCGAGAATGCTTTCGTCTAGTTTTTTTGGGAAGATATTTCCTTCTTCACCATAGGCCTCAAAGCGCTCCAAATATCCATTTCCACATGCTATACAAAGAGTGTCTCAAACCTGCTGTATGAATGGGAATGTTCAACTCTATGAGTTGAATGCAAACATCACAAAGAAGTTTCTGAGAATGCTGCTGTCTAGATTTTATATGAAGGTTTTCCCGCTTCCAACGAAATTTTCAATGCTCTCAAAATATCCTCTTGTAGATTCTACAAAAAGAGTGTTTCCAAACTGCTGTATCAAAACAAAGGTTCATCTCTGTTAGTTGAGGACACACATCACAAATAAGTTTCTGAGAATGCTTCTGTCTAGTTCTTATTTGAAGACATTTCCTTTCTCACCTTAGGCCTGAAAGCGCTCGAAATACCCACTTCCAGATACTACAGAAACAGTGATTCAAACCTGCTCTATGAAAAGGAATGTTCAACTAGGTGACTTGAATGCAAACATCACAAAGCAGTTTCTGAGAATGCTGCTGTCTACTTTCTATTTGTAATCCCGTTTCCAACGAAATCCTCAGAACTATCGAAATTTCCAATTGCAGATTCCACAGAAACAGGGTTTCAAAGCTGCTCTGTAAAAAGAAAGGTTCAACTCTGTTAGTTGAATACACACGTCACAAACAAGTTTCTGAGAATGCTTCTGTCTAGTTTTTATGGGAAGATATTTCCTTTTTCACCGTAGGCCTCAAAGCGCTCCAAATGTCCACTTCCACATACTACAAAAAGAGTGTTTCAAACCTGCTGTATGAAAGGGAATGTTCAACTCTATGAGTTGAATGCAAACATTACAAAGAAGTTTCTGAGAATGCTTCTGTCTAGATTTTATATGAAGGTTTTCCCGTTTCCAACGAAATTTTCAATGCTCTGAAAATATCCACTTGTAGATTCTACAAAAAGAGTGTTTCCAAACTGCTGTGTCAAAAGAAAGGTTCAACTCTGTTAGTTGAGGACACACATCACAAATAAGTTTCTGAGAATGCTTCTGTCTAGTTCTTATTTGAAGACATTTCCTTTCTCACCTTAGGCCTGAAAACGCTCGAAATATCCACTTCCAGATACGACAGAAACAGTGATTCAAACCTGCTCTATGAAAGGGAATGTTCAACTAGGTGACTTGAATGCAAACATCACAAAGCAGTTTCTGAGAATGCTGCTGTCTACTTTCTATTTGTAATCCCGTTTCCAACGAAATCCTCAGAACTATCGAAATTTCCAATTGCAGATTCCACAAAAAGCGTGTTTCAAAGCTGCTCTGTAAAAAGAAAGGTTCAACTCTGTTAGTTGAATACACACGTCACAAACAAGTTTCTGAGAATGCTTCTGTCTAGTTTTTATGGGAAGATATTTCCTTTTTCACCGTAGGCCTCAAAGCGCTCCAAATGTCCACTTCCACATACTACAAAAAGAGTGTTTCAAACCTGCTCTATGATAGGGAATGTTGAAACCTATGAGTTGAATGCAAGCATTACAAAGAGGTTTCTGAGAATGCTTCTGTCTAGATTTTATATGTAGATATTCCCGTTTCCAACGAAATCCTCAAAGCTATCCAAATATCAACTTGCAGATTCTACAAAAGGAATGTTTCCAAAATGCTGTATCCAAACAAAGGTTCAACTCTGTGAATTGAGGACATACATCACAAAGAAGATTCTGAGAATGCTCTGTCTAGATTTTATATGAAAATATTCCCGTTTCCAACGAAATCCTCAAAGCTATCCAAATATCCACTTGCAAATGCCACAAAAAGAGTGTTTCCAAACTGCTCTGTGAAAAGGAAGGTTCAACTCTGTTAGTTGAGTACACACAACACAAAGAGGTTCTGAGAATGCTGGCTGACTAGTTTTATTTGAAGATATTTCCCTTTTCACCTTAGGCCTAAGAGTGCTCGAAATGTCCATTTCCACATACTCCACAAAGTGTGTTTCAAACGTGCTGTATGAAAGGGAATGTTCAACTCTATGAGTTGAATGCAAACATCACAAAGAAGATTCTGAGAATGCTTTTGTCTAGATTTTATATGAAGATATTCCCGTGTCCAACGAAATTTTCAAAGGTCTCCAAATATCCATTTGTAGATTCTACAAAAAGAGTGTTTCCAAACTGCTGTATCAAAACAAAGGTTGAACTCTGTGAGTTGAGGACACACATCACAAATAAGTTTCTGAGAATGCTTCTGTCTAGTTTTTATTTGAAGATGTTTCCTTTTTCACCATAGGCCTGAAAGCGCTCGAAATGTCCACTTCCAGATAGTACAGAAAGAGTGTTTCAAACCTGCTCTATGAACGGGAATGTTCAGCTCTGTGAGTTGAATGCAAACATCACAAAGCAGGTTCTGAGAATGCTTCCGTCTAGATTTTAAATGAGGATATTCCCGTTTCCAACGAAATCCTCGAAGCTATCCAAATATCCACTTGCAGATTCCACAAAAAGAGTGTTTCAAAACTGCTCTGTCAAAAGATAGGTTCAACTCTGTTAGTTGAGTACACACATGGCAAACAAGATTGCGAGAATGCTTTCGTCTAGTTTTTTTGGGAAGATATTTCCTTCTTCACCATAGGCCTCAAAGCGCTCCAAATATCCATTTCCACATGCTATACAAAGAGTGTCTCAAACCTGCTGTATGAATGGGAATGTTCAACTCTATGAGTTGAATGCAAACATCACAAAGAAGTTTCTGAGAATGCTGCTGTCTAGATTTTATATGAAGGTTTTCCCGCTTCCAACGAAATTTTCAATGCTCTCAAAATATCCTCTTGTAGATTCTACAAAAAGAGTGTTTCCAAACTGCTGTATCAAAACAAAGGTTCATCTCTGTTAGTTGAGGACACACATCACAAATAAGTTTCTGAGAATGCTTCTGTCTAGTTCTTATTTGAAGACATTTCCTTTCTCACCTTAGGCCTGAAAGCGCTCGAAATACCCACTTCCAGATACTACAGAAACAGTGACTCAAACCTGCTCTATGAAAGGGAATGTTCAACTAGGTGACTTGAATGCAAACATCACAAAGCAGTTTCTGAGAATGCTGCTGTCTACTTTCTATTTGTAATCCCGTTTCCAACAAAATCCTCAGAACTATCGAAATTTCCAATTGCAGATTCCACAGAAACAGGGTTTCAAAGCTGCTCTGTAAAAAGAAAGGTTCAACTCTGTTAGTTGAATACACACGTCACAAACAAGTTTCTGAGAATGCTTCTGTCTAGTTTTTATGGGAAGATATTTCCTTTTTCACCGTAGGCCTCAAAGCGCTCCAAATGTCCACTTCCACATACTACAAAAAGAGTGTTTCAAACCTGCTGTATGAAAGGGAATGTTCAACTCTATGAGTTGAATGCAAACATTACAAAGAAGTTTCTGAGAATGCTTCTGTCTAGATTTTATATGAAGGTTTTCCCGTTTCCAACGAAATTTTCAATGCTCTCAAAATATCCACTTGTAGATTCTACAAAAAGAGTGTTTCCAAACTGCTGTGTCAAAAGAAAGGTTCAACTCTGTTAGTTGAGGACACACATCACAAATAAGTTTCTGAGAATGCTTCTGTCTAGTTCTTATTTGAAGACATTTCCTTTCTCACCTTAGGCCTGAAAACGCTCGAAATATCCACTTCCAGATACGACAGAAACAGTGATTCAAACCTGCTCTATGAAAGGGAATGTTCAACTAGGTGACTTGAATGCAAACATCACAAAGCAGTTTCTGAGAATGCTGCTGTCTACTTTCTATTTGTAATCCCGTTTCCAACGAAATCCTCAGAACTATCGAAATTTCCAATTGCAGATTCCACAAAAAGCGTGTTTCAAAGCTGCTCTGTAAAAAGAAAGGTTCAACTCTGTTAGTTGAATACACACGTCACAAACAAGTTTCTGAGAATGCTTCTGTCTAGTTTTTATGGGAAGATATTTCCTTTTTCACCGTAGGCCTCAAAGCGCTCCAAATGTCCACTTCCACATACTACAAAAAGAGTGTTTCAAACCTGCTCTATGATAGGGAATGTTGAAACCTATGAGTTGAATGCAAGCATTACAAAGAGGTTTCTGAGAATGCTTCTGTCTAGACTTTATATGTAGATATTCCCGTTTCCAACGAAATCCTCAAACTATCCAAATATCAACTTGCAGATTCTACAAAAGGAATGTTTCCAAAATGCTGTATCCAAACAAAGGTTCAACTCTGTGAATTGAGGGCATACATCACAAAGAAGATTCTGAGAATGCTTCTGTCTAGATTTTATATGAAAATATTCCCGTTTCCAACGAAATCCTCAAAGCTATCCAAATATCCACTTGCAAATGCCACAAAAAGAGTGTTTCCAAACTGCTCTGTGAAAAGGAAGGTTCAACTCTGTTAGTTGAGTACACACATCACAAAGAGGTTTCTGAGAATGCTGCTGACTAGTTTTTATTTGAAGATATTTCCCTTTTCACCTTAGGCCTAAGAGTGCTCGAAATGTCCATTTCCACATACTCCACAAAGTGTGTTTCAAACGTGCTGTATGAAAGGGAATGTTCAACTCTATGAGTTGAATGCAAACATCACAAAGAAGATTCTGAGAATGCTTTTGTCTAGATTTTATATGAAGATATTCCCGTGTCCAACGAAATTTTCAAAGGTCTCCAAATATCCATTTGTAGATTCTACAAAAAGAGTGTTTCCAAACTGCTGTATCAAAACAAAGGTTGAACTCTGTGAGTTGAGGACACACATCACAAATAAGTTTCTGAGAATGCTTCCTGTCTAGTTTTTATTTGAAGATGTTTCCTTTTTCACCATAGGCCTGAAAGCGCTCGAAATGTCCACTTCCAGATAGTACAGAAAGAGTGTTTCAAACCTGCTCTATGAACGGGAATGTTCAGCTCTGTGAGTTGAATGCAAACATCACAAAGCAGGTTCTGAGAATGCTTCCGTCTAGATGTTATATGAGGATATTCCCGTTTCCAACGAAATCCTCGAAGCTTTCCAAATATCCATTTCCAGATTCCACAAAAAGAGTGTTTCAAAACTGCTCTGTCAAAAGATAGGTTCAACTCTGTTAGTTGAGTACACACATGGCAAACAAGATTCCGAGAATGCTTTCGTCTAGTTTTTTTGGGAAGATATTTCCTTCTTCACCATAGGCCTCAAAGCGCTCCAAATATCCATTTCCACATGCTATACAAAGAGTGTCTCAAACCTGCTGTATGAATGGGAATGTTCAACTCTATGAGTTGAATGCAAACATCACAAAGAAGTTTGCTGAGAATGCTGGCTGTCTAGATTTTATATGAAGGTTTTCCCGCTTCCAACGAAATTTTCAATGCTCTCAAAATATCCTCTTGTAGATTCTACAAAAAGAGTGTTTCCAAACTGCTGTATCAAAACAAAGGTTCATCTCTGTTAGTTGAGGACACACATCACAAATAAGTTTCTGAGAATGCTTCTGTCTAGTTCTTATTTGAAGACATTTCCTTTCTCACCTTAGGCCTGAAAGCGCTCGAAATACCCACTTCCAGATACTACAGAAACAGTGATTCAAACCTGCTCTATGAAAGGGAATGTTCAACTAGGTGACTTGAATGCAAACATCACAAAGCAGTTTCTGAGAATGCTGCTGTCTACTTTCTATTTGTAATCCCGTTTGCAACGAAATCCTCAGAACTATCGAAATTTCCAATTGCAGATTCCACAGAAACAGGGTTTCAAAGCTGCTCTGTAAAAAGAAAGGTTCAACTCTGTTAGTTGAATACACACGTCACAAACAAGTTTCTGAGAATGCTTCTGTCTAGTTTTTATGGGAAGATATTTCCTTTTTCACGGTAGGCCTCAAAGCGCTCCAAATGTCCACTTCCACATACTACAAAAAGAGTGTTTCAAACCTGCTCTATGATAGGGAATGTTGAAACCTATGAGTTGAATGCAAGCATTACAAAGAGGTTTCTGAGAATGCTTCTGTCTAGATTTTATATGTAGATATTCCCGTTTCCAACGAAATCCTCAAACTATCCAAATATCAACTTGCAGATTCTACAAAAGGAATGTTTCCAAAATGCTGTATCCAAACAAAGGTTCAACTCTGTGAATTGAGGGCATACATCACAAAGAAGATTCTGAGAATGCTTCTGTCTAGATTTTATATGAAAATATTCCCGTTTCCAACGAAATCCTCAAAGCTATCCAAATATCCACTTGCAAATGCCACAAAAAGAGTGTTTCCAAACTGCTCTGTGAAAAGGAAGGTTCAACTCTGTTAGTTGAGTACACACATCACAAAGAGGTTTCTGAGAATGCTGCTGACTAGTTTTTATTTGAAGATATTTCCCTTTTCACCTTAGGCCTAAGAGTGCTCGAAATGTCCATTTCCACATACTCCACAAAGTGTGTTTCAAACGTGCTGTATGAAAGGGAATGTTCAACTCTATGAGTTGAATGCAAACATCACAAAGAAGATTCTGAGAATGCTTTTGTCTAGATTTTATATGAAGATATTCCCGTGTCCAACGAAATTTTCAAAGGTCTCCAAATACCCATTTGTTGATTCTACAAAAAGAGTGTTTCCAAACTGCTGTATCAAAACAAAGGTTGAACTCTGTGAGTTGAGGACACACATCACAAATAAGTTTCTGAGAATGCTTCTGTCTAGTTTTTATTTGAAGATGTTTCCTTTTTCACCATAGGCCTGAAAGCGCTCGAAATGTCCACTTCCAGATAGTACAGAAAGAGTGTTTCAAACCTGCTCTATGAACGGGAATGTTCAGCTCTGTGAGTTGAATGCAAACATCACAAAGCAGGTTCTGAGAATGCTTCCGTCTAGATTTTAAATGAGGATATTCCCGTTTCCAACGAAATCCTCGAAGCTATCCAAATATCCACTTGCAGATTCCACAAAAAGAGTGTTTCAAAACTGCTCTGTCAAAAGATAGGTTCAACTCTGTTAGTTGAGTACACACATGGCAAACAAGATTCCGAGAATGCTTTCGTCTAGTTTTTTTGGGAAGATATTTCCTTCTTCACCATAGGCCTCAAAGCGCTCCAAATATCCATTTCCACATGCTATACAAAGAGTGTCTCAAACCTGCTGTATGAATGGGAATGTTCAACTCTATGAGTTGAATGCAAACATCACAAAGAAGTTTCTGAGAATGCTGCTGTCTAGATTTTATATGAAGGTTTTCCCGCTTCCAACGAAATTTTCAATGCTCTCAAAATATCCTCTTGTAGATTCTACAAAAAGAGTGTTTCCAAACTGCTGTATCAAAACAAAGGTTCATCTCTGTTAGTTGAGGACACACATCACAAATAAGTTTCTGAGAATGCTTCTGTCTAGTTCTTATTTGAAGACATTTCCTTTCTCACCTTAGGCCTGAAAGCGCTCGAAATACCCACTTCCAGATACTACAGAAACAGTGATTCAAACCTGCTCTATGAAAGGGAATGTTCAACTATGTGACTTGAATGCAAACATCACAAAGCAGTTTCTGAGAATGCTGCTGTCTACTTTCTATTTGTAATCCCGTTTCCAACGAAATCCTCAGAACTATCGAAATTTCCAATTGCAGATTCCACAGAAACAGGGTTTCAAAGCTGCTCTGTAAAAAGAAAGGTTCAACTCTGTTAGTTGAATACACACGTCACAAACAAGTTTCTGAGAATGCTTCTGTCTAGTTTTTATGGGAAGATATTTCCTTTTTCACCGTAGGCCTCAAAGCGCTCCAAATGTCCACTTCCACATACTACAAAAAGAGTGTTTCAAACCTGCTGTATGAAAGGGAATGTTCAACTCTATGAGTCGAATGCAAACATTACAAAGAAGTTTCTGAGAATGCTTCTGTCTAGATTTTATATGAAGGTTTTCCCGTTTCCAACGAAATTTTCAATGCTCTCAAAATATCCACTTGTAGATTCTACAAAAAGAGTGTTTCCAAACTGCTCTGTGAAAAGGAAGGTTCAACTCTGTTAGTTGAGTACACACATCACAAAGAGGTTTCTGAGAATGCTGCTGACTAGTTTTTATTTGAAGATATTTCCCTTTTCACCTTAGGCCTAAGAGTGCTCGAAATGTCCATTTCCACATACTCCACAAAGTGTGTTTCAAACGTGCTGTATGAAAGAGAATGTTCAACTCTATGAGTTGAATGCAAACATCACAAAGAAGATTCTGAGAATGCTTTTGTCTAGATTTTATATGAAGATATTCCCGTGTCCAACGAAATTTTCAAAGGTCTCCAAATATCCATTTGTAGATTCTACAAAAAGAGTGTTTCCAAACTGCTGTATCAAAACAAAGGTTGAACTCTGTGAGTTGAGGACACACATCACAAATAAGTTTCTGAGAATGCTTCTGTCTAGTTTTTATTTGAAGATGTTTCCTTTTTCACCATAGGCCTGAAAGCGCTCGAAATGTCCACTTCCAGATAGTACAGAAAGAGTGTTTCAAACCTGCTCTATGAACGGGAATGTTCAGCTCTGTGAGTTGAATGCAAACATCACAAAGCAGGTTCTGAGAATGCTTCCGTCTAGATTTTAAATGAGGATATTCCCGTTTCCAACGAAATCCTCGAAGCTATCCAAATATCCACTTGCAGATTCCACAAAAAGAGTGTTTCAAAACTGCTCTGTCAAAAGATAGGTTCAACTCTGTTAGTTGAGTACACACATGGCAAACAAGATTGCGAGAATGCTTTCGTCTAGTTTTTTTGGGAAGATATTTCCTTCTTCACCATAGGCCTCAAAGCGCTCCAAATATCCATTTCCACATGCTATACAAAGAGTGTCTCAAACCTGCTGTATGAATGGGAATGTTCAACTCTATGAGTTGAATGCAAACATCACAGAGAAGTTTCTGAGAATGCTGCTGTCTAGATTTTATATGAAGGTTTTCCCGCTTCCAACGAAATTTTCAATGCTCTCAAAATATCCTCTTGTAGATTCTACAAAAAGAGTGTTTCCAAACTGCTGTATCAAAACAAAGGTTCATCTCTGTTAGTTGAGGACACACATCACAAATAAGTTTCTGAGAATGCTTCTGTCTAGTTCTTATTTGAAGACATTTCCTTTCTCACCTTAGGCCTGAAAGCGCTCGTAATACCCACTTCCAGATACTACAGAAACAGTGATTCAAACCTGCTCTATGAAAGGGAATGTTCAACTAGGTGACTTGAATGCAAACATCACAAAGCAGTTTCTGAGAATGCTGCTGTCTACTTTCTATTTGTAATCCCGTTTCCAACGAAATCCTCAGAACTATCGAAATTTCCAATTGCAGATTCCACAGAAACAGGGTTTCAAAGCTGCTCTGTAAAAAGAAAGGTTCAACTCTGTTAGTTGAATACACACGTCACAAACAAGTTTCTGAGAATGCTTCTGTCTAGTTTTTATGGGAAGATATTTCCTTTTTCACCGTAGGCCTCAAAGCGCTCCAAATGTCCACTTCCACATACTACAAAAAGAGTGTTTCAAACCTGCTGTATGAAAGGGAATGTTCAACTCTATGAGTTGAATGCAAACATTACAAAGAAGTTTCTGAGAATGCTTCTGTCTAGATTTTATATGAAGGTTTTCCCGTTTCCAACGAAATTTTCAATGCTCTCAAAATATCCACTTGTAGATTCTACAAAAAGAGTGTTTCCAAACTGCTGTGTCAAAAGAAAGGTTCAACTCTGTTAGTTGAGGACACACATCACAAATAAGTTTGCTGAGAATGCTGCTGTCTACTTTCTCTTTGTAATCCCGTTTCCAACGAAATCCTCAGAACTATCGAAATTTCCAATTGCAGATTCCACAAAAAGCGTGTTTCAAAGCTGCTCTGTAAAAAGAAAGGTTCAACTCTGTTAGTTGAATACACACGTCACAAACAAGTTTCTGAGAATGCTTCTGTCTAGTTTTTATGGGAAGATATTTCCTTTTTCACCGTAGGCCTCAAAGCGCTCCAAATGTCCACTTCCACATACTACAAAAAGAGTGTTTCAAACCTGCTCTATGATAGGGAATGTTGAAACCTATGAGTTGAATGCAAGCATTACAAAGAGGTTTCTGAGAATGCTTCTGTCTAGATTTTATATGTAGATATTCCCGTTTCCAACGAAATCCTCAAAGCTATCCAAATATCAACTTGCAGATTCTACAAAAGGAATGTTTCCAAAATGCTGTATCCAAACAAAGGTTCAACTCTGTGAATTGAGGGCATACATCACAAAGAAGATTCTGAGAATGCTTCTGTCTAGATTTTATATGAAAATATTCCCGTTTCCAACGAAATCCTCAAAGCTATCCAAATATCCACTTGCAAATGCCACAAAAAGAGTGTTTCCAAACTGCTCTGTGAAAAGGAAGGTTCAACTCTGTTAGTTGAGTACACACATCACAAAGAGGTTTCTGAGAATGCTGCTGACTAGTTTTTATTTGAAGATATTTCCCTTTTCACCTTAGGCCTAAGAGTGCTCGAAATGTCCATTTCCACATATTCCACAAAGTGTGTTTCAAACGTGCTGTATGAAAGGGAATGTTCAACTCTATGAGTTGAATGCAAACATCACAAAGAAGATTCTGAGAATGCTTTTGTCTAGATTTTATATGAAGATATTCCCGTGTCCAATGAAATTTTCAAAGGTCTCCAAATATCCATTTGTAGATTCTACAAAAAGAGTGTTTCCAAACTGCTGTATCAAAACAAAGGTTGAACTCTGTGAGTTGAGGACACACATCACAAATAAGTTTCTGAGAATGCTTCTGTCTAGTTTTTATTTGAAGATGTTTCCTTTTTCACCATAGGCCTGAAAGCGCTCGAAATGTCCACTTCCAGATAGTACAGAAAGAGTGTTTCAAACCTGCTCTATGAACGGGAATGTTCAGCTCTGTGAGTTGAATGCAAACATCACAAAGCAGGTTCTGAGAATGCTTCCGTCTAGATTTTAAATGAGGATATTCCCGTTTCCAACGAAATCCTCGAAGCTATCCAAATATCCACTTGCAGATTCCACAAAAAGAGTGTTTCAAAACTGCTCTGTCAAAAGATAGGTTCAACTCTGTTAGTTGAGTACACACATGGCAAACAAGATTCCGAGAATGCTTTCGTCTAGTTTTTTTGGGAAGATATTTCCTTCTTCACCATAGGCCTCAAAGCGCTCCAAATATCCATTTCCACATGCTATACAAAGAGTGTCTCAAACCTGCTGTATGAATGGGAATGTTCAACTCTATGAGTTGAATGCAAACATCACAAAGAAGTTTCTGAGAATGCTGCTGTCTAGATTTTATATGAAGGTTTTCCCGCTTCCAACGAAATTTTCAATGCTCTCAAAATATCCTCTTGTAGATTCTACAAAAAGAGTGTTTCCAAACTGCTGTATCAAAACAAAGGTTCATCTCTGTTAGTTGAGGACACACATCACAAATAAGTTTCTGAGAATGCTTCTGTCTAGTTCTTATTTGAAGACATTTCCTTTCTCACCTTAGGCCTGAAAGCGCTCGAAATACCCACTTCCAGATACGACAGAAACTGTGATTCAAACCTGCTCTATGAAAGGGAATGTTCAACTAGGTGACTTGAATGCAAACATCACAAAGCAGTTTCTGAGAATGCTGCTGTCTACTTTCTATTTGTAATCCCGTTTCCAACGAAATCCTCAGAACTATCGAAATTTCCAATTGCAGATTCCACAAAAAGCGTGTTTCAAAGCTGCTCTGTAAAAAGAAAGGTTCAACTCTGTTAGTTGAATACACACGTCACAAACAAGTTTCTGAGATTGCTTCTGTCTAGTTTTTATGGGAAGATATTTCCTTTTTCACCGTAGGCCTCAAAGCGCTCCAAATGTCCACTTCCACATACTACAAAAAGAGTGTTTCAAACCTGCTGTATGAAAGGGAATGTTCAACTCTATGAGTTGAATGCAAACATTACAAAGAAGTTTCTGAGAATGCTTCTGTCTAGATTTTATATGAAGGTTTTCCCGTTTCCAACGAAATTTTCAATGCTCTCAAAATATCCACTTGTAGATTCTACAAAAAGAGTGTTTCCAAACTGCTGTGTCAAAAGAAAGGTTCAACTCTGTTAGTTGAGGACACACATCACAAATAAGTTTCTGAGAATGCTTCTGTCTAGTTCTTATTTGAAGACATTTCCTTTCTCACCTTAGGCCTGAAAACGCTCGAAATATCCACTTCCAGATACGACAGAATCAGTGATTCAAACCTGCTCTATGAAAGGGAATGTTCTACTAGGTGACTTGAATGCAAACATCACAAAGCAGTTTCTGAGAATGCTGCTGTCTACTTTCTATTTGTAATCCCGTTTCCAACGAAATCCTCAGAACTATCGAAATTTCCAATTGCAGATTCCACAAAAAGCGTGTTTCAAAGCTGCTCTGTAAAAAGAAAGGTTCAACTCTGTTTGTTGAATACACACGTCACAAACAAGTTTCTGAGAATGCTTCTGTCTAGTTTTTATGGGAAGATATTTCCTTTTTCACCGTAGGCCTCAAAGCGCTCCAAATGTCCACTTCCACATACTACAAAAAGAGTGTTTCAAACCTGCTCTATGATAGGGAATGTTGAAACCTATGAGTTGAATGCAAGCATTACAAAGAGGTTTCTGAGAATGCTTCTGTCTAGATTTTATATGTAGATATTCCCGTTTCCAATGAAATCCTCAAAGCTATCCAAATATCAACTTGCAGATTCTACAAAAGGAATGTTTCCAAAATGCTGTATCCAAACAAAGGTTCAACTCTGTGAATTGAGGGCATACATCACAAAGAAGATTCTGAGAATGCTTTCCTGTCTAGATTTTATATGAAAATATTCCCGTTTCCAACGAAATCCTCAAAGCTATCCAAATATCCACTTGCAAATGCCACAAAAAGAGTGTTTCCAAACTGCTCTGTGAAAAGGAAGGTTCAACTCTGTTAGTTGAGTACACACATCACAAAGAGGTTTCTGAGAATGCTGCTGACTAGTTTTTATTTGAAGATATTTCCCTTTTCACCTTAGGCCTAAGAGTGCTCGAAATGTCCATTTCCACATACTCCACAAAGTGTGTTTCAAACGTGCTGTATGAAAGGGAATGTTCAACTCTATGAGTTGAATGCAAACATCACAAAGAAGATTCTGAGAATGCTTTTGTCTAGATTTTATATGAAGATATTCCCGTGTCCAACGAAATTTTCAAAGGTCTCCAAATATCCATTTGTAGATTCTACAAAAAGAGTGTTTCCAAACTGCTGTATCAAAACAAAGGTTGAACTCTGTGAGTTGAGGACACACATCACAAATAAGTTTCTGAGAATGCTTCTGTCTAGTTTTTATTTGAAGATGTTTCCTTTTTCACCATAGGCCTGAAAGTGCTCGAAATGTCCACTTCCAGATAGTACAGAAAGAGTGTTTCAAACCTGCTCTATGAACGGGAATGTTCAGCTCCGTGAGTTGAATGCAAACATCACAAAGCAGGTTCTGAGAATGCTTCCGTCTAGGATTTTAAATGAGGATATTCCCGTTTCCAACGAAATCCTCGAAGCTATCCAAATATCCACTTGCAGATTCCACAAAAAGAGTGTTTCAAAACTGCTCTGTCAAAAGATAGGTTCAACTCTGTTAGTTGAGTACACACATGGCAAACAAGATTCCGAGAATGCTTTCGTCTAGTTTTTTTGGGAAGATATTTCCTTCTTCACCATAGGCCTCAAAGCGCTCCAAATATCCATTTCCACATGCTATACAAAGAGTGTCTCAAACCTGCTGTATGAATGGGAATGTTCAACTCTATGAGTTGAATGCAAACATCACAAAGAAGTTTCTGAGAATGCTGCTGTCTAGATTTTATATGAAGGTTTTCCCGCTTCCAACGAAATTTTCAATGCTCTCAAAATATCCTCTTGTAGATTCTACAAAAAGAGTGTTTCCAAACTGCTGTATCAAAACAAAGGTTCATCTCTGTTAGTTGAGGACACACATCACAAATAAGTTTCTGAGAATGCTTCTGTCTAGTTCTTATTTGAAGACATTTCCTTTCTCACCTTAGGCCTGAAAGCGCTCGAAATACCCACTTCCAGATACTACAGAAACAGTGATTCAAACCTGCTCTATGAAAGGGAATGTTCAACTAGGTGACTTGAATGCAAACATCACAAAGCAGTTTCTGAGAATGCTGCTGTCTACTTTCTATTTGTAATCCCGTTTGCAACGAAATCCTCAGAACTATCGAAATTTCCAATTGCAGATTCCACAGAAACAGGGTTTCAAAGCTGCTCTGTAAAAAGAAAGGTTCAACTCTGTTAGTTGAATACACACGTCACAAACAAGTTTCTGAGAATGCTTCTGTCTAGTTTTTATGGGAAGATATTTCCTTTTTCACCGTAGGCCTCAAAGCGCTCCAAATGTCCACTTCCACATACTACAAAAAGAGTGTTTCAAACCTGGTGTATGAAAGGGAATGTTCAACTCTATGAGTTGAATGCAAACATTACAAAGAAGTTTCTGAGAATGCTTCTGTCTAGATTTTATATGAAGGTTTTCCCGTTTCCAACGAAATTTTCAATGCTCTCAAAATATGCACTTGTAGATTCTACAAAAAGAGTGTTTCCAAACTGCTGTGTCAAAAGAAAGGTTCAACTCTGTTAGTTGAGGACACACATCACAAATAAGTTTCTGAGAATGCTTCTGTCTAGTTCTTATTTGAAGACATTTCCTTTCTCACCTTAGGCCTGAAAACGCTCGAAATATCCACTTCCAGATACGACAGAAACAGTGATTCAAACCTGCTCTATGAAAGGGAATGTTCAACTAGGTGACTTGAATGCAAACATCACAAAGCAGTTTCTGAGAATGCTGCTGTCTACTTTCTATTTGTATCCCGTTTCCAACGAAATCCTCAGAACTATCGAAATTTCCAATTGCAGATTCCACAGAAACAGGGTTTCAAAGCTGCTCTGTAAAAAGAAAGGTTCAACTCTGTTAGTTGAATACACACGTCACAAACAAGTTTCTGAGAATGCTTCTGTCTAGTTTTTATGGGAAGATATTTCCTTTTTCACGGTAGGCCTCAAAGCGCTCCAAATGTCCACTTCCACATACTACAAAAAGAGTGTTTCAAACCTGCTCTATGATAGGGAATGTTGAAACCTATGAGTTGAATGCAAGCATTACAAAGAGGTTTCTGAGAATGCTTCTGTCTAGATTTTATATGTAGATATTCCCGTTTCCAACGAAATCCTCAAAGCTATCCAAATATCAACTTGCAGATTCTACAAAAGGAATGTTTCCAAAATGCTGTATCCAAACAAAGGTTCAACTCTGTGAATTGAGGGCATACATCACAAAGAAGATTCTGAGAATGCTTCTGTCTAGATTTTATATGAAAATATTCCCGTTTCCAACGAAATCCTCAAAGCTATCCAAATATCCACTTGCAAATGCCACAAAAAGAGTGTTTCCAAACTGCTCTGTGAAAAGGAAGGTTCAACTCTGTTAGTTGAGTACACACATCACAAAGAGGTTTCTGAGAATGCTGCTGACTAGTTTTTATTTGAAGATATTTCCCTTTTCACCTTAGGCCTAAGAGTGCTCGAAATGTCCATTTCCACATACTCCACAAAGTGTGTTTCAAACGTGCTGTATGAAAGGGAATGTTCAACTCTATGAGTTGAATGCAAACATCACAAAGAAGATTCTGAGAATGCTTTTGTCTAGATTTTATATGAAGATATTCCCGTGTCCAACGAAATTTTCAAAGGTCTCCAAATATCCATTTGTAGATTCTACAAAAAGAGTGTTTCCAAACTGCTGTATCAAAACAAAGGTTGAACTCTGTGAGTTGAGGACACACATCACAAATAAGTTTCTGAGAATGCTTCTGTCTAGTTTTTATTTGAAGATGTTTCCTTTTTCACCATAGGCCTGAAAGCGCTCGAAATGTCCACTTCCAGATAGTACAGAAAGAGTGTTTCAAACCTGCTCTATGAACGGGAATGTTCAGCTCTGTGAGTTGAATGCAAACATCACAAAGCAGGTTCTGAGAATGCTTCCGTCTAGGTTTTAAATGAGGATATTCCCGTTTCCAACGAAATCCTCGAAGCTATCCAAATATCCACTTGCAGATTCCACAAAAAGAGTGTTTCAAAACTGCTCTGTCAAAAGATAGGTTCAACTCTGTTAGTTGAGTACACACATGGCAAACAAGATTCCGAGAATGCTTTCGTCTAGTTTTTTTGGGAAGATATTTCCTTCTTCACCATAGGCCTCAAAGCGCTCCAAATATCCATTTCCACATGCTATACAAAGAGTGTCTCAAACCTGCTGTATGAATGGGAATGTTCAACTCTATGAGTTGAATGCAAACATCACAAAGAAGTTTCTGAGAATGCTGCTGTCTAGATTTTATATGAAGGTTTTCCCGCTTCCAACGAAATTTTCAATGCTCTCAAAATATCCTCTTGTAGATTCTACAAAAAGAGTGTTTCCAAACTGCTGTATCAAAACAAAGGTTCATCTCTGTTAGTTGAGGACACACATCACAAATAAGTTTCTGAGAATGCTTCTGTCTAGTTCTTATTTGAAGACATTTCCTTTCTCACCTTAGGCCTGAAAGTGCTCGAAATACCCACTTCCAGATACTACAGAAACAGTGTTTCAAACCTGCTCTATGAAAGGGAATGTTCAACAATGTGACTTGAATGCAAGCATCACAAAGCAGTTTCTGAGAATGCTGCTGTCTACTTTCTATTTGTAATCCCGTTTCCAACGAAATCCTCAGATCTATCGAAATTTCCAATTGCAGATTCCACAGAAACAGGGTTTCAAAGCTGCTCTGTAAAAAGAAAGGTTCAACTCTGTTAGTTGAATACACACGTCACAAACAAGTTTCTGAGAATGCTTCTGTCTAGTTTTTATGGGAAGATATTTCCTTTTTCACCGTAGGCCACAAAGCGCTCCAAATGTCCACTTCCACATACTATAAAAAGAGTGTTTCAAACCTGCTGTATGAAAGGGAATGTTCAACTCTATGAGTCGAATGCAAACATTACAAAGAAGTTTCTGAGAATGCTTCTGTCTAGATTTTATATGAAGGTTTTCCCGTTTCCAACGAAATTTTCAATGCTCTCAAAATATCCACTTGTAGATTCTACAAAAAGAGTGTTTCCAAACTGCTGTGTCAAAAGAAAGGTTCAACTCTGTTAGTTGAGGACACACATCACAAATAAGTTTCTGAGAATGCTTCTGTCTAGTTCTTATTTGAAGACATTTCCTTTCTCACCTTAGGCCTGAAAACGCTCGAAATATCCACTTCCAGATACGACAGAAACAGTGATTCAAACCTGCTCTATGAAAGGGAATGTTCAACTAGGTGACTTGAATGCAAACATCACAAAGCAGTTTCTGAGAATGCTGCTGTCTACTTTCTATTTGTAATCCCGTTTCCAACGAAATCCTCAGAACTATCGAAATTTCCAATTGCAGATTCCACAAAAAGCGTGTTTCAAAGCTGCTCTGTAAAAAGAAAGGTTCAACTCTGTTAGTTGAATACACACGTCACAAACAAGTTTCTGAGAATGCTTCTGTCTAGTTTTTATGGGAAGATATTTCCTTTTTCACGGTAGGCCTCAAAGCGCTCCAAATGTCCACTTCCACATACTACAAAAAGAGTGTTTCAAACCTGCTCTATGATAGGGAATGTTGAAACCTATGAGTTGAATGCAAGCATTACAAAGAGGTTTCTGAGAATGCTTCTGTCTAGATTTTATATGTAGATATTCCCGTTTCCAACGAAATCCTCAAAGCTATCCAAATATCAACTTGCAGATTCTACAAAAGGAATGTTTCCAAAATGCTGTATCCAAACAAAGGTTCAACTCTGTGAATTGAGGGCATACATCACAAAGAAGATTCTGAGAATGCTTCTGTCTAGATTTTATATGAAAATATTCCCGTTTCCAACGAAATCCTCAAAGCTATCCAAATATCCACTTGCAAATGCCACAAAAAGAGTGTTTCCAAACTGCTCTGTGAAAAGGAAGGTTCAACTCTGTTAGTTGAGTACACACATCACAAAGAGGTTTCTGAGAATGCTGCTGACTAGTTTTTATTTGAAGATATTTCCCTTTTCACCTTAGGCCTAAGAGTGCTCGAAATGTCCATTTCCACATACTCCACAAAGTGTGTTTCAAACGTGCTGTATGAAAGGGAATGTTCAACTCTATGAGTTGAATGCAAACATCACAAAGAAGATTCTGAGAATGCTTTTGTCTAGATTTTATATGAAGATATTCCCGTGTCCAACGAAATTTTCAAAGGTCTCCAAATAAAGATTGTTTCCAAACTGCTGTATCAAAACAAAGGTTGAACTCTGTGAGTTGAGGACACACATCACAAATAAGTTTCTGAGAATGCTTCTGTCTAGTTTTTATTTGAAGATGTTTCCTTTTTCACCATAGGCCTGAAAGCGCTCGAAATGTCCACTTCCAGATAGTACAGAAAGAGTGTTTCAAACCTGCTCTATGAACGGGAATGTTCAGCTCTGTGAGTTGAATGCAAACATCACAAAGCAGGTTCTGAGAATGCTTCCGTCTAGATTTTAAATGAGGATATTCCCGTTTCCAACGAAATCCTCGAAGCTATCCAAATATCCACTTGCAGATTCCACAAAAAGAGTGTTTCAAAACTGCTCTGTCAAAAGATAGGTTCAACTCCGTTAGTTGAGTACACACATGGCAAACAAGATTGCGAGAATGCTTTCGTCTAGTTTTTTTGGGAAGATATTTCCTTCTTCACCATAGGCCTCAAAGCGCTCCAAATATCCATTTCCACATGCTATACAAAGAGTGTCTCAAACCTGCTGTATGAATGGGAATGTTCAACTCTATGAGTTGAATGCAAACATCACAAAGAAGTTTCTGAGAATGCTGCTGTCTAGATTTTATATGAAGGTTTTCCCGCTTCCAACGAAATTTTCAATGCTCTCAAAATATCCTCTTGTAGATTCTACAAAAAGAGTGTTTCCAAACTGCTGTATCAAAACAAAGGTTCATCTCTGTTAGTTGAGGACACACATCACAAATAAGTTTCTGAGAATGCTTCTGTCTAGTTCTTATTTGAAGACATTTCCTTTCTCACCTTAGGCCTGAAAGTGCTCGAAATACCCACTTCCAGATACTACAGAAACAGTGTTTCAAACCTGCTCTATGAAAGGGAATGTTCAACAATGTGACTTGAATGCAAGCATCACAAAGCAGTTTCTGAGAATGCTGCTGTCTACTTTCTATTTGTAATCCCGTTTGCAACGAAATCCTCAGAACTATCGAAATTTCCAATTGCAGATTCCACAGAAACAGGGTTTCAAAGCTGCTCTGTAAAAAGAAAGGTTCAACTCTGTTAGTTGAATACACACGTCACAAACAAGTTTCTGAGAATGCTTCTGTCTAGTTTTTATGGGAAGATATTTCCTTCTTCACCATAGGCCTCAAAGCGCTCCAAATATCCATTTCCACATGCTATACAAAGAGTGTCTCAAACCTGCTGTATGAATGGGAATGTTCAACTCTATGAGTTGAATGCAAACATCACAAAGAAGTTTCTGAGAATGCTGCTGTCTAGATTTTATATGAAGGTTTTCCCGCTTCCAACGAAATTTTCAATGCTCTCAAAATATCCTCTTGTAGATTCTACAAAAAGAGTGTTTCCAAACTGCTGTATCAAAACAAAGGTTCATCTCTGTTAGTTGAGGACACACATCACAAATAAGTTTCTGAGAATGCTTCTGTCTAGTTCTTATTTGAAGACATTTCCTTTCTCACCTTAGGCCTGAAAACGCTCGAAATATCCATTTCCAGATACGACAGAAACAGTGATTCAAACCTGCTCTATGAAAGGGAATGTTCAACTAGGTGACTTGAATGCAAACATCACAAAGCAGTTTCTGAGAATGCTGCTGTCTACTTTCTATTTGTAATCCCGTTTCCAACGAAATCCTCAGAACTATCGAAATTTCCAATTGCAGATTCCACAAAAAGCGTGTTTCAAAGCTGCTCTGTAAAAAGAAAGGTTCAACTCTGTTAGTTGAATACACACGTCACAAACAAGTTTCTGAGAATGCTTCTGTCTAGTTTTTATGGGAAGATATTTCCTTTTTCACCGTAGGCCTCAAAGCGCTCCAAATGTCCACTTTCACATACTACAAAAAGAGTGTTTCAAACCTGCTCTATGATAGGGAATGTTGAAACCTATGAGTTGAATGCAAGCATTACAAAGAGGTTTCTGAGAATGCTTCTGTCTAGATTTTATATGTAGATATTCCCGTTTCCAACGAAATCCTCAAAGCTATCCAAATATCAACTTGCAGATTCTACAAAAGGAATGTTTCCAAAATGCTGTATCCAAACAAAGGTTCAACTCTGTGAATTGAGGGCATACATCACAAAGAAGATTCTGAGAATGCTTCTGTCTAGATTTTATATGAAAATATTCCCGTTTCCAACGAAATCCTCAAAGCTATCCAAATATCCACTTGCAAATGCCACAAAAAGAGTGTTTCCAAACTGCTCTGTGAAAAGGAAGGTTCAACTCTGTTAGTTGAGTACACACATCACAAAGAGGTTTCTGAGAATGCTGCTGACTAGTTTTTATTTGAAGATATTTCCCTTTTCACCTTAGGCCTAAGAGTGCTCGAAATGTCCATTTCCACATACTCCACAAAGTGTGTTTCAAACGTGCTGTATGAAAGGGAATGTTCAACTCTATGAGTTGAATGCAAACATCACAAAGAAGATTCTGAGAATGCTTTTGTCTAGATTTTATATGAAGATATTCCCGTGTCCAACGAAATTTTCAAAGGTCTCCAAATATCCATTTGTAGATTCTACAAAAAGAGTGCTTCCAAACTGCTGTATCAAAACAAAGGTTGAACTCTGTGAGTTGAGGACACACATCACAAATAAGTTTCTGAGAATGCTTCTGTCTAGTTTTTATTTGAAGATGTTTCCTTTTTCACCATAGGCCTGAAAGCGCTCGAAATGTCCACTTCCAGATAGTACAGAAAGAGTGTTTCAAACCTGCTCTATGAACGGGAATGTTCAGCTCTGTGAGTTGAATGCAAACATCACAAAGCAGGTTCTGAGAATGCTTCCGTCTAGATTTTAAATGAGGATATTCCCGTTTCCAACGAAATCCTCGAAGCTATCCAAATATCCACTTGCAGATTCCACAAAAAGAGTGTTTCAAAACTGCTCTGTCAAAAGATAGGTTCAACTCTGTTAGTTGAGTACACACATGGCAAACAAGATTCCGAGAATGCTTTCGTCTAGTTTTTTTGGGAAGATATTTCCTTCTTCACCATAGGCCTCAAAGCGCTCCAAATATCCATTTCCACATGCTATACAAAGAGTGTCTCAAACCTGCTGTATGAAATGGGAATGTTCAACTCTATGAGTTGAATGCAAACATCACAAAGAAGTTTCTGAGAATGCTTCTGTCTAGATTTTATATGTAGATATTCCCGTTTCCAACGAAATCCTCAAAGCTATCCAAATATCAAATTGCAGACTCTACGAAAGGAATGTTTCAAAATGCTGTATCCAAACAAAGGTTCAACTCTGTTAATTGAGGACATTCATCACAAACAAGATTCTGAGAATGCTTCTGTCTAGATTTTATATGAAGTTATTCCCGTTTCCAACGAAATCCTCAAAGCTATCCAAATATCCATTTGCAGATTCCACAAAAGAGTTTTTCAAAACTGCTCTGTCAAAAGATAGGTTCAACTCTGTTAGTTGAGTACACACATGACAAACAAGATTCCGAGAATGCTGCTGTCTACTTTCTATTTGTAATCCCGTTTCCAACGAAATCCTCAGAACTATCGAAATTTCCAATTGCAGATTCCACAGAAACAGGGTTTCAAAGCTGCTCTGTAAAAAGAAAGGTTCAACTCTGTTAGTTGAATACACACGTCACAAACAAGTTTCTGAGAATGCTTCTGTCTAGTTTTTATGGGAAGATATTCCCTTTTTCACCGTAGGCCTCAAAGCGCTCCAAATGTCCACGTCCACATACTACAAAAAGAGTGTTTCAAACCTGCTGTATGAAAGGGAATGTTCAACTCTATGAGTTGAATGCAAGCATTACAAAGAAGTTTCTGAGAATGCTTCTGTCTAGATTTTATATGAAGGTTTTCCCCGTTTCCAACGAAATTTTCAATGCTCTCAAAATATCCACTTGTAGATTCTACAAAAAGAGTGTTTCCAAACTGCTGTGTCAAAAGAAAGGTTCAACTCTGTTAGTTGAGGACACACATCACAAATAAGTTTCTGAGAATGCTTCTGTCTAGTTCTTATTTGAAGACATTTCCTTTCTCACCTTAGGCCTGAAAACGCTCGAAATATCCACTTCCAGATACGACAGAAACAGTGATTCAAACCTGCTCTATGAAAGGGAATGTTCAACTAGGTGACTTGAATGCAAACATCACAAAGCAGTTTCTGAGAATGCTGCTGTCTACTTTCTATTTGTAATCCCGTTTCCAACGAAATCCTCAGAACTATCGAAATTTCCAATTGCAGATTCCACAGAAACAGGGTTTCAAAGCTGCTCTGTAAAAAGAAAGGTTCAACTCTGTTAGTTGAATACACACGTCACAAACAAGTTTCTGAGAATGCTTCTGTCTAGTTTTTATGGGAAGATATTTCCTTTTTCACCGTAGGCCTCAAAGCGCTCCAAATGTCCACTTCCACATACTACAAAAAGAGTGTTTCAAACCTGCTCTATGATAGGGAATGTTGAAACCTATGAGTTGAATGCAAGCATTACAAAGAGGTTTCTGAGAATGCTTCTGTCTAGATTTTATATGTAGATATTCCCGTTTCCAACGAAATCCTCAAACTATCCAAATATCAACTTGCAGATTCTACAAAAGGAATGTTTCCAAAATGCTGTATCCAAACAAAGGTTCAACTCTGTGAATTGAGGGCATACATCACAAAGAAGATTCTGAGAATGCTTCTGTCTAGATTTTATATGAAAATATTCCCGTTTCCAACGAAATCCTCAAAGCTATCCAAATATCCACTTGCAAATGCCACAAAAAGAGTGTTTCCAAACTGCTCTGTGAAAAGGAAGGTTCAACTCTGTTAGTTGAGTACACACATCACAAAGAGGTTTCTGAGAATGCTGCTGACTAGTTTTTATTTGAAGATATTTCCCTTTTCACCTTAGGCCTAAGAGTGCTCGAAATGTCCATTTCCACATACTCCACAAAGTGTGTTTCAAACGTGCTGTATGAAAGGGAATGTTCAACTCTATGAGTTGAATGCAAACATCACAAAGAAGATTCTGAGAATGCTTTTGTCTAGATTTTATATGAAGATATTCCCGTGTCCAACGAAATTTTCAAAGGTCTCCAAATATCCATTTGTAGATTCTACAAAAAGAGTGTTTCCAAACTGCTGTATCAAAACAAAGGTTGAACTCTGTGAGTTGAGGACACACATCACAAATAAGTTTCTGAGAATGCTTCTGTCTAGTTTTTATTTGAAGATGTTTCCTTTTTCACCATAGGCCTGAAAGCGCTCGAAATGTCCACTTCCAGATAGTACAGAAAGAGTGTTTCAAACCTGCTCTATGAACGGGAATGTTCAGCTCTGTGAGTTGAATGCAAACATCACAAAGCAGGTTCTGAGAATGCTTCCGTCTAGATTTTAAATGAGGATATTCCCGTTTCCAACGAAATCCTCGAAGCTATCCAAATATCCACTTGCAGATTCCACAAAACGAGTGTTTCAAAACTGCTCTGTCAAAAGATAGGTTCAACTCTGTTAGTTGAGTACACACATGGCAAACAAGATTCCGAGAATGCTTTCGTCTAGTTTTTTTGGGAAGATATTTCCTTCTTCACCATAGGCCTCAAAGCGCTCCAAATATCCATTTCCACATGCTATACAAAGAGTGTCTCAAACCTGCTGTATGAATGGGAATGTTCAACTCTATGAGTTGAATGCAAACATCACAAAGAAGTTTCTGAGAATGCTGCTGTCTAGATTTTATATGAAGGTTTTCCCGCTTCCAACGAAATTTTCAATGCTCTCAAAATATCCTCTTGTAGATTCTACAAAAAGAGTGTTTCCAAACTGCTGTATCAAAACAAAGGTTCATCTCTGTTAGTTGAGGACACACATCACAAATAAGTTTCTGAGAATGCTTCTGTCTAGTTCTTATTTGAAGACATTTCCTTTCTCACCTTAGGCCTGAAAGCGCTCGAAATACCCACTTCCAGATACTACAGAAACAGTGATTCAAACCTGTTCTATGAAAGGGAATGTTCAACTAGGTGACTTGAATGCAAACATCACAAAGCAGTTTCTGAGAATGCTGCTGTCTACTTTCTATTTGTAATCCCGTTTCCAACGAAATCCTCAGAACTATCGAAATTTCCAATTGCAGATTCCACAGAAACAGGGTTTCAAAGCTGCTCTGTAAAAAGAAAGGTTCAACTCTGTTAGTTGAATACACACGTCACAAACAAGTTTCTGAGAATGCTTCTGTCTAGTTTTTATGGGAAGATATTTCCTTTTTCACCGTAGGCCTCAAAGCGCTCCAAATGTCCACGTCCACATACTACAAAAAGAGTGTTTCAAACCTGCTGTATGAAAGGGAATGTTCAACTCTATGAGTTGAATGCAAACATTACAAAGAAGTTTCTGAGAATGCTTCTGTCTAGATTTTATATGAAGGTTTTCCCGTTTCCAACGAAATTTTCAATGCTCTCAAAATATCCACTTGTAGATTCTACAAAAAGAGTGTTTCCAAACTGCTGTGTCAAAAGAAAGGTTCAACTCTGTTAGTTGAGGACACACATCACAAATAAGTTTCTGAGAATGCTTCTGTCTAGTTCTTATTTGAAGACATTTCCTTTCTCACCTTAGGCCTGAAAACGCTCGAAATATCCACTTCCAGATACGACAGAAACAGTGATTCAAACCTGCTCTATGAAAGGGAATGTTCAACTAGGTGACTTGAATGCAAACATCACAAAGCAGTTTCTGAGAATGCTGCTGTCTACTTTCTATTTGTAATCCCGTTTCCAACGAAATCCTCAGAACTATCGAAATTTCCAATTGCAGATTCCACAAAAAGCGTGTTTCAAAGCTGCTCTGTAAAAAGAAAGGTTCAACTCTGTTAGTTGAATACACACGTCACAAACAAGTTTCTGAGAATGCTTCTGTCTAGTTTTTATGGGAAGATATTTCCTTTTTCACCGTAGGCCTCAAAGCGCTCCAAATGTCCACTTCCACATACTACAAAAAGAGTGTTTCAAACCTGCTCTATGATAGGGAATGTTGAAACCTATGAGTTGAATGCAAGCATTACAAAGAGGTTTCTGAGAATGCTTCTGTCTAGATTTTATATGTAGATATTCACGTTTCCAACGAAATCCTCAAAGCTATCCAAATATCAACTTGCAGATTCTACAAAAGGAATGTTTCCAAAATGCTGTATCCAAACAAAGGTTCAACTCTGTGAATTGAGGGCATACATCACAAAGAAGATTCTGAGAATGCTTCTGTCTAGATTTTATATGAAAATATTCCCGTTTCCAACGAAATCCTCAAAGCTATCCAAATATCCACTTGCAAATGCCACAAAAAGAGTGTTTCCAAACTGCTCTGTGAAAAGGAAGGTTCAACTCTGTTAGTTGAGTACACACATCACAAAGAGGTTTCTGAGAATGCTGCTGACTAGTTTTTATTTGAAGATATTTCCCTTTTCACCTTAGGCCTAAGAGTGCTCGAAATGTCCATTTCCACATACTCCACAAAGTGTGTTTCAAACGTGCTGTATGAAAGGGAATGTTCAACTCTATGAGTTGAATGCAAACATCACAAAGAAGATTCTGAGAATGCTTTTGTCTAGATTTTATATGAAGATATTCCCGTGTCCAACGAAATTTTCAAAGGTCTCCAAATATCCATTTGTAGATTCTACAAAAAGAGTGTTTCCAAACTGCTGTATCAAAACAAAGGTTGAACTCTGTGAGTTGAGGACACACATCACAAATAAGTTTCTGAGAATGCTTCTGTCTAGTTTTTATTTGAAGATGTTTCCTTTTTCACCATAGGCCTGAAAGCGCTCGAAATGTCCACTTCCAGATAGTACAGAAAGAGTGTTTCAAACCTGCTCTATGAACGGGAATGTTCAGCTCTGTGAGTTGAATGCAAACATCACAAAGCAGGTTCTGAGAATGCTTCCGTCTAGATTTTAAATGAGGATATTCCCGTTTCCAACGAAATCCTCGAAGCTATCCATATATGCACTTGCAGATTCCACAAAAAGAGTGTTTCAAAACTGCTCTGTCAAAAGATAGGTTCAACTCTGTTAGTTGAGTACACACATGGCAAACAAGATTCCGAGAATGCTTTCGTCTAGTTTTTTTGGGAAGATATTTCCTTCTTCACCATAGGCCTCAAAGCGCTCCAAATATCCATTTCCACATGCTATACAAAGAGTGTCTCAAACCTGCTGTATGAATGGGAATGTTCAACTCTATGAGTTGAATGCAAACATCACAAAGAAGTTTCTGAGAATGCTGCTGTCTAGATTTTATATGAAGGTTTTCCCGCTTCCAACGAAATTTTCAATGCTCTCAAAATATCCTCTTGTAGATTCTACAAAAAGAGTGTTTCCAAACTGCTGTATCAAAACAAAGGTTCATCTCTGTTAGTTGAGGACACACATCACAAATAAGTTTCTGAGAATGCTTCTGTCTAGTTCTTATTTGAAGACATTTCCTTTCTCACCTTAGGCCTGAAAGCGCTCGAAATATCCACTTCCAGATACGACAGAAACTGTGATTCAAACCTGCTCTATGAAAGGGAATGTTCAACTAGGTGACTTGAATGCAAACATCACAAAGCAGTTTCTGAGAATGCTGCTGTCTACTTTCTATTTGTAATCCCGTTTCCAACGAAATCCTCAGAACTATCGAAATTTCCAATTGCAGATTCCACAAAAAGCGTGTTTCAAAGCTGCTCTGTAAAAAGAAAGGTTCAACTCTGTTAGTTGAATACACACGTCACAAACAAGTTTCTGAGAATGCTTCTGTCTAGTTTTTATGGGAAGATATTTCCTTTTTCACCGTAGGCCTCAAAGCGCTCCAAATGTCCACTTCCACATACTACAAAAAGAGTGTTTCAAACCTGCTGTATGAAAGGGAATGTTCAACTCTATGAGTTGAATGCAAACATTACAAAGAAGTTTCTGAGAATGCTCTGTCTAGATTTTATATGAAGGTTTTCCCGTTTCCAACGAAATTTTCAATGCTCTCAAAATATCCACTTGTAGATTCTACAAAAAGAGTGTTTCCAAACTGCTGTGTCAAAAGAAAGGTTCAACTCTGTTAGTTGAGGACACACATCACAAATAAGTTTCTGAGAATGCTTGCTGTCTACTTTCTATTTGTAATCCCGTTTCCAACGAAATCCTCAGCAACTATCGAAATTTCCAATTGCAGATTCCACAAAAAGCGTGTTTCAAAGCTGCTCTGTAAAAAGAAAGGTTCAACTCTGTTAGTTGAATACACACGTCACAAACAAGTTTCTGAGAATGCTTCTGTCTAGTTTTTATGGGATGATATTTCCTTTTTCACCGTAGGCCTCAAAGCGCTCCAAATGTCCACTTCCACATACTACAAAAAGAGTGTTTCAAACCTGCTCTATGATAGGGAATGTTGAAACCTATGAGTTGAATGCAAGCATTACAAAGAGGTTTCTGAGAATGCTTCTGTCTAGATTTTATATGTAGATATTCCCGTTTCCAACGAAATCCTCAAAGCTATCCAAATATCAACTTGCAGATTCTACAAAAGGAATGTTTCCAAAATGCTGTATCCAAACAAAGGTTCAACTCTGTGAATTGAGGGCATACATCACAAAGAAGATTCTGAGAATGCTTCTGTCTAGATTTTATATGAAAATATTCCCGTTTCCAACGAAATCCTCAAAGCTATCCAAATATCCACTTGCAAATGCCACAAAAAGAGTGTTTCCAAACTGCTCTGTGAAAAGGAAGGTTCAACTCTGTTAGTTGAGTACACACATCACAAAGAGGTTTCTGAGAATGCTGCTGACTAGTTTTTATTTGAAGATATTTCCCTTTTCACCTTAGGCCTAAGAGTGCTCGAAATGTCCATTTCCACATACTCCACAAAGTGTGTTTCAAACGTGCTGTATGAAAGGGAATGTTCAACTCTATGAGTTGAATGCAAACATCACAAAGAAGATTCTGAGAATGCTTTTGTCTAGATTTTATATGAAGATATTCCCGTGTCCAACGAAATTTTCAAAGGTCTCCAAATATCCATTTGTAGATTCTACAAAAAGAGTGTTTCCAAACTGCTGTATCAAAACAAAGGTTGAACTCTGTGAGTTGAGGACACACATCACAAATAAGTTTCTGAGAATGCTTCTGTCTAGTTTTTATTTGAAGATGTTTCCTTTTTCACCATAGGCCTGAAAGCGCTCGAAATGTCCACTTCCAGATAGTACAGAAAGAGTGTTTCAAACCTGCTCTATGAACGGGAATGTTCAGCTCTGTGAGTTGAATGCAAACATCACAAAGCAGGTTCTGAGAATGCTTCCGTCTAGATTTTAAATGAGGATATTCCCGTTTCCAACGAAATCCTCGAAGCTATCCAAATATCCACTTGCAGATTCCACAAAAAGAGTGTTTCAAAACTGCTCTGTCAAAAGATAGGTTCAACTCTGTTAGTTGAGTACACACATGGCAAACAAGATTCCGAGAATGCTTTCGTCTAGTTTTTTTGGGAAGATATTTCCTTCTTCACCATAGGCCTCAAAGCGCTCCAAATATCCATTTCCACATGCTATACAAAGAGTGTCTCAAACCTGCTGTATGAATGGGAATGTTCAACTCTATGAGTTGAATGCAAACATCACAAAGAAGTTTCTGAGAAATGCTGCTGTCTAGATTTTTATATGAAGGTTTTCCCGCTTCCAACGAAATTTTCAATGCTCTCAAAATATCCTCTTGTAGATTCTACAAAAAGAGTGTTTCCAAACTGCTGTATCAAAACAAAGGTTCATCTCTGTTAGTTGAGGACACACATCACAAATAAGTTTCTGAGAATGCTTCTGTCTAGTTCTTATTTGAAGACATTTCCTTTCTCACCTTAGGCTTGAAAACGCTCGAAATATCCACTTCCAGATACGACAGAAACAGTGATTCAAACCTGCTCTATGAAAGGGAATGTTCAACTAGGTGACTTGAATGCAAACATCACAAAGCAGTTTCTGAGCAATGCTGCTGTCTACTTTCTATTTGTAATCCCGTTTCCAACGAAATCCTCAGAACTATCGAAATTTCCAATTGCAGATTCCACAGAAACAGGGTTTCAAAGCTGCTCTGTAAAAAGAAAGGTTCAACTCTGTTAGTTGAATACACACGTCACAAACAAGTTTCTGAGAATGCTTCTGTCTAGTTTTTATGGGAAGATATTTCCTTTTTCACCGTAGGCCTCAAAGCGCTCCAAATGTCCACTTCCACATACTACAAAAAGAGTGTTTCAAACCTGCTGTATGAAAGGGAATGTTCAACTCTGTGAGTTGAATGCAAACTTTACAAAGAAGTTTCTGAGAATGCTTCTGTCTAGATTTTATATGAAGGTTTTCCCGTTTCCAACGAAATTTTCAATGCTCTCAAAATATCCACTTGTAGATTCTACAAAAAGAGTGTTTCCAAACTGCTGTGTCAAAAGAAAGGTTCAACTCTGTTAGTTGAGGACACACATCACAAATAAGTTTCTGAGAATGCTTCTGTCTAGTTCTTATTTGAAGACATTTCCTTTCTCACCTTAGGCCTGAAAACGCTCGAAATATCCACTTCCAGATACGACAGAAACAGTGATTCAAACCTGCTCTATGAAAGGGAATGTTCAACTAGGTGACTTGAATGCAAACATCACAAAGCAGTTTCTGAGAATGCTGCTGTCTACTTTCTATTTGTAATCCCGTTTCCAACGAAATCCTCAGAACTATCGAAATTTCCAATTGCAGATTCCACAAAAAGCGTGTTTCAAAGCTGCTCTGTAAAAAGAAAGGTTCAACTCTGTTAGTTGAATACACACGTCACAAACAAGTTTCTGAGAATGCTTCTGTCTAGTTTTTATGGGAAGATATTTCCTTTTTCACCGTAGGCCTCAAAGCGCTCCAAATGTCCACTTCCACATACTACAAAAAGAGTGTTTCAAACCTGCTCTATGATAGGGAATGTTGAAACCTATGAGTTGAATGCAAGCATTACAAAGAGGTTTCTGAGAATGCTTCTGTCTAGATTTTATATGTAGATATTCCCGTTTCCAACGAAATCCTCAAAGCTATCCAAATATCAACTTGCAGATTCTACAAAAGGAATGTTTCCAAAATGCTGTATCCAAACAAAGGTTCAACTCTGTGAATTGAGGGCATACATCACAAAGAAGATTCTGAGAATGCTTCTGTCTAGATTTTATATGAAAATATTCCCGTTTCCAACGAAATCCTCAAAGCTATCCAAATATCCACTTGCAAATGCCACAAAAAGAGTGTTTCCAAACTGCTCTGTGAAAAGGAAGGTTCAACTCTGTTAGTTGAGTACACACATCACAAAGAGGTTTCTGAGAATGCTGCTGGCTAGTTTTTATTTGAAGATATTTCCCTTTTCACCTTAGGCCTAAGAGTGCTCGAAATGTCCCTTTCCACATACTCCACAAAGTGTGTTCCAAACGTGCTGTATGAAAGGGAATGTTCAACTCTATGAGTTGAATGCAAACATCACAAAGAAGATTCTGAGAATGCTTTTGTCTAGATTTTATATGAAGATATTCCCGTGTCCAACGAAATTTTCAATGGTCTCCAAATATCCATTTGTAGATTCTACAAAAAGAGTGTTTCCAAACTGCTGTATCAAAACAAAGGTTGAACTCTGTGAGTTGAGGACACACATCACAAATAAGTTTCTGAGAATGCTTCTGTCTAGTTTTTATTTGAAGATATTTCCTTTTTCACCATAGGCCTGAAAGCGCTCGAAATGTCCACTTCCAGATAGTACAGAAAGAGTGTTTCAAACCTGCTCTATGAACAGGAATGTTCAGCTCTGTGAGTTGAATGCAAACATCACAAAGCAGGTTCTGAGAATGCTTCCGTCTAGATTTTATATGAGGATATTCCCGTTTCCAACGAAATCCTCGAAGCTATCCAAATATCCATTTGCAGATTCCACAAAAAGAGTGTTTCAAAACTGCTCTGTCAAAAGATAGGTTCAACTCTGTTAGTTGAGTACACACATGGCAAACAAGATTGCGAGAATGCTTTCGTCTAGTTTTTTTGGGAAGATATTCCCTTCTTCACCATAGGCCTCAAAGCGCGCCAAATATCCATTTCCACATACTATACAAAGAGTGTCTCAAACCTGCTGTATGAATGGGAATGTTCAACTCTATGAGTTGAATGCAAACATCACAAAGAAGTTTCTGAGAATGCTGCTGTCTAGATTTTATATGAAGGTTTTCCCGCTTCCAACGAAATTTTCAATGCTCTCAAAATATCCTCTTGTAGATTCTACAAAAAGAGTGTTTCCAAACTGCTGTATCAAAACAAAGGTTCATCTCTGTTAGTTGAGGACACACATCACAAATAAGTTTCTGAGAATGCTTCTGTCTAGTTCTTATTTGAAGACATTTCCTTTCTCACCTTAGGCCTGAAAACGCTCGAAATATCCACTTCCAGATACGACAGAAACAGTGATTCAAACCTGCTCTATGAAAGGGAATGTTCAACTAGGTGACTTGAATGCAAACATCAGAAAGCAGTTTCTGAGAATGCTGCTGTCTACTTTCTATTTGTAATCCCGTTTCCACCGAAATCCTCAGAACTATCGAAATTTCCAATTGCAGATTCCACAAAAAGCGTGTTTCAAAGCTGCTCTGTAAAAAGAAAGGTTCAACTCTGTTAGTTGAATACACACGTCACAAACAAGTTTCTGAGAATGCTTCTGTCTAGTTTTTATGGGAAGATATTTCCTTTTTCACCATAGGCCTCAAAGCGCTCCAAATGTCCACTTCCACATACTACAAAAAGAGTGTTTCAAACCTGCTCTATGATAGGGAATGTTGAAACCTATGAGTTGAATGCAAGCATTACAAAGAGGTTTCTGAGAATGCTTCTGTCTAGATTTTATATGTAGATATTCCCGTTTCCAACGAAATCCTCAAAGCTATCCAAATATCAACTTGCAGATTCTACAAAAGGAATGTTTCCAAAATGCTGTATCCAAACAAAGGTTCAACTCTGTGAATTGGGGGCATACATCACAAAGAAGATTCTGAGAATGCTTCTGTCTAGATTTTATATGAAAATATTCCCGTTTCCAACGAAATCCTCAAAGCTATCCAAATATCCACTTGCAAATGCCACAAAAAGAGTGTTTCCAAACTGCTCTGTGAAAAGGAAGGTTCAACTCTGTTAGTTGAGTACACACATCACAAAGAGGTTTCTGAGAATGCTGCTGACTAGTTTTTATTTGAAGATATTTCCCTTTTCACCTTAGGCCTAAGAGTGCTCGAAATGTCCATTTCCACATACTCCACAAAGTGTGTTTCAAACGTGCTGTATGAAAGGGAATGTTCAACTCTATGAGTTGAATGCAAACATCACAAAGAAGATTCTGAGAATGCTTTTGTCTAGATTTTATATGAAGATATTCCCGTGTCCAACGAAATTTTCAAAGGTCTCCAAATATCCATTTGTAGATTCTACAAAAAGAGTGTTTCCAAACTGCTGTATCAAAACAAAGGTTGAACTCTGTGAGTTGAGGACACACATCACAAATAAGTTTCTGAGAATGCTTCTGTCTAGTTTTTATTTGAAGATGTTTCCTTTTTCACCATAGGCCTGAAAGCGCTCGAAATGTCCACTTCCAGATAGTACAGAAAGAGTGTTTCAAACCTGCTCTATGAACGGGAATGTTCAGCTCTGTGAGTTGAATGCAAACATCACAAAGCAGGTTCTGAGAATGCTTCCGTCTAGATTTTAAATGAGGATATTCCCGTTTCCAACGAAATCCTCGAAGCTATCCAAATATCCACTTGCAGATTCCACAAAAAGAGTGTTTCAAAACTGCTCTGCCAAAAGATAGGTTCAACTCTGTTAGTTGAGTACACACATGGCAAACAAGATTCCGAGAATGCTTTCGTCTAGTTTTTTTGGGAAGTTATTTCCTTCTTCACCATAGGCCTCAAAGCGCTCCAAATATCCATTTCCACATGCTATACAAAGAGTGTCTCAAACCTGCTGTATGAATGGGAATGTTCAACTCTATGAGTTGAATGCAAACATCACAAAGAAGTTTCTGAGAATGCTGCTGTCTAGATTTTATATGAAGGTTTTCCCGCTTCCAACGAAATTTTCAATGCTCTCAAAATATCCTCTTGTAGATTCTACAAAAAGAGTGTTTCCAAACTGCTGTATCAAAACAAAGGTTCATCTCTGTTAGTTGAGGACACACATCACAAATAAGTTTCTGAGAATGCTTCTGTCTAGTTCTTATTTGAAGACATTTCCTTTCTCACCTTAGGCCTGAAAGCGCTCGAAATACCCACTTCCAGATACTACAGAAACAGTGATTCAAACCTGCTCTATGAAAGGGAATGTTCAACTATGTGACTTGAATGCAAACATCACAAAGCAGTTTCTGAGAATGCTGCTGTCTACTTTCTATTTGTAATCCCGTTTCCAACGAAATCCTCAGAACTATCGAAATTTCCAATTGCAGATTCCACAGAAACAGGGTTTCAAAGCTGCTCTGTAAAAAGAAAGGTTCAACTCTGTTAGTTGAATACACACGTCACAAACAAGTTTCTGAGAATGCTTCTGTCTAGTTTTTATGGGAAGATATTTCCTTTTTCACCATAGGCCTCAAAGCGCTCCAAATGTCCACTTCCACATACTACAAAAAGAGTGTTTCAAACCTGCTCTATGATAGGGAATGTTGAAACCTATGAGTTGAATGCAAGCATTACAAAGAGGTTTCTGAGAATGCTTCTGTCTAGATTTTATATGTAGATATTCCCGTTTCCAACGAAATCCTCAAAGCTATCCAAATATCAACTTGCAGATTCTACAAAAGGAATGTTTCCAAAATGCTGTATCCAAACAAAGGTTCAACTCTGTGAATTGAGGGCATACATCACAAAGAAGATTCCTGAGAATGCTTCTGTCTAGCATTTTATATGAAAATATTCCCGTTTCCAACGAAATCCTCAAAGCTATCCAAATATCCACTTGCAAATGCCACAAAAAGAGTGTTTCCAAACTGCTCTGTGAAAAGGAAGGTTCAACTCTGTTAGTTGAGTACACACATCACAAAGAGGTTTCTGAGAATGCTGCTGACTAGTTTTTATTTGAAGATATTTCCCTTTTCACCTTAGGCCTAAGAGTGCTCGAAATGTCCATTTCCACATACTCCACAAAGTGTGTTTCAAACGTGCTGTATGAAAGGGAATGTTCAACTCTATGAGTTGAATGCAAACATCACAAAGAAGATTCTGAGAATGCTTTTGTCTAGATTTTATATGAAGATATTCCCGTGTCCAACGAAATTTTCAAAGGTCTCCAAATATCCATTTGTAGATTCTACAAAAAGAGTGTTTCCAAACTGCTGTATCAAAACAAAGGTTGAACTCTGTGAGTTGAGGACACACATCACAAATAAGTTTCTGAGAATGCTTCTGTCTAGTTTTTATTTGAAGATGTTTCCTTTTTCACCATAGGCCTGAAAGCGCTCGAAATGTCCACTTCCAGATAGTACAGAAAGAGTGTTTCAAACCTGCTCTATGAACGGGAATGTTCAGCTCTGTGAGTTGAATGCAAACATCACAAAGCAGGTTCTGAGAATGCTTCCGTCTAGATTTTAAATGAGGATATTCCCGTTTCCAACGAAATCCTCGAAGCTATCCAAATATCCACTTGCAGATTCCACAAAAAGAGTGTTTCAAAACTGCTCTGTCAAAAGATAGGTTCAACTCTGTTAGTTGAGTACACACATGGCAAACAAGATTCCGAGAATGCTTTCGTCTAGTTTTTTTGGGAAGATATTTCCTTCTTCACCATAGGCCTCAAAGCGCTCCAAATATCCATTTCCACATGCGATACAAAGAGTGTCTCAAACCTGCTGTATGAATGGGAATGTTCAACTCTATGAGTTGAATGCAAACATCACAAAGAAGTTTCTGAGAATGCTCCTGTCTAGATTTTATATGAAGGTTTTCCCGCTTCCAACGAAATTTTCAATGCTCTCCAAATATACACTTGTAGATTCTACAAAAAGAGTGTTTCCAAACTGCTGTATCAAAACAAAGGTTCAACTCTGTTAGTTGAGGACACATATCACAAATAAGTTTCTGAGAATGCTTCTGTCTAGTTCTTATTTGACGACATTTCCTTTCTCACCTTAGGCCTGAAAGCGCTCAAAATACCCACTTCCAGATACTACAGAAACAGTGATTCAAACCTGCTCTATGAAAGGACATGTTCAACTACGTGACTTGAATGCAAACATCACAAAGCAGTTTCTGAGAATGCTGCTGTCTACTTTCTATTTGTAATCCCGTTTCCAACGAAATCCTCAGACCTATCGAAATTTCCAATTGCAGATTCCACAGAAAAAGGGTTTCAAAGCTGCTCTGTAAAAAGAAAGGTTCAACTCTGTTAGTTGAATACACACGTCACAAACAAGTTTCTGAGAATGCTTCTGTCTAGTTTTTATGGGAAGATATTTCCTTTTTCACCGTAGGCCTCAAAGCGCTCCAAATGTCCACTTCCACAAACTACAAAAAGAGTGTTTCAAACCTGCTGTATGAAAGGGAATGTTCAACTCTATGAGTTGAATGCAAACATTACAAAGAAGTTTCTGAGAATGCTTCTGTCTAGATTTTCTATGAAGGTTTTCCCGTTTCCAACGAAATTTTCAATGCTCTCAAAATATCCACTTGTAGATTCTACAAAAAGAGTGTTTCCAAACTGCTGTGTCAAAAGAAAGGTTCAACTCTGTCAGTTGAGGACACACATCACAAATAAGTTTCTGAGAATGCTTGTTTCTAGTTCTTATTTGAAGACATTTCCTTTCTCACCTTAGGCCTGAAAGCGCTCGAAATACCCACTTCCAGATACTACAGAAACAGTGATTCAAACCTGCTCTATGAAAGGGAATGTTCAACTAGGTGACTTGAATGCAAACATCACAAAGCAGTTTCTGAGAATGCTGCTGTCTACTTTCTATTTGTAATCCCGTTTCCAACGAAATCCTCAGAACTATCGAAATTTCCAATTGCAGATTCCACAAAAAGCGTGTTTCAAAGCTGCTCTGTAAAAAGAAAGGTTCAACTGCTGTTAGTTGAATACACACGTCACAAACAAGTTTCTGAGAATGCTTCTGTCTAGTTTTTATGGGAAGATATTTCCTTTTTCACGGTAGGCCTCAAAGCGCTCCAAATGTCCACTTCCACATACTACAAAAAGAGTGTTTCAAACCTGCTCTATGATAGGGAATGTTGAAACCTATGAGTTGAATGCAAGCATTACAAAGAGGTTTCTGAGAATGCTTCTGTCTAGATTTTATATGTAGATATTCCCGTTTCCAACGAAATCCTCAAAGCTATCCAAATATCAACTTGCAGATTCTACAAAAGGAATGTTTCCAAAATGCTGTATCCAAACAAAGGTTCAACTCTGTGAATTGAGGGCATACATCACAAAGAAGATTCTGAGAATGCTTCTGTCTAGATTTTATATGAAAATATTCCCGTTTCCAACGAAATCCTCAAAGCTATCCAAATATCCACTTGCAAATGCCACAAAAAGAGTGTTTCCAAACTGCTCTGTGAAAAGGAAGGTTCAACTCTGTTAGTTGAGTACACACATCACAAAGAGGTTTCTGAGAATGCTGCTGACTAGTTTTTATTTGAAGATATTTCCCTTTTCACCTTAGGCCTAAGAGTGCTCGAAATGTCCATTTCCACATACTCCACAAAGTGTGTTTCAAACGTGCTGTATGAAAGGGAATGTTCAACTCTATGAGTTGAATGCAAACATCACAAAGAAGATTCTGAGAATGCTTTTGTCTAGATTTTATATGAAGATATTCCCGTGTCCAACGAAATTTTCAAAGGTCTCCAAATATCCATTTGTAGATTCTACAAAAAGAGTGTTTCCAAACTGCTGTATCAAAACAAAGGTTGAACTCTGTGAGTTGAGGACACACATCACAAATAAGTTTCTGAGAATGCTTCTGTCTAGTTTTTATTTGAAGATGTTTCCTTTTTCACCATAGGCCTGAAAGCGCTCGAAATGTCCACTTCCAGATAGTACAGAAAGAGTGTTTCAAACCTGCTCTATGAACGGGAATGTTCAGCTCTGTGAGTTGAATGCAAACATCACAAAGCAGGTTCTGAGAATGCTTCCGTCTAGATTTTAAATGAGGATATTCCCGTTTCCAACGAAATCCTCGAAGCTATCCAAATATCCACTTGCAGATTCCACAAAAAGAGTGTTTCAAAACTGCTCTGTCAAAAGATAGTTTCAACTATGTTAGTTGAGTACACACATGGCAAACAAGATTCCGAGAATGCTTTCGTCTAGTTTTTTTGGGAAGATATTTCCTTCTTCACCATAGGCCTCAAAGCGCTCCAAATATCCATTTCCACATGCTATACAAAGAGTGTCTCAAACCTGCTGTATGAATGGGAATGTTCAACTGCTATGAGTTGAATGCAAACATCACAAAGAAGTTTCTGAGAATGCTGCTGTCTAGATTTTATATGAAGGTTTTCCCGCTTCCATGAAATTTTCAATGCTCTCAAAATATCCTCTTGTAGATTCTACAAAAAGAGTGTTTCCAAACTGCTGTATCAAAACAAAGGTTCATCTCTGTTAGTTGAGGACACACATCACAAATAAGTTTCTGAGAATGCTTCTGTCTAGTTCTTATTTGAAGACATTTCCTTTCTCACCTTAGGCCTGAAAGCGCTCGAAATACCCACTTCCAGATACTACAGAAACAGTGATTCAAACCTGCTCTATGAAAGGGAATGTTCAACTATGTGACTTGAATGCAAACATCACAAAGCAGTTTCTGAGAATGCTGCTGTCTACTTTCTATTTGTAATCCCGTTTCCAACGAAATCCTCAGAACTATCGAAATTTCCAATTGCAGATTCCACAGAAACAGGGTTTCAAAGCTGCTCTGTAAAAAGAAAGGTTCAACTCTGTTAGTTGAATACACACGTCACAAACAAGTTTCTGAGAATGCTTCTGTCTAGTTTTTATGGGAAGATATTTCCTTTTTCACCGTAGGCCTCAAAGCGCTCCAAATGTCCACTTCCACATACTACAAAAAGAGTGTTTCAAACCTGCTGTATGAAAGGGAATGTTCAACTCTATGAGTCGAATGCAAACATTACAAAGAAGTTTCTGAGAATGCTTCTGTCTAGATTTTATATGAAGGTTTTCCCGTTTCCAAAGAAATTTTCAATGCTCTCAAAATATCCACTTGTAGATTCTACAAAAAGAGTGTTTCCAAACTGCTGTGTCAAAAGAAAGGTTCAACTCTGTTAGTTGAGGACACACATCACAAATAAGTTTCTGAGAATGCTTCTGTCTAGTTCTTATTTGAAGACATTTCCTTTCTCACCTTAGGCCTGAAAACGCTCGAAATATCCACTTCCAGATACGACAGAAACAGTGATTCAAACCTGCTCTATGAAAGGGAATGTTCAACTAGGTGACTTGAATGCAAACATCACAAAGCAGTTTCTGAGAATGCTGCTGTCTACTTTCTATTTGTAATCCCGTTTCCAACGAAATCCTCAGAACTATCGAAATTTCCAATTGCAGATTCCACAGAAACAGGGTTTCAAAGCTGCTCTGTAAAAAGAAAGGTTCAACTCTGTTAGTTGAATACACACGTCACAAACAAGTTTCTGAGAATGCTTCTGTCTAGTTTTTATGGGAAGATATTTCCTTTTTCACCGTAGGCCTCAAAGCGCTCCAAATGTCCACTTCCACATACTACAAAAAGAGTGTTTCAAACCTGCTCTATGATAGGGAATGTTGAAACCTATGAGTTGAATGCAAGCATTACAAAGAGGTTTCTGAGAATGCTTCTGTCTAGATTTTATATGTAGATATTCCCGTTTCCAACGAAATCCTCAAAGCTATCCAAATATCAACTTGCAGATTCTGCAAAAGGAATGTTTCCAAAATGCTGTATCCAAACAAAGGTTCAACTCTGTGAATTGAGGGCATACATCACAAAGAAGATTCTGAGAATGCTTCTGTCTAGATTTTATATGAAAATATTCCCGTTTCCAACGAAATCCTCAAAGCTATCCAAATATCCACTTGCAAATGCCACAAAAAGAGTGTTTCCAAACTGCTCTGTGAAAAGGAAGGTTCAACTCTGTTAGTTGAGTACACACATCACAAAGAGGTTTCTGAGAATGCTGCTGACTAGTTTTTATTTGAAGATATTTCCCTTTTCACCTTAGGCCTAAGAGTGCTCGAAATGTCCATTTCCACATACTCCACAAAGTGTGTTTCAAACGTGCTGTATGAAAGGGAATGTTCAACTCTATGAGTTGAATGCAAACATCACAAAGAAGATTCTGAGAATGCTTTTGTCTAGATTTTATATGAAGATATTCCCGTGTCCAACGAAATTTTCAAAGGTCTCCAAATATCCATTTGTAGATTCTACAAAAAGAGTGTTTCCAAACTGCTGTATCAAAACAAAGGTTGAACTCTGTGAGTTGAGGACACACATCACAAATAAGTTTCTGAGAATGCTTCTGTCTAGTTTTTATTTGAAGATGTTTCCTTTTTCACCATAGGCCTGAAAGCGCTCGAAATGTCCACTTCCAGATAGTACAGAAAGAGTGTTTCAAACCTGCTCTATGAACGGGAATGTTCAGCTCTGTGAGTTGAATGCAAACATCACAAAGCAGGTTCTGAGAATGCTTCCGTCTAGATTTTAAATGAGGATATTCCCGTTTCCAACGAAATCCTCGAAGCTATCCAAATATCCACTTGCAGATTCCACAAAAAGAGTGTTTCAAAACTGCTCTGTCAAAAGATAGGTTCAACTCTGTTAGTTGAGTACACACATGGCAAACAAGATTCCGAGAATGCTTTCGTCTAGTTTTTTTGGGAAGATATTTCCTTCTTCACCATAGGCCTCAAAGCGCTCCAAATATCCATTTCCACATGCTATACAAAGAGTGTCTCAAACCTGCTGTATGAATGGGAATGTTCAACTCTATGAGTTGAATGCAAACATCACAAAGAAGTTTCTGAGAATGCTGCTGTCTAGATTTTATATGAAGGTTTTCCCGCTTCCAACGAAATTTTCAATGCTCTCAAAATATCCTCTTGTAGATTCTACAAAAAGAGTGTTTCCAAACTGCTGTATCAAAACAAAGGTTCATCTCTGTTAGTTGAGGACACACATCACAAATAAGTTTCTGAGAATGCTTCTGTCTAGTTCTTATTTGAAGACATTTCCTTTCTCACCTTAGGCCTGAAAGTGCTCGAAATACCCACTTCCAGATACTACAGAAACAGTGTTTCAAACCTGCTCTATGAAAGGGAATGTTCAACAATGTGACTTGAATGCAAGCATCACAAAGCAGTTTCTGAGAATGCTGCTGTCTACTTTCTATTTGTAATCCCGTTTCCAACGAAATCCTCAGATCTATCGAAATTTCCAATTGCAGATTCCACAGAAACAGGGTTTCAAAGCTGCTCTGTAAAAAGAAAGGTTCAACTCTGTTAGTTGAATACACACGTCACAAACAAGTTTCTGAGAATGCTTCTGTCTAGTTTTTATGGGAAGATATTTCCTTTTTCACCGTAGGCCTCAAAGCGCTCCAAATGTCCACTTCCACATACTACAAAAAGAGTGTTTCAAACCTGCTGTATGAAAGGGAATGTTCAACTCTATGAGTTGAATGCAAACATTACAAAGAAGTTTCTGAGAATGCTTCTGTCTAGATTTTATATGAAGGTTTTCCCGTTTCCAACGAAATTTTCAATGCTCTCAAAATATCCACTTGTAGATTCTACAAAAAGAGTGTTTCCAAACTGCTGTGTCAAAAGAAAGGTTCAACTCTGTTAGTTGAGGACACACATCACAAATAAGTTTCTGAGAATGCTTCTGTCTAGTTCTTATTTGAAGACATTTCCTTTCTCACCTTAGGCCTGAAAACGCTCGAAATATCCACTTCCAGATACGACAGAAACAGTGATTCAAACCTGCTCTATGAAAGGGAATGTTCAACTAGGTGACTTGAATGCAAACATCAGAAAGCAGTTTCTGAGAATGCTGCTGTCTACTTTCTATTTGTAATCCCGTTTCCACCGAAATCCTCAGAACTATCGAAATTTCCAATTGCAGATTCCACAAAAAGCGTGTTTCAAAGCTGCTCTGTAAAAAGAAAGGTTCAACTCTGTTAGTTGAATACACACGTCACAAACAAGTTTCTGAGAATGCTTCTGTCTAGTTTTTATGGGAAGATATTTCCTTTTTCACCGTAGGCCTCAAAGCGCTCCAAATGTCCACTTCCACATACTACAAAAAGAGTGTTTCAAACCTGCTGTATGAAAGGGAATGTTCAACTCTATGAGTTGAATGCAAACATTACAAAGAAGTTTCTGAGAATGCTTCTGTCTAGATTTTATATGAAGGTTTTCCCGTTTCCAACGAAATTTTCAATGCTCTCAAAATATCCACTTGTAGATTCTACAAAAAGAGTGTTTCCAAACTGCTGTGTCAAAAGAAAGGTTCAACTCTGTTAGTTGAGGACACACATCACAAATAAGTTTCTGAGAATGCTTCTGTCTAGTTCTTATTTGAAGACATTTCCTTTCTCACCTTAGGCCTGAAAACGCTCGAAATATCCACTTCCAGATACGACAGAAACTGTGATTCAAACCTGCTCTATGAAAGGGAATGTTCAACTAGGTGACTTGAATGCAAACATCACAAAGCAGTTTCTGAGAATGCTGCTGTCTACTTTCTATTTGTAATCCCGTTTCCAACGAAATCCTCAGAACTATCGAAATTTCCAATTGCAGATTCCACAAAAAGCGTGTTTCAAAGCTGCTCTGTAAAAAGAAAGGTTCAACTCTGTTAGTTGAATACACACGTCACAAACAAGTTTCTGAGAATGCTTCTGTCTAGTTTTTATGGGAAGATATTTCCTTTTTCACCGTAGGCCTCAAAGCGCTCCAAATGTCCACTTCCACATACTACAAAAAGAGTGTTTCAAACCTGCTGTATGAAAGGGAATGTTCAACTCTATGAGTTGAATGCAAACATTACAAAGAAGTTTCTGAGAATGCTTCTGTCTAGATTTTATATGAAGGTTTTCCCGTTTCCAACGAAATTTTCAATGCTCTCAAAATATCCACTTGTAGATTCTACAAAAAGAGTGTTTCCAAACTGCTGTGTCAAAAGAAAGGTTCAACTCTGTTAGTTGAGGACACACATCACAAATAAGTTTCTGAGAATGCTTCTGTCTAGTTCTTATTTGAAGACATTTCCTTTCTCACCTTAGGCCTGAAAACGCTCGAAATATCCACTTCCAGATACGACAGAAACAGTGATTCAAACCTGCTCTATGAAAGGGAATGTTCAACTAGGTGACTTGAATGCAAACATCACAAAGCAGTTTCTGAGAATGCTGCTGTCTACTTTCTATTTGTAATCCCGTTTCCAACGAAATCCTCAGAACTATCGAAATTTCCAATTGCAGATTCCACAAAAAGCGTGTTTCAAAGCTGCTCTGTAAAAAGAAAGGTTCAACTCTGTTAGTTGAATACACACGTCACAAACAAGTTTCTGAGAATGCTTCTGTCTAGTTTTTATTGGAAGATATTACCTTTTTCACGGTAGGCCTCAAAGCGCTCCAAATGTCCACTTCCACATACTACAAAAAGAGTGTTTCAAACCTGCTCTATGATAGGGAATGTTGAAACCTATGTGTTGAATGCAAGCATTACAAAGAGGTTTCTGAGAATGCTTCTGTCTAGATTTTATATGTAGATATTCCCGTTTCCAACGAAATCCTCAAAGCTATCCAAATATCAACTTGCAGATTCTACAAAAGGAATGTTTCCAAAATGCTGTATCCAAACAAAGGTTCAACTCTGTGAATTGAGGGCATACATCACAAAGAAGATTCTGAGAATGCTTCTGTCTAGATTTTATATGAAAATATTCCCGTTTCCAACGAAATCCTCAAAGCTATCCAAATATCCACTTGCAAATGCCACAAAAAGAGTGTTTCCAAACTGCTCTGTGAAAAGGAAGGTTCAACTCTGTTAGTTGAGTACACACATCACAAAGAGGTTTCTGAGAATGCTGCTGACTAGTTTTTATTTGAAGATATTTCCCTTTTCACCTTAGGCCTAAGAGTGCTCGAAATGTCCATTTCCACATACTCCACAAAGTGTGTTTCAAACGTGCTGTATGAAAGGGAATGTTCAACTGCTATGAGTTGAATGCAAACATCACAAAGAAGATTCTGAGAATGCTTTTGTCTAGATTTTATATGAAGATATTCCCGTGTCCAACGAAATTTTCAAAGGTCTCCAAATATCCATTTGTAGATTCTACAAAAAGAGTGTTTCCAAACTGCTGTATCAAAACAAAGGTTGAACTCTGTGAGTTGAGGACACACATCACAAATAAGTTTCTGAGAATGCTTCTGTCTAGTTTTTATTTGAAGATGTTTCCTTTTTCACCATAGGCCTGAAAGCGCTCGAAATGTCCACTTCCAGATAGTACAGAAAGAGTGTTTCAAACCTGCTCTATGAACGGGAATGTTCAGCTCTGTGAGTTGAATGCAAACATCACAAAGCAGGTTCTGAGAATGCTTCCGTCTAGATTTTAAATGAGGATATTCCCGTTTCCAACGAAATCCTCGAAGCTATCCAAATATCCACTTGCAGATTCCACAAAAAGAGTGTTTCAAAACTGCTCTGTCAAAAGATAGGTTCAACTCTGTTAGTTGAGTACACACATGGCAAACAAGATTCCGAGAATGCTTTCGTCTAGTTTTTTTGGGAAGATATTTCCTTCTTCACCATAGGCCTCAAAGCGCTCCAAATATCCATTTCCACATGCTATACAAAGAGTGTCTCAAACCTGCTGTATGAATGGGAATGTTCAACTCTATGAGTTGAATGCAAACATCACAAAGAAGTTTCTGAGAATGCTGCTGTCTAGATTTTATATGAAGGTTTTCCCGCTTCCAACGAAATTTTCAATGCTCTCAAAATATCCTCTTGTAGATTCTACAAAAAGAGTGTTTCCAAACTGCTGTATCAAAACAAAGGTTCATACTCTGTTAGTTGAGGACACACATCACAAATAAGTTTCTGAGAATGCTTCTGTCAAGTACTTATTTGAAGACATTTCCTTTCTCACCTTAGGCCTGAAAGCGCTCGAAATACCCACTTCCAGATACGACAGAAACAGTGATTCAAACCTGCTCTATGAAAGGGAATGTTCAACTATGTGACTTGAATGCAAACATCACAAAGCAGTTTCTGAGAATGCTGCTGTCTACTTTCTATTTGTAATCCCGTTTCCAACGAAATCCTCAGAACTATCGAAATTTCCAATTGCAGATTCCACAGAAACAGGGTTTCAAAGCTGCTCTGTAAAAAGAAAGGTTCAACTCTGTTAGTTGAATACACACGTCACAAACAAGTTTCTGAGAATGCTTCTGTCTAGTTTTTATGGGAAGATATTTCCTTTTTCACCGTAGGCCTCAAAGCGCTCCAAATGTCCACTTCCACATACTACAAAAAGAGTGTTTCAAACCTGCTCTATGATAGGGAATGTTGAAACCTATGAGTTGAATGCAAGCATTACAAAGAGGTTTCTGAGAATGCTTCTGTCTAGATTTTATATGTAGATATTCCCGTTTCCAACGAAATCCTCAAACTATCCAAATATCAACTTGCAGATTCTACAAAAGGAATGTTTCCAAAATGCTGTATCCAAACAAAGGTTCAACTCTGTGAATTGAGGGCATACATCACAAAGAAGATTCTGAGAATGCTTCTGTCTAAATTTTATATGAAAATATTCCCGTTTCCTACGAAATCCTCAAAGCTATCCAAATATCCACTTGCAAATGCCACAAAAAGAGTGTTTCCAAACTGCTCCGTGAAAAGGAAGGTTCAACTCTGTTAGTTGAGTACACACATCACAAAGAGGTTTCTGAGAATGCTGCTGACTAGTTTTTATTTGAAGATATTTCCCTTTTCACCTTAGGCCTAAGAGTGCTCGAAATGTCCATTTCCACATACTCCACAAAGTGTGTTTCAAACGTGCTGTATGAAAGGGAATGTTCAACTCTATGAGTTGAATGCAAACATCACAAAGAAGATTCTGAGAATGCTTTTGTCTAGATTTTATATGAAGATATTCCCGTGTCCAACGAAATTTTCAAAGGTCTCCAAATATCCATTTGTAGATTCTACAAAAAGAGTGTTTCCAAACTGCTGTATCAAAACAAAGGTTGAACTCTGTGAGTTGAGGACACACATCACAAATAAGTTTCTGAGAATGCTTCTGTCTAGTTTTTATTTGAAGATGTTTCCTTTTTCACCATAGGCCTGAAAGCGCTCGAAATGTCCACTTCCAGATAGTACAGAAAGAGTGTTTCAAACCTGCTCTATGAACGGGAATGTTCAGCTCTGTGAGTTGAATGCAAACATCACAAAGCAGGTTCTGAGAATGCTTCCGTCTAGATTTTAAATGAGGATATTCCCGTTTCCAACGAAATCCTCGAAGCTATCCAAATATCCACTTGCAGATTCCACAAAAAGAGTGTTTCAAAACTGCTCTGTCAAAAGATAGGTTCAACTCTGTTAGTTGAGTACACACATGGCAAACAAGATTGCGAGAATGCTTTCGTCTAGTTTTTTTGGGAAGATATTTCCTTCTTCACCATAGGCCTCAAAGCGCTCCAAATATCCATTTCCACATGCTATACAAAGAGTGTCTCAAACCTGCTGTATGAATGGGAATGTTCAACTCTATGAGTTGAATGCAAACATCACAAAGAAGTTTCTGAGAATGCTGCTGTCTAGATTTTATATGAAGGTTTTCCCGCTTCCAACGAAATTTTCAATGCTCTCAAAATATCCTCTTGTAGATTCTACAAAAAGAGTGTTTCCAAACTGCTGTATCAAAACAAAGGTTCATCTCTGTTAGTTGAGGACACACATCACAAATAAGTTTCTGAGAATGCTTCTGTCTAGTTCTTATTTGAAGACATTTCCTTTCTCACCTTAGGCCTGAAAGCGCTCGAAATACCCACTTCCAGATACGACAGAAACAGTGATTCAAACCTGCTCTATGAAAGGGAATGTTCAACTAGGTGACTTGAATGCAAACATCACAAAGCAGTTTCTGAGAATGCTGCTGTCTACTTTCTATTTGTAATCCCGTTTCCAACGAAATCCTCAGAACTATCGAAATTTCCAATTGCAGATTCCACAGAAACAGGGTTTCAAAGCTGCTCTGTAAAAAGAAAGGTTCAACTCTGTTAGTTGAATACACACGTCACAAACAAGTTTCTGAGAATGCTTCTGTCTAGTTTTTATGGGAAGATATTTCCTTTTTCACCGTAGGCCTCAAAGCGCTCCAAATGTCCACGTCCACATACTACAAAAAGAGTGTTTCAAACCTGCTGTATGAAAGGGAATGTTCAACTCTATGAGTTGAATGCAAACATTACAAAGAAGTTTCTGAGAATGCTTCTGTCTAGATTTTATATGAAGGTTTTCCCGTTTCCAACGAAATTTTCAATGCTCTCAAAATATCCACTTGTAGATTCTACAAAAAGAGTGTTTCCAAACTGCTGTGTCAAAAGAAAGGTTCAACTCTGTTAGTTGAGGACACACATCACAAATAAGTTTCTGAGAATGCTTCTGTCTAGTTCTTATTTGAAGACATTTCCTTTCTCACCTTAGGCCTGAAAACGCTCGAAATATCCACTTCCAGATACGACAGAAACAGTGATTCAAACCTGCTCTATGAAAGGGAATGTTCAACTAGGTGACTTGAATGCAAACATCACAAAGCAGTTTCTGAGAATGCTGCTGTCTACTTTCTATTTGTAATCCCGTTTCCAACGAAATCCTCAGAACTATCGAAATTTCCAATTGCAGATTCCACAAAAAGCGTGTTTCAAAGCTGCTCTGTAAAAAGAAAGGTTCAACTCTGTTAGTTGAATACACACGTCACAAACAAGTTTCTGAGAATGCTTCTGTCTAGTTTTTATGGGAAGATATTTCCTTTTTCACCGTAGGCCTCAAAGCGCTCCAAATGTCCACTTCCACATACTACAAAAAGAGTGTTTCAAACCTGCTCTATGATAGGGAATGTTGAAACCTATGAGTTGAATGCAAGCATTACAAAGAGGTTTCTGAGAATGCTTCTGTCTAGATTTTATATGTAGATATTCCCGTTTCCAACGAAATCCTCAAAGCTATCCAAATATCAACTTGCAGATTCTACAAAAGGAATGTTTCCAAAATGCTGTATCCAAACAAAGGTTCAACTCTGTGAATTGAGGGAATACATCACAAAGAAGATTCTGAGAATGCTTCTGTCTAGATTTTATATGAAAATAGTCCCGTTTCCAACGAAATCCTCAAAGCTATCCAAATATCCACTTGCAAATGCCACAAAAAGAGTGTTTCCAAACTGCTCTGTGAAAAGGAAGGTTCAACTCTGTTAGTTGAGTACACACATCACAAAGAGGTTTCTGAGAATGCTGCTGACTAGTTTTTATTTGAAGATATTTCCCTTTTCACCTTAGGCCTAAGAGTGCTCGAAATGTCCATTTCCACATACTCCACAAAGTGTGTTTCAAACGTGCTGTATGAAAGGGAATGTTCAACTCTATGAGTTGAATGCAAACATCACAAAGAAGATTCTGAGAATGCTTTTGTCTAGATTTTATATGAAGATATTCCCGTGTCCAACGAAATTTTCAAAGGTCTCCAAATATCCATTTGTAGATTCTACAAAAAGAGTGTTTCCAAACTGCTGTATCAAAACAAAGGTTGAACTCTGTGAGTTGAGGACACACATCACAAATAAGTTTCTGAGAATGCTTCTGTCTAGTTTTTATTTGAAGATGTTTCCTTTTTCACCATAGGCCTGAAAGCGCTCGAAATGTCCACTTCCAGATAGTACAGAAAGAGTGTTTCAAACCTGCTCTATGAACGGGAATGTTCAGCTCTGTGAGTTGAATGCAAACATCACAAAGCAGGTTCTGAGAATGCTTCCGTCTAGATTTTAAATGAGGATATTCCCGTTTCCAACGAAATCCTCGAAGCTATCCAAATATCCACTTGCAGATTCCACAAAAAGAGTGTTTCAAAACTGCTCTGTCAAAAGATAGGTTCAACTCTGTTAGTTGAGTACACACATGGCAAACAAGATTCCGAGAATGCTTTCGTCTAGTTTTTTTGGGAAGATATTTCCTTCTTCACCATAGGCCTCAAAGCGCTCCAAATATCCATTTCCACATGCTATACAAAGAGTGTCTCAAACCTGCTGTATGAATGGGAATGTTCAACTCTATGAGTTGAATGCAAACATCACAAAGAAGTTTCTGAGAATGCTGCTGTCTAGATTTTATATGAAGGTTTTCCCGCTTCCAACGAAATTTTCAATGCTCTCAAAATATCCTCTTGTAGATTCTACAAAAAGAGTGTTTCCAAACTGCTGTATCAAAACAAAGGTTCATCTCTGTTAGTTGAGGACACACATCACAAATAAGTTTCTGAGAATGCTTCTGTCTAGTTCTTATTTGAAGACATTTCCTTTCTCACCTTAGGCCTGAAAGCGCTCGAAATACCCACTTCCAGATACTACAGAAACAGTGATTCAAACCTGCTCTATGAAAGGGAATGTTCAACTAGGTGACTTGAATGCAAACATCACAAAGCAGTTTCTGAGAATGCTGCTGTCTACTTTCTATTTGTAATCCCGTTTCCAACGAAATCCTCAGAACTATCGAAATTTCCAATTGCAGATTCCACAGAAACAGGGTTTCAAAGCTGCTCTGTAAAAAGAAAGGTTCAACTCTGTTTGTTGAATACACACGTCACAAACAAGTTTCTGAGAATGCTTCTGTCTAGTTTTTATGGGAAGATATTTCCTTTTTCACCGTAGGCCTCAAAGCGCTCCAAATGTCCACTTCCACATACTACAAAAAGAGTGTTTCAAACCTGCTGTATGAAAGGGAATGTTCAACTCTATGAGTTGAATGCAAACATTACAAAGAAGTTTCTGAGAATGCTTCTGTCTAGATTTTATATGAAGGTTTTCCCGTTTCCAACGAAATTTTCAATGCTCTCAAAATATCCACTTGTAGATTCTACAAAAAGAGTGTTTCCAAACTGCTGTGTCAAAAGAAAGGTTCAACTCTGTTAGTTGAGGACACACATCACAAATAAGTTTCTGAGAATGCTTCTGTCTAGTTCTTATTTGAAGACATTTCCTTTCTCACCTTAGGCCTGAAAACGCTCGAAATATCCACTTCCAGATACGACAGAAACAGTGATTCAAACCTGCTCTATGAAAGGGAATGTTCAACTAGGTGACTTGAATGCAAACATCACAAAGCAGTTTCTGAGAATGCTGCTGTCTACTTTCTATTTGTAATCCCGTTTCCAACGAAATCCTCAGAACTATCGAAATTTCCAATTGCAGATTCCACAAAAAGCGTGTTTCAAAGCTGCTCTGTAAAAAGAAAGGTTCAACTCTGTTAGTTGAATACACACGTCACAAACAAGTTTCTGAGAATGCTTCTGTCTAGTTTTTATGGGAAGATATTTCCTTTTTCACCGTAGGCCTCAAAGCGCTCCAAATGTCCACTTCCACATACTACAAAAAGAGTGTTTCAAACCTGCTCTATGATAGGGAATGTTGAAACCTATGAGTTGAATGCAAGCATTACAAAGAAGTTTCTGAGAATGCTTCTGTCTAGATTTTATATGTAGATATTCCCGTTTCCAACGAAATCCTCAAAGCTATCCAAATATCAACTTGCAGATTCTACAAAAGGAATGTTTCCAAAATGCTGTATCCAAACAAAGGTTCAACTCTGTGAATTGAGGGAATACATCACAAAGAAGATTCTGAGAATGCTTCTGTCTAGATTTTATATGAAAATATTCCCGTTTCCAACGAAATCCTCAAAGCTATCCAAATATCCACTTGCAAATGCCACAAAAAGAGTGTTTCCAAACTGCTCTGTGAAAAGGAAGGTTCAACTCTGTTAGTTGAGGACACACATCACAAAGAGGTTTCTGAGAATGCTGCTGACTAGTTTTTATTTGAAGATATTTCCCTTTTCACCTTAGGCCTAAGAGTGCTCGAAATGTCCATTTCCACATACTCCACAAAGTGTGTTTCAAACGTGCTGTATGAAAGGGAATGTTCAACTCTATGAGTTGAATGCAAACATCACAAAGAAGATTCTGAGAATGCTTTTGTCTAGATTTTATATGAAGATATTCCCGTGTCCAACGAAATTTTCAAAGGTCTCCAAATATCCATTTGTAGATTCTACAAAAAGAGTGTTTCCAAACTGCTGTATCAAAACAAAGGTTGAACTCTGTGAGTTGAGGACACACATCACAAATAAGTTTCTGAGAATGCTTCTGTCTAGTTTTTATTTGAAGATGTTTCCTTTTTCACCATAGGCCTGAAAGCGCTCGAAATGTCCACTTCCAGATAGTACAGAAAGAGTGTTTCAAACCTGCTCTATGAACGGGAATGTTCAGCTCTGAGAGTTGAATGCAAACATCACAAAGCAGGTTCCGAGAATGCTTCCGTCTAGATTTTAAATGAGGATATTCCCGTTTCCAACGAAATCCTCGAAGCTATCCAAATATCCACTTGCAGATTCCACAAAAAGAGTGTTTCAAAACTGCTCTGTCAAAAGATAGGTTCAACTCTGTTAGTTGAGTACACACATGGCAAACAAGATTGCGAGAATGCTTTCGTCTAGTTTTTTTGGGAAGATATTTCCTTCTTCACCATAGGCCTCAAAGCGCTCCAAATATCCATTTCCACATGCTATACAAAGAGTGTCTCAAACCTGCTGTATGAATGGGAATGTTCAACTCTATGAGTTGAATGCAAACATCACAAAGAAGTTTCTGAGAATGCTGCTGTCTAGATTTTATATGAAGGTTTTCCCGCTTCCAACGAAATTTTCAATGCTCTCAAAATATCCTCTTGTAGATTCTACAAAAAGAGTGTTTCCAAACTGCTGTATCAAAACAAAGGTTCATCTCTGTTAGTTGAGGACACACATCACAAATAAGTTTCTGAGAATGCTTCTGTCTAGTTCTTATTTGAAGACATTTCCTTTCTCACCTTAGGCCTGAAAGCGCTCGAAATACCCACTTCCAGATACGACAGAAACAGTGATTCAAACCTGCTCTATGAAAGGGAATGTTCAACTAGGTGACTTGAATGCAAACATCACAAAGCAGTTTCTGAGAATGCTGCTGTCTACTTTCTATTTGTAATCCCGTTTCCAACGAAATCCTCAGAACTATCGAAATTTCCAATTGCAGATTCCACAGAAACAGGGTTTCAAAGCTGCTCTGTAAAAAGAAAGGTTCAACTCTGTTAGTTGAATACACACGTCACAAACAAGTTTCTGAGAATGCTTCTGTCTAGTTTTTATGGAAAGATATTTCCTTTTTCACCGTAGGCCTCAAAGCGCTCCAAATGTCCACTTCCACATACAACAAAAAGAGTGTTTCAAACCTGCTGTATGAAAGGGAATGTTCAACTCTATGAGTTGAATGCAAACATTACAAAGAAGTTTCTGAGAATGCTTCTGTCTAGATTTTATATGAAGGTTTTCCCGTTTCCAACGAAATTTTCAATGCTCTCAAAATATCCACTTGTAGATTCTACAAAAAGAGTGTTTCCAAACTGCTGTGTCAAAAGAAAGGTTCAATTCTGTTAGTTGAGGACACACATCACAAATAAGTTTCTGAGAATGCTTGTGTCTAGTTCTTATTTGAAGACATTTCCTTTCTCACCTTAGGCCTGAAAACGCTCGAAATATCCACTTCCAGATACGACAGAAACAGTGATTCAAACCTGCTCTATGAAAGGGAATGTTCAACTAGGTGACTTGAATGCAAACATCACAAAGCAGTTTCTGAGAATGCTGCTGTCTACTTTCTATTTGTAATCCCGTTTCCAACGAAATCCTCAGAACTATCGAAATTTCCAATTGCAGATTCCACAAAAAGCGTGTTTCAAAGCTGCTCTGTAAAAAGAAAGGTTCAACTCTGTTAGTTGAATACACACGTCACAAACAAGTTTCTGAGAATGCTTCTGTCTAGTTTTTATGGGAAGATATTTCCTTTTTCACCGTAGGCCTCAAAGCGCTCCAAATGTCCACTTCCACATACTACAAAAAGAGTGTTTCAAACCTGCTCTATGATAGGGAATGTTGAAACCTATGAGTTGAATGCAAGCATTACAAAGAGGTTTCTGAGAATGCTTCTGTCTAGATTTTATATGTAGATATTCCCGTTTCCAACGAAATCGTCAAACTATCCAAATATCAACTTGCAGATTCTACAAAAGGAATGTTTCCAAAATGCTGTATCCAAACAAAGGTTCAACTCTGTGAATTGAGGGCATACATCACAAAGAAGATTCTGAGAATGCTTCTGTCTAGATTTTATATGAAAATATTCCCGTTTCCAACGAAATCCTCAAAGCTATCCAAATATCCACTTGCAAATGCCACAAAAAGAGTGTTTCCAAACTGCTCTGTGAAAAGGAAGGTTCAACTCTGTTAGTTGAGTACACACATCACAAAGAGGTTTCTGAGAATGCTGCTGACTAGTTTTTATTTGAAGATATTTCCCTTTTCACCTTAGGCCTAAGAGTGCTCGAAATGTCCATTTCCACATACTCCACAAAGTGTGTTTCAAACGTGCTGTATGAAAGGGAATGTTCAACTCTATGAGTTGAATGCAAACATCACAAAGAAGATTCTGAGAATGCTTTTGTCTAGATTTTATATGAAGATATTCCCGTGTCCAACGAAATTTTCAAAGGTCTCCAAATATCCATTTGTAGATTCTACAAAAAGAGTGTTTCCAAACTGCTGTATCAAAACAAAGGTTGAACTCTGTGAGTTGAGGACACACATCACAAATAAGTTTCTGAGAATGCTTCTGTCTAGTTTTTATTTGAAGATGTTTCCTTTTTCACCATAGGCCTGAAAGCGCTCGAAATGTCCACTTCCAGATAGTACAGAAAGAGTGTTTCAAACCTGCTCCATGAACGGGAATGTTCAGCTCTGTGAGTTGAATGCAAACATCACAAAGCAGGTTCTGAGAATGCTTCCGTCTAGATTTTAAATGAGGATATTCCCGTTTCCAACGAAATCCTCGAAGCTATCCAAATATCCACTTGCAGATTCCACAGAAAGAGTGTTTCAAAACTGCTCTCTCAAAAGATAGGTTCAACTCTGTTAGTTGAGTACACACATGGCAAACAAGATTCCGAGAATGCTTTTCGTCTAGTTTTTTTGGGAAGATATTTCCTTCTTCACCATAGGCCTCAAAGCGCTCCAAATATCCATTTCCACATGCTATACAAAGAGTGTCTCAAACCTGCTGTATGAATGGGAATGTTCAACTCTATGAGTTGAATGCAAACATCACAAAGAAGTTTCTGAGAATGCTGCTGTCTAGATTTTATATGAAGGTTTTCCCGCTTCCAACGAAATTTTCAATGCTCTCAAAATATCCTCTTGTAGATTCTACAAAAAGAGTGTTTCCAAACTGCTGTATGAAAACAAAGGTTCATCTCTGTTAGTTGAGGACACACATCACAAATAAGTTTCTGAGAATGCTTCTGTCTAGTTCTTATTTGAAGACATTTCCTTTCTCACCTTAGGCCTGAAAGCGCTCGAAATACCCACTTCCAGATACTACAGAAACAGTGATTCAAACCTGCTCTATGAAAGGGAATGTTCAACTAGGTGACTTGAATGCAAACATCACAAAGCAGTTTCTGAGAATGCTGCTGTCTACTTTCTATTTGTAATCCCGTTTCCAACGAAATCCTCAGAACTATCGAAATTTCCAATTGCAGATTCCACAGAAACAGGGTTTCAAAGCTGCTCTGTAAAAAGAAAGGTTCAACTCTGTTAGTTGAATACACACGTCACAAACAAGTTTCTGAGAATGCTTCTGTCTAGTTTTTATGGGAAGATATTTCCTTTTTCACCGTAGGCCTCAAAGCGCTCCAAATGTCCACTTCCACATACTACAAAAAGAGTGTTTCAAACCTGCTGTATGAAAGGGAATGTTCAACTCTATGAGTTGAATGCAAACATTACAAAGAAGTTTCTGAGAATGCTTCTGTCTAGATTTTATATGAAGGTTTTCCCGTTTCCAACGAAATTTTCAATGCTCTCAAAATATCCACTTGTAGATTCTACAAAAAGAGTGTTTCCAAACTGCTGTGTCAAAAGAAAGGTTCAACTCTGTTAGTTGAAGACACACATCACAAATAAGTTTCTGAGAATGCTGCTGTCTACTTTCTATTTGTAATCCCGTTTCCAACGAAATCCTCAGAACTATCGAAATTTCCAATTGCAGATTCCACAAAAAGCGTGTTTCAAAGCTGCTCTGTAAAAAGAAAGGTTCAACTCTGTTAGTTGAATAGACACGTCACAAACAAGTTTCTGAGAATGCTTCTGTCTAGTTTTTATGGGAAGATATTTCCTTTTTCACCGTAGGCCTCAAAGCGCTCCAAATGTCCACTTCCACATACTACAAAAAGAGTGTTTCAAACCTGCTCTATGATAGGGAATGTTGAAACCTATGAGTTGAATGCAAGCATTACAAAGAGGTTTCTGAGAATGCTTCTGTCTAGATTTTATATGTAGATATTCCCGTTTCCAACGAAATCCTCAAAGCTATCCAAATATCAACTTGCAGATTCTGCAAAAGGAATGTTTCCAAAATGCTGTATCCAAACAAAGGTTCAACTCTGTGAATTGAGGGCATACATCACAAAGAAGATTCTGAGAATGCTTCTGTCTAGATTTTATATGAAAATATTCCCGTTTCCAACGAAATCCTCAAAGCTATCCAAATATCCACTTGCAAATGCCACAAAAAGAGTGTTTCCAAACTGCTCTGTGAAAAGGAAGGTTCAACTCTGTTAGTTGAGTACACACATCACAAAGAGGTTTCTGAGAATGCTGCTGACTAGTTTTTATTTGAAGATATTTCCCTTTTCACCTTAGGCCTAAGAGTGCTCGAAATGTCCATTTCCACATACTCCACAAAGTGTGTTTCAAACGTGCTGTATGAAAGGGAATGTTCAACTCTATGAGTTGAATGCAAACATCACAAAGAAGATTCTGAGAATGCTTTTGTCTAGATTTTATATGAAGATATTCCCGTGTCCAACGAAATTTTCAAAGGTCTCCAAATATCCATTTGTAGATTCTACAAAAAGAGTGTTTCCAAACTGCTGTATCAAAACAAAGGTTGAACTCTGTGAGTTGAGGACACACATCACAAATAAGTTTCTGAGAATGCTTCTGTCTAGTTTTTATTTGAAGATGTTTCCTTTTTCACCATAGGCCTGAAAGCGCTCGAAATGTCCACTTCCAGATAGTACAGAAAGAGTGTTTCAAACCTGCTCTATGAACGGGAATGTTCAGCTCTGTGAGTTGAATGCAAACATCACAAAGCAGGTTCTGAGAATGCTTCCGTCTAGGTTTTAAATGAGGATATTCCCGTTTCCAACGAAATCCTCGAAGCTATCCAAATATCCACTTGCAGATTCCACAAAAAGAGTGTTTCAAAACTGCTCTGTCAAAAGATCGGTTCAACTCTGTTAGTTGAGTACACACATGGCAAACAAGATTCCGAGAATGCTTTCGTCTAGTTTTTTTGGGAAGATATTTCCTTCTTCACCATAGGCCTCAAAGCGCTCCAAATATCCATTTCCACATGCTATACAAAGAGTGTCTCAAACCTGCTGTATGAATGGGAATGTTCAACTCTATGAGTTGAATGCAAACATCACAAAGAAGTTTCTGAGAATGCTGCTGTCTAGATTTTATATGAAGGTTTTCCCGCTTCCAACGAAATTTTCAATGCTCTCAAAATATCCTCTTGTAGATTCTACAAAAAGAGTGTTTCCAAACTGCTGTATCAAAACAAAGGTTCATCTCTGTTAGTTGAGGACACACATCACAAATAAGTTTCTGAGAATGCTTCTGTCTAGTTCTTATTTGAAGACATTTCCTTTCTCACCTTAGGCCTGAAAGCGCTCGAAATACCCACTTCCAGATACTACAGAAACAGTGATTCAAACCTGCTCTATGAAAGGGAATGTTCAACTATGTGACTTGAATGCAAACATCACAAAGCAGTTTCTGAGAATGCTGCTGTCTACTTTCTATTTGTAATCCCGTTTCCAACAAAATCCTCAGAACTATCGAAATTTCCAATTGCAGATTCCACAAAAAGCGTGTTTCAAAGCTGCTCTGTAAAAAGAAAGGTTCAACTCTGTTAGGTGAATACACACGTCACAAACAAGTTTCTGAGAATGCTTCTGTCTAGTTTTTATGGGAAGATATTTCCTTTTTCACCGTAGGCCTCAAAGCGCTCCAAATGTCCACTTCCACATACTACAAAAAGAGTGTTTCAAACCTGCTCTATGATAGGGAATGTTGAAACCTATGAGTTGAATGCAAGCATTACAAAGAGGTTTCTGAGAATGCTTCTGTCTAGATTTTATATGTAGATATTCCCGTTTCCAACGAAATCCTCAAAGCTATCCAAATATCAACTTGCAGATTCTACAAAAGGAATGTTTCCAAAATGCTGTATCCAAACAAAGGTTCAACTCTGTGAATTGAGGGCATACATCACAAAGAAGATTCTGAGAATGCTTCTGTCTAGATTTTATATGAAAATATTCCCGTTTCCAACGAAATCCTCAAAGCTATCCAAATATCCACTTGCAAATGCCACAAAAAGAGTGTTTCCAAACTGCTCTGTGAAAAGGAAGGTTCAACTCTGTTAGTTGAGTACACACATCACAAAGAGGTTTCTGAGAATGCTGCTGACTAGTTTTTATTTGAAGATATTTCCCTTTTCACCTTAGGCCTAAGAGTGCTCGAAATGTCCATTTCCACATACTCCACAAAGTGTGTTTCAAACGTGCTGTATGAAAGGGAACGTTCAACTCTATGAGTTGAATGCAAACATCACAAAGAAGATTCTGAGAATGCTTTTGTCTAGATTTTATATGAAGATATTCCCGTGTCCAACGAAATTTTCAAAGGTCTCCAAATATCCATTTGTAGATTCTACAAAAAGAGTGTTTCCAAACTGCTGTATCAAAACAAAGGTTGAACTCTGTGAGTTGAGGACACACATCACAAATAAGTTTCTGAGAATGCTTCTGTCTAGTTTTTATTTGAAGATGTTTCCTTTTTCACCATAGGCCTGAAAGCGCTCGAAATGTCCACTTCCAGATAGTACAGAAAGAGTGTTTCAAACCTGCTCTATGAACGGGAATGTTCAGCTCTGTGAGTTGAATGCAAACATCACAAAGCAGGTTCTGAGAATGCTTCCGTCTAGATTTTAAATGAGGATATTCCCGTTTCCAACGAAATCCTCGAAGCTATCCAAATATCCACTTGCAGATTCCACAAAAAGAGTGTTTCAAAACTGCTCTGTCAAAAGATAGGTTCAACTCTGTTAGTTGAGTACACACATGGCAAACAAGATTCCGAGAATGCTTTCGTCTAGTTTTTTTGGGAAGATATTTCCTTCTTCACCATAGGCCTCAAAGCGCTCCAAATATCCATTTCCACATGCTATACAAAGAGTGTCTCAAACCTGCTGTATGAATGGGAATGTTCAACTCTATGAGTTGAATGCAAACATCACAAAGAAGTTTCTGAGAATGCTGCTGTCTAGATTTTATATGAAGGTTTTCCCGCTTCCAACGAAATTTTCAATGCTCTCAAAATATCCTCTTGTAGATTCTACAAAAAGAGTGTTTCCAAACTGCTGTATCAAAACAAAGGTTCATCTCTGTTAGTTGAGGACACACATCACAAATAAGTTTCTGAGAATGCTTCTGTCTAGTTCTTATTTGAAGACATTTCCTTTCTCACCTTAGGCCTGAAAACGCTCGAAATATCCACTTCCAGATACGACAGAAACAGTGATTCACACCTGCTCTATGAAAGGGAATGTTCAACTAGGTGACTTGAATGCAAACATCACAAAGCAGTTTCTGAGAATGCTGCTGTCTACTTTCTATTTGTAATCCCGTTTCCAACGAAATCCTCAGAACTATCGAAATTTCCAATTGCAGATTCCACAGAAACAGGGTTTCAAAGCTGCTCTGTAAAAAGAAAGGTTCAACTCTGTTAGTTGAATACACACGTCACAAACAAGTTTCTGAGAATGCTTCTGTCTAGTTTTTATGGGAAGATATTTCCTTTTTCACCATAGGCCTCAAAGCGCTCCAAATGTCCACTTCCACATACTACAAAAAGAGTGTTTCAAACCTGCTCTATGATAGGGAATGTTGAAACCTATGAGTTGAATGCAAGCATTACAAAGAGGTTTCTGAGAATGCTTCTGTCTAGATTTTATATGTAGATATTCCCGTTTCCAACGAAATCCTCAAAGCTATCCAAATATCAACTTGCAGATTCTACAAAAGGAATGTTTCCAAAATGCTGTATCCAAACAAAGGTTCAACTCTGTGAATTGAGGGCATACATCACAAAGAAGATTCTGAGAATGCTTCTGTCTAGATTTTATATGAAAATATTCCCGTTTCCAACGAAATCCTCAAAGCTATCCAAATATCCACTTGCAAATGCCACAAAAAGAGTGTTTCCAAACTGCTCTGTGAAAAGGAAGGTTCAACTCTGTTAGTTGAGTACACACATCACAAAGAGGTTTCTGAGAATGCTGCTGACTAGTTTTTATTTGAAGATATTTCCCTTTTCACCTTAGGCCTAAGAGTGCTCGAAATGTCCATTTCCACATACTCCACAAAGTGTGTTTCAAACGTGCTGTATGAAAGGGAATGTTCAACTCTATGAGTTGAATGCAAACATCACAAAGAAGATTCTGAGAATGCTTTTGTCTAGATTTTATATGAAGATATTCCCGTGTCCAACGAAATTTTCAAAGGTCTCCAAATATCCATTTGTAGATTCTACAAAAAGAGTGTTTCCAAACTGCTGTATCAAAACAAAGGTTGAACTCTGTGAGTTGAGGACACACATCACAAATAAGTTTCTGAGAATGCTTCTGTCTAGTTTTTATTTGAAGATGTTTCCTTTTTCACCATAGGCCTGAAAGCGCTCGAAATGTCCACTTCCAGATAGTACAGAAAGAGTGTTTCAAACCTGCTCTATGAACGGGAATGTTCAGCTCTGTGAGTTGAATGCAAACATCACAAAGCAGGTTCTGAGAATGCTTCCGTCTAGATTTTAAATGAGGATATTCCCGTTTCCAACGAAATCCTCGAAGCTATCCAAATATCCACTTGCAGATTCCACAAAAAGAGTGTTTCAAAACTGCTCTGTCAAAAGATAGGTTCAACTCTGTTAGTTGAGTACACACATGGCAAACAAGATTCCGAGAATGCTTTCGTCTAGTTTTTATGGGAAGATATTTCCTTCTTCACCATAGGCCTCAAAGCGCTCCAAATATCCATTTCCACATGCTATACAAAGAGTGTCTCAAACCTGCTGTATGAATGGGAATGTTCAACTCTATGAGTTGAATGCAAACATCACAAAGCAGTTTCTGAGAATGCTGCTGTCTACTTTCTATTTGTAATCCCGTTTCCAACGAAATCCTCAGAACTATCGAAATTTCCAATTGCAGATTCCACAGAAACAGGGTTTCAAAGCTGCTCTGTAAAAAGAAAGGTTCAACTCTGTTAGTTGAATACACACGTCACAAACAAGTTTCTGAGAATGCTTCTGTCTAGTTTTCATGGAAAGATATTTCCTTTTTCACCGTAGGCCTCTAAGCGCTCCAAATGTCCACTTCCACATACTACAAAAAGAGTGTTTCAAATCTGCTGTATGAAAGGGAATGTTCAACTCTATGAGTTGAATGCAAACATTACAAAGAAGTTTCTGAGAATGCTTCTGTCTAGATTTTATATGAAGGTTTTCCCGCTTCAACGAAATTTTCAATGCTCTCAAAATATCCACTTGTAGATTCTACAAAAAGAGTGTTTCCAAACTGCTGTATCAAAACAAAGGTTCAACTCTGTTAGTTGAGGACACACGTCACAAACAAGTTTCTGAGAATGCTTCTGTCTAGTTTTTATGGGAAGATATTTCCTTTTTCACCGTAGGCCTCAAAGCGCTCCAAATGTCCACTTCCACATACCACAAAAAGAGTGTTTCAAACCTGCTCTATGAAAGGGAATGTTGAAACCTATGAGTTGAATGCAAACATCACAAAGAAGTTACTGAGAACGCTTCTGTCTAGATTTTATATGTAGATATTACCGTTTCCAACGAAATCCTCAAAGCTATCCAAATATCAACTTGCAGATTCTACAAAAGAATGTTTCCAAAATGCTGTATCCAAACAAATGTACAACACTCTTAGTTGAGGACACACATCACAAATAAGTTTCTGAGAATGCTTCTGTCTAGTTCTGATTTGAAGACATTTCCTTTCTCACCTTAGGCCTGAAAGCGCTCGAAATACCCACTTCCAGATACTACAGAAACAGTGATTCAAACCTGCTCTATGAAAGGGAATGTTCAACTATGTGACTTGAATGCAAACATCACAAAGCAGTTTCTGAGAATGCTGCTGTCTACTTTCTATTTGTAATCCCGTTTCCAACGAAATCCTCAGAACTATCGAAATTTCCAATTGCAGATTCCACAGAAACAGGGTTTCAAAGCTGCTCTGTAAAAAGAAAGGTTCAACTCTGTTAGTTGAATACACACGTCACAAACAAGTTTCTGAGAATGCTTCTGTCTAGTTTTTATGGGAAGATATTTCCTTTTTCACCGTAGGCCTCAAAGCGCTCCAAATGTCCACTTCCACATACTACAAAAAGAGTGTTTCAAACCTGCTGTATGAAAGGGAATGTTCAACTCTATGAGTTGAATGCAAACATTACAAAGAAGTTTCTGAGAATGCTTCTGTCTAGATTTTATATGAAGGTTTTCCCGTTTCCAACGAAATTTTCAATGCTCTCAAAATATCCACTTGTAGATTCTACAAAAAGAGTGTTTCCAAACTGCTGTGTCAAAAGAAAGGTTCAACTCTGTTAGTTGAGGACACACATCACAAATAAGTTTCTGAGAATGCTTCTGTCTAGTTCTTATTTGAAGACATTTCCTTTCTCACCTTAGGCCTGAAAACGCTCGAAATATCCACTTCCAGATACGACAGAAACAGTGATTCAAACCTGCTCTATGAAAGGGAATGTTCAACTAGGTGACTTGAATGCAAACATCACAAAGCAGTTTCTGAGAATGCTGCTGTCTACTTTCTATTTGTAATCCCGTTTCCAACGAAATCCTCAGAACTATCGAAATTTCCAATTGCAGATTCCACAGAAACAGGGTTTCAAAGCTGCTCTGTAAAAAGAAAGGTTCAACTCTGTTAGTTGAATACACACGTCACAAACAAGTTTCTGAGAATGCTTTCTGTCTAGTTTTTATGGGAAGATATTTCCTTTTTCACCGTAGGCCTCAAAGCGCTCCAAATGTCCACTTCCACATACTATAAAAAGAGTGTTTCAAACCTGCTGTATGAAAGGGAATGTTCAACTCTATGAGTTGAATGCAAACATTACAAAGAAGTTTCTGAGAATGCTTCTGTCTAGATTTTATATGAAGGTTTTCCCGTTTCCAACGAAATTTTCAATGCTCTCAAAATATCCACTTGTAGATTCTACAAAAAGAGTGTTTCCAAACTGCTGTGTCAAAAGAAAGGTTCAACTCTGTTAGTTGAGGACACACATCACAAATAAGTTTCTGAGAATGCTTCTGTCTAGTTCTTATTTGAAGACATTTCCTTTCTCACCTTAGGCCTGAAAACGCTCGAAATATCCACTTCCAGATACGACAGAAACAGTGATTCAAACCTGCTCTATGAAAGGGAATGTTCAACTAGGTGACTTGAATGCAAACATCACAAAGCAGTTTCTGAGAATGCTGCTGTCTACTTTCTATTTGTAATCCCGTTTCCAACGAAATCCTCAGAACTATCGAAATTTCCAATTGCAGATTCCACAAAAAGCGTGTTTCAAAGCTGCTCTGTAAAAAGAAAGGTTCAACTCTGTTAGTTGAATACACACGTCACAAACAAGTTTCTGAGAATGCTTCTGTCTAGTTTTTATGGGAAGATATTTCCTTTTTCACCGTAGGCCTCAAAGCGCTCCAAATGTCCACTTCCACATACTACAAAAAGAGTGTTTCAAACCTGCTCTATGATAGGGAATGTTGAAACCTATGAGTTGAATGCAAGCATTACAAAGAGGTTTCTGAGAATGCTTCTGTCTAGATTTTATATGTAGATATTCCCGTTTCCAACGAAATCCTCAAAGCTATCCAAATATCAACTTGCAGATTCTACAAAAGGAATGTTTCCAAAATGCTGTATCCAAACAAAGGTTCAACTCTGTGAATTGAGGGCATACATCACAAAGAAGATTCTGAGAATGCTTCTGTCTAGATTTTATATGAAAATATTCCCGTTTCCAACGAAATCCTCAAAGCTATCCAAATATCCACTTGCAAATGCCACAAAAAGAGTGTTTCCAAACTGCTCTGTGAAAAGGAAGGTTCAACTCTGTTAGTTGAGTACACACATCACAAAGAGGTTTCTGAGAATGCTGCTGACTAGTTTTTATTTGAAGATATTTCCCTTTTCACCTTAGGCCTAAGAGTGCTCGAAATGTCCATTTCCACATACTCCACAAAGTGTGTTTCAAACGTGCTGTATGAAAGGGAATGTTCAACTCTATGAGTTGAATGCAAACATCACAAAGAAGACTCTGAGAATGCTTTTGTCTAGATTTTATATGAAGATATTCCCGTGTCCAACGAAATTTTCAAAGGTCTCCAAATATCCATTTGTAGATTCTACAAAAAGAGTGTTTCCAAACTGCTGTATCAAAACAAAGGTTGAACTCTGTGAGTTGAGGACACACATCACAAATAAGTTTCTGAGAATGCTTCTGTCTAGTTTTTATTTGAAGATGTTTCCTTTTTCACCATAGGCCTGAAAGCGCTCGAAATGTCCACTTCCAGATAGTACAGAAAGAGTGTTTCAAACCTGCTCTATGAACGGGAATGTTCAGCTCTGTGAGTTGAATGCAAACATCACAAAGCAGGTTCTGAGAATGCTTCGTCTAGATTTTAAATGAGGATATTCCCGTTTCCAACGAAATCCTCGAAGCTATCCAAATATCCACTTGCAGATTCCACAAAAAGAGTGTTTCAAAACTGCTCTGTCAAAAGATAGGTTCAACTCTGTTAGTTGAGTACACACATGGCAAACAAGATTCCGAGAATGCTTTCGTCTAGTTTTTTTGGGAAGATATTTCCTTCTTCACCATAGGCCTCAAAGCGCTCCAAATATCCATTTCCACATGCTATACAAAGAGTGTCTCAAACCTGCTGTATGAATGGGAATGTTCAACTCTATGAGTTGAATGCAAACATCACAAAGAAGTTTCTGAGAATGCTGCTGTCTAGATTTTATATGAAGGTTTTCCCGCTTCCAACGAAATTTTCAATGCTCTCAAAATATCCTCTTGTAGATTCTACAAAAAGAGTGTTTCCAAACTGCTGTATCAAAACAAAGGTTCATCTCTGTTAGTTGAGGACACACATCACAAATAAGTTTCTGAGAATGCTTCTGTCTAGTTCTTATTTGAAGACATTTCCTTTCTCACCTTAGGCCTGAAAGCGCTCGAAATACCCACTTCCAGATACTACAGAAACAGTGATTCAAACCTGCTCTATGAAAGGGAATTTTCAACTATGTGACTTGAATGCAAACATCACAAAGCAGTTTCTGAGAATGCTGCTGTCTACTTTCTATTTGTAATCCCGTTTGCAACGAAATCCTCAGAACTATCGAAATTTCCAATTGCAGATTCCACAGAAACAGGGTTTCAAAGCTGCTCTGTAAAAAGAAAGGTTCAACTCTGTTAGTTGAATACACACGTCACAAACAAGTTTCTGAGAATGCTTCTGTCTAGTTTTTATGGGAAGATATTTCCTTTTTCACCGTAGGCCTCAAAGCGCTCCAAATGTCCACGCCCACATACTACAAAAAGAGTGTTTCAAACCTGCTGTATGAAAGGGAATGTTCAACTCTATGAGTTGAATGCAAACATTACAAAGAAGTTTCTGAGAATGCTTCTGTCTAGATTTTATATGAAGGTTTTCCCGTTTCCAACGAAATTTTCAATGCTCTCAAAATATCCACTTGTAGATTCTACAAAAAGAGTGTTTCCAAACTGCTGTGTCAAAAGAAAGGTTCAACTCTGTTAGTTGAGGACACACATCACAAATAAGTTTCTGAGAATGCTTCTGTCTAGTTCTTATTTGAAGACATTTCCTTTCTCACCTTAGGCCTGAAAACGCTCGAAATATCCACTTCCAGATACGACAGAAACAGTGATTCAAACCTGCTCTATGAAAGGGAATGTTCAACTAGGTGACTTGAATGCAAACATCACAAAGCAGTTTCTGAGAATGCTGCTGTCTACTTTCTATTTGTAATCCCGTTTCCAACGAAATCCTCGAAGCTATCCAAATATCCACTTGCAGATTCCACAAAAAGAGTGTTTCAAAACTGCTCTGTCAAAAGATAGGTTCAACTCTGTTAGTTGAGTACACACATGGCAAACAAGATTGCGAGAATGCTTTCGTCTAGTTTTTTTGGGAAGATATTTCCTTCTTCACCATAGGCCTCAAAGCGCTCCAAATATCCATTTCCACATGCTATACAAAGAGTGTCTCAAACCTGCTGTATGAATGGGAATGTTCAACTCTATGAGTTGAATGCAAACATCACAAAGAAGTTTCTGAGAATGCTGCTGTCTAGATTTTATATGAAGGTTTTCCCGCTTCCAACGAAATTTTCAATGCTGTCAAAATATCCTCTTGTAGATTCTACAAAAAGAGTGTTTCCAAACTGCTGTATCAAAACAAAGGTTCATCTCTGTTAGTTGAGGACACACATCACAAATAAGTTTCTGAGAATGCTTCTGTCTAGTTCTTATTTGAAGACATTTCCTTTCTCACCTTAGGCCTGAAAGCGCTCGAAATACCCACTTCCAGATACTACAGAAACAGTGATTCAAACCTGCTCTATGAAAGGGAATGTTCAACTATGTGACTTGAATGCAAACATCACAAAGCAGTTTCTGAGAATGCTGCTGTCTACTTTTTATTTGTAATCCCGTTTCCAACGAAATCCTCAGAACTATCGAAATTTCCAATTGCAGATTCCACAGAAACAGGGTTTCAAAGCTGCTCTGTAAAAAGAAAGGTTCAACTCTGTTAGTTGAATACACACGTCACAAACAAGTTTCTGAGAATGCTTCTGTCTAGTTTTTATGGGAAGATATTTCCTTTTTCACCGTAGGCCTCAAAGCGCTCCAAATGTCCACTTCCACATACTACAAAAAGAGTGTTTCAAACCTGCTGTATGAAAGGGAATGTTCAACTCTATGAGTTGAATGCAAACATTACAAAGAAGTTTCTGAGAATGCTTCTGTCTAGATTTTATATGAAGATTTTCCCGTTTCCAACGAAATTTTCAATGCTCTGAAAATATCCACTTGTAGATTCTACAAAAAGAGTGTTTCCAAACTGCTGTGTCAAAAGAAAGGTTCAACTCTGTTAGTTGAGGACACACATCACAAATAAGTTTCTGAGAATGCTTCTGTCTAGTTCTTATTTGAAGACATTTCCTTTCTCACCTTAGGCCTGAAAACGCTCGAAATATCCACTTCCAGATATGACAGAAACAGTGATTCAAACCTGCTCTATGAAAGGGAATGTTCAACTAGGTGACTTGAATGCAAACATCACAAAGCAGTTTCTGAGAATGCTGCTGTCTACTTTCTATTTGTAATCCCGTTTCCAACGAAATCCTCAGAACTATCGAAATTTCCAATTGCAGATTCCACAAAAAGCGTGTTTCAAAGCTGCTCTGTAAAAAGAAAGGTTCAACTCTGTTAGTTGAATACACACGTCACAAACAAGTTTCTGAGAATGCTTCTGTCTAGTTTTTATGGGAAGATATTTCCTTTTTCACCGTAGGCCTCAAAGCGCTCCAAATGTCCACTTCCACATACTACAAAAAGAGTGTTTCAAACCTGCTCTATGATAGGGAATGTTGAAACCTATGAGTTGAATGCAAGCATTACAAAGAGGTTTCTGAGAATGCTTCTGTCTAGATTTTATATGTAGATATTCCCGTTTCCAACGAAATCCTCAAAGCTATCCAAATATCAACTTGCAGATTCTACAAAAGGAATGTTTCCAAAATGCTGTATCCAAACAAAGGTTCAACTCTGTGAATTGAGGGCATACATCACAAAGAAGATTCTGAGAATGCTTCTGTCTAGATTTTATATGAAAATATTCCCGTTTCCAACGAAATCCTCAAAGCTATCCAAATATCCACTTGCAAATGCCACAAAAAGAGTGTTTCCAAACTGCTCTGTGAAAAGGAAGGTTCAACTCTGTTAGTTGAGTACACACATCACAAAGAGGTTTCTGAGAACGCTGCTGACTAGTTTTTATTTGAAGATATTTCCCTTTTCACCTTAGGCCTAAGAGTGCTCGAAATGTCCATTTCCACATACTCCACAAAGTGTGTTTCAAACGTGCTGTATGAAAGGGAATGTTCAACTCTATGAGTTGAATGCAAACATCACAAAGAAGACTCTGAGAATGCTTTTGTCTAGATTTTATATGAAGATATTCCCGTGTCCAACGAAATTTTCAAAGGTCTCCAAATATCCATTTGTAGATTCTACAAAAAGAGTGTTTCCAAACTGCTGTATCAAAACAAAGGTTGAACTCTGTGAGTTGAGGACACACATCACAAATAAGTTTCTGAGAATGCTTCTGTCTAGTTTTTATTTGAAGATGTTTCCTTTTTCACCATAGGCCTGAAAGCGCTCGAAATGTCCACTTCCAGATAGTACAGAAAGAGTGTTTCAAACCTGCTCTATGAACGGGAATGTTCAGCTCTGTGAGTTGAATGCAAACATCACAAAGCAGGTTCTGAGAATGCTTCCGTCTAGATTTTAAATGAGGATATTCCCGTTTCCAACGAAATCCTCGAAGCTATCCAAATATCCACTTGCAGATTCCACAAAAAGAGTGTTTCAAAACTGCTCTGTCAAAAGATAGGTTCAACTCTGTTAGTTGAGTACACACATGGCAAACAAGATTCCGAGAATGCTTTCGTCTAGTTTTTTTGGGAAGATATTTCCTTCTTCACCATAGGCCTCAAAGCGCTCCAAATATCCATTTCCACATGCTATACAAAGAGTGTCTCAAACCTGCTGTATGAATGGGAATGTTCAACTCTATGAGTTGAATGCAAACATCACAAAGAAGTTTCTGAGAATGCTGCTGTCTAGATTTTATATGAAGGTTTTCCCGCTTCCAACGAAATTTTCAATGCTCTCAAAATATCCTCTTGTAGATTCTACAAAAAGAGTGTTTCCAAACTGCTGTATCAAAACAAAGGTTCATCTCTGTTAGTTGAGGACACACATCACAAATAAGTTTCTGAGAATGCTTCTGTCTAGTTCTTATTTGAAGACATTTCCTTTCTCACCTTAGGCCTGAAAGCCCTCGAAATACCCACTTCCAGATACTACAGAAACAGTGATTCAAACCTGCTCTATGAAAGGGAATGTTCAACTAGGTGACTTGAATGCAAACATCACAAAGCAGTTTCTGAGAATGCTGCTGTCTACTTTCTATTTGTAATCCCGTTTGCAACGAAATCCTCAGAACTATCGAAATTTCCAATTGCAGATTCCACAGAAACAGGGTTTCAAAGCTGCTCTGTAAAAAGAAAGGTTCAACTCTGTTAGTTGAATACACACGTCACAAACAAGTTTCTGAGAATGCTTCTGTCTAGTTTTTATGGGAAGATATTTCCTTTTTCACCGTAGGCCTCAAAGCGCTCCAAATGTCCACGTCCACATACTACAAAAAGAGTGTTTCAAACCTGCTGTATGAAAGGGAATGTTCAACTCTATGAGTTGAATGCAAACATTACAAAGAAGTTTCTGAGAATGCTTCTGTCTAGATTTTATATGAAGGTTTTCCCGTTTCCAACGAAATTTTCAATGCTCTCAAAATATCCACTTGTAGATTCTACAAAAAGAGTGTTTCCAAACTGCTGTGTCAAAAGAAAGGTTCAACTCTGTTAGTTGAGGACACACATCACAAATAAGTTTCTGAGAATGCTTCTGTCTAGTTCTTATTTGAAGACATTTCCTTTCTCACCTTAGGCCTGAAAACGCTCGAAATATCCACTTCCAGATACGACAGAAACAGTGATTCAAACCTGCTCTATGAAAGGGAATGTTCAACTAGGTGACTTGAATGCAAACATCACAAAGCAGTTTCTGAGAATGCTGCTGTCTACTTTCTATTTGTAATCCCGTTTCCAACGAAATCCTCAGAACTATCGAAATTTCCAATTGCAGATTCCACAAAAAGCGTGTTTCAAAGCTGCTCTGTAAAAAGAAAGGTTCAACTCTGTTAGTTGAATACACACGTCACAAACAAGTTTCTGAGAATGCTTCTGTCTAGTTTTTATGGGAAGATATTTCCTTTTTCACCGTAGGCCTCAAAGCGCTCCAAATGTCCACTTCCACATACTACAAAAAGAGTGTTTCAACCCTGCTCTATGATAGGGAATGTTGAAAGCTATGAGTTGAATGCAAGCATTACAAAGAGGTTTCTGAGAATGCTTCTGTCTAGATTTTATATGTAGATATTCCCGTTTCCAACGAAATCCTCAAAGCTATCCAAATATCAACTTGCAGATTCTACAAAAGGAATGTTTCCAAAATGCTGTATCCAAACAAAGGTTCAACTCTGTGAATTGAGGGCATACATCACAAAGAAGATTCTGAGAATGCTTCTGTCTAGATTTTATATGAAAATATTCCCGTTTCCAACGAAATCCTCAAAGCTATCCAAATATCCACTTGCAAATGCCACAAAAAGAGTGTTTCCAAACTGCTCTGTGAAAAGGAAGGTTCAACTCTGTTAGTTGAGTACACACATCACAAAGAGGTTTCTGAGAATGCTGCTGACTAGTTTTTATTTGAAGATATTTCCCTTTTCACCTTAGGCCTAAGAGTGCTCGAAATGTCCATTTCCACATACTCCACAAAGTGTGTTTCAAACGTGCTGTATGAAAGGGAATGTTCAACTCTATGAGTTGAATGCAAACATCACAAAGAAGATTCTGAGAATGCTTTTGTCTAGATTTTATATGAAGATATTCCCGTGTCCAACGAAATTTTCAAAGGTCTCCAAATATCCATTTGTAGATTCTACAAAAAGAGTGTTTCCAAACTGCTGTATCAAAACAAAGGTTGAACTCTGTGAGTTGAGGACACACATCACAAATAAGTTTCTGAGAATGCTTCTGTCTAGTTTTTATTTGAAGATGTTTCCTTTTTCACCATAGGCCTGAAAGCGCTCGAAATGTCCACTTCCAGATAGTACAGAAAGAGTGTTTCAAACCTGCTCTATGAACGGGAATGTTCAGCTCTGTGAGTTGAATGCAAACATCACAAAGCAGGTTCTGAGAATGCTTCCGTCTAGATTTTAAATGAGGATATTCCCGTTTCCAACGAAATCCTCGAAGCTATCCAAATATCCACTTGCAGATTCCACAAAAAGAGTGTTTCAAAACTGCTCTGTCAAAAGATAGGTTCAACTCTGTTAGTTGAGTACACACATGGCAAACAAGATTCCGAGAATGCTTTCGTCTAGTTTTTTTGGGAAGATATTTCCTTCTTCACCATAGGCCTCAAAGCGCTCCAAATATCCATTTCCACATGCTATACAAAGAGTGTCTCAAACCTGCTGTATGAATGGGAATGTTCAACTCTATGAGTTGAATGCAAACATCACAAAGAAGTTTCTGAGAATGCTGGCTGTCTAGATTTTATATGAAGGTTTTCCCGCTTCCAACGAAATTTTCAATGCTCTCAAAATATCCTCTTGTAGATTCTACAAAAAGAGTGTTTCCAAACTGCTGTATCAAAACAAAGGTTCATCTCTGTTAGTTGAGGATACACATCACAAATAAGTTTCTGAGAATGCTTCTGTCTAGTTCTTATTTGAAGACATTTCCTTTCTCACCTTAGGCCTGAAAGCGCTCGAAATACCCACTTCCAGATACTACAGAAACAGTGATTCAAACCTGCTCTATGAAAGGGAATGTTCAACTAGGTGACTTGAATGCAAACATCACAAAGCAGTTTCTGAGAATGCTGCTGTCTACTTTCTATTTGTAATCCCGTTTCCAACGAAATCCTCAGAACTATCGAAATTTCCAATTGCAGATTCCACAGAAACAGGGTTTCAAAGCTGCTCTGTAAAAAGAAAGGTTCAACTCTGTTAGTTGAATACACACGTCACAAACAAGTTTCTGAGAATGCTTCTGTCTAGTTTTTATGGGAAGATATTTCCTTTTTCACCGTAGGCCTCAAAGCGCTCCAAATGTCCACTTCCACATACTACAAAAAGAGTGTTTCAAACCTGCTGTATGAAAGGGAATGTTCAACTCTATGAGTTGAATGCAAACATTACAAAGAAGTTTCTGAGAATGCTTCTGTCTAGATTTTATATGAAGGTTTTCCCGTTTCCAACGAAATTTTCAATGCTCTCAAAATATCCACTTGTAGATTCTACAAAAAGAGTGTTTCCAAACTGCTGTGTCAAAAGAAAGGTTCAACTCTGTTAGTTGAGGACACACATCACAAATAAGTTTCTGAGAATGCTTGCTGTCTACTTTCTATTTGTAATCCCGTTTCCAACGAAATCCTCAGTAACTATCGAAATTTCCAATTGCAGATTCCACAAAAAGCGTGTTTCAAAGCTGCTCTGTAAAAAGAAAGGTTCAACTCTGTTAGTTGAATACACACGTCACAAACAAGTTTCTGAGAATGCTTCTGTCTAGTTTTTATGGGAAGATATTTCCTTTATTCACCGTAGGCCTCAAAGCGCTCCAAATGTCCACTTCCACATACTACAAAAAGAGTGTTTCAAACCTGCTCTATGATAGGGAATGTTGAAACCTATGAGTTGAATGCAAGCATTACAAAGAGGTTTCTGAGAATGCTTCTGTCTAGATTTTATATGTAGATATTCCCGTTTCCAACGAAATCCTCAAAGCTATCCAAATATCAACTTGCAGATTCTACAAAAGGAATGTTTCCAAAATGCTGTATCCAAACAAAGGTTCAACTCTGTGAATTGAGGGCATACATCACAAAGAAGATTCTGAGAATGCTTCTGTCTAGATTTAAATGATAATATTCCCGTTTCCAACGAAATCCTCAAAGCTATCCAAATATCCACTTGCAAATGCCACAAAAAGAGTGTTTCCAAACTGCTCTGTGAAAAGGAAGGTTCAACTCTGTTAGTTGAGTACACACATCACAAAGAGGTTTCTGAGAATGCTGCTGACTAGTTTTTATTTGAAGATATTTCCCTTTTCACCTTAGGCCTAAGAGTGCTCGAAATGTCCATTTCCACATACTCCACAAAGTGTGTTTCAAACGTGCTGTATGAAAGGGAATGTTCAACTCTATGAGTTGAATGCAAACATCACAAAGAAGATTCTGAGAATGCTTTTGTCTAGATTTTATATGAAGATATTCCCGTGTCCAACGAAATTTTCAAAGGTCTCCAAATATCCATTTGTAGATTCTACAAAAAGAGTGTTTCCAAACTGCTGTATCAAAACAAAGGTTGAACTCTGTGAGTTGAGGACACACATCACAAATAAGTTTCTGAGAATGCTTCTGTCTAGTTTTTATTTGAAGATGTTTCCTTTTTCACCATAGGCCTGAAAGCGCTCGAAATGTCCACTTCCAGATAGTACAGAAAGAGTGTTTCAAACCTGCTCTATGAACGGGAATGTTCAGCTCTGTGAGTTGAATGCAAACATCACAAAGCAGGTTCTGAGAATGCTTCCGTCTAGATTTTAAATGAGGATATTCCCGTTTCCAACGAAATCCTCGAAGCTATCCAAATATCCACTTGCAGATTCCACAAAAAGAGTGTTTCAAAACTGCTCTGTCAAAAGATAGGTTCAACTCTGTTAGTTGAGTACACACATGGCAAACAAGATTCCGAGAATGCTTTCGTCTAGTTTTTTTGGGAAGATATTTCCTTCTTCACCATAGGCCTCAAAGCGCTCCAAATATCCATTTCCACATGCTATACAAAGAGTGTCTCAAACCTGCTGTATGAATGGGAATGTTCAACTCTATGAGTTGAATGCAAACATCACAAAGAAGTTTCTGAGAATGCTGCTGTCTAGATTTTATATGAAGGTTTTCCCGCTTCCAACGAAATTTTCAATGCTCTGAAAATATCCTCTTGTAGATTCTACAAAAAGAGTGTTTCCAAACTGCTGTGTCAAAAGAAAGGTTCAACTCTGTTAGTTGAGGACACACATCACAAATAAGTTTCTGAGAATGCTTCTGTCTAGTTCTTATTTGACGACATTTCCTTTCTCACCTTAGGCCTGAAAGCGCTCAAAATACCCACTTCCAGATACTACAGAAACAGTGATTCAAACCTGCTCTATGAAAGGACATGTTCAACTATGTGACTTGAATGCAAACATCACAAAGCAGTTTCTGAGAATGCTGCTGTCTACTTTCTATTTGTAATCCCGTTTCCAACGAAATCCTCAGACCTATCGAAATTTCCAATTGCAGATTCCACAGAAACAGGTTTTCAAAGCTGCTCTGTAAAAAGAAAGGTTCAACTCTGTTAGCTGAATACACACGTCACAAACAAGTTTCTGAGAATGCTTCTGTCTAGTTTTTATGGGAAGATATTTCCATTTTCACCGTAGGCCTCAAAGCACTCCAAATGTAAACTTCCACATACTACAAAAAGAGTGTTTCAAACCTGGTGTATGAAAGGGAATGTTCAACCCTATGAGTTGAATGCAAACATTACAAAGAAGTTTCTGAGAATGCTTCTGTCTAGATTTTATATGAAGGTTTTCCTGCTTCAACGAAATTTTCAATGCTCTCAAAATATCCACTTGTAGATTCTACAAAATGAGTGTTTCCAAACTGCTGTATCAAAACAAAGGTTCAACTCTGTTAGTTGAGGACACACGTCACAAATAAGTTTCTGAGAATGCTTCTGTCTAATTCTTATTTGAAGACATTTCCTTTCTCACCTTAGGCCTGAAAGCGCTCGAAATATCCACTTCCAGATACTACAGAAATAGTGATTCAAACCTGCTCTATGAAAGGGAATGTTCAACTAGGTGACTAGAATGCAAACATCACAAAGCAGTTTCTGAGAATGCTCCTGTCTACTTTCTATTTGTAATCCCGTTTCCAACGATATCCTCAGAATTATCGAAATTTTCAATTGCAAATTCCACAAAAAGGGTGTTTCAAAGCTGCTCTGTAAAAAGAAAGGTTCAACTCTGTTAGTTGAATACACATGTCACAAACAAGTTTCTGAGAATGCTTCTGTCTACTTTTTATGGGAAGATATTTCCTTTTTCACCGTAGGCCTCAAAGTGCTCCAAATGTCCACTTCCTCATACTACAAAAAGAGTGTTTCAAACCTGCTGTATGAAAGGGAATGTTCAACTCTATGAGTTGAATGCAAACATTACAAAGAGGTTTCTGAGAATGTTTCTGTCTAGATTTTATATGAAGGTATTCCCGCTTCCAACGAAATTTTCAATGCTCTCAAAATATCCACTTGTAGATTCTACAAAAAGAGTGTTTCCAAACTGCTGTATCAAAACAAATGTTCAACTCTGTTAGTTGAGGACACACATCACAAATAAGTTTCAGAGAATGCTTCTGTCTAGTTCTTATTTGAAGACATTTCCTTTCTCACCTTAGGCCTGAAAATGCCCGAAATATCCACTTCCAGATTCTACAAAAACAGTGATTCAAACCTGCTCTATGAAAGGGAATGTTCAACTAGGTGACTTGAATGCAAACATCACAAAGCAGTTTCTGAGAATGCTGCTGTCTACTTTCTATTTGTAATCCCGTTTCCAACGAAATACTCAGAACTATTGAAATTTCCAATTGCAGATTCCACAAAAAGCGTGTTTCAAAGCTGCTCTGTAAAAAGAAAGGTTCAACTCTGTTAGTTGAATGCACGTCACAAACAAGTTTCTGAGAATGCTTCTGTCTAGTTTTTATGGAAAGATACTTCCTTTTTCACCGTAGGCCTCTAAGCGCTCCAAATGTCCACTTCCACATACTACAAAAAGAGTGTTTCAAATCTGCTGTATGAAAGGGAATGTTCAACTCTATGAGTTGAATGCAAACATTACAAAGAAGTTTCTGAGAATGCTTCTGTCTAGATTTTATATGAAGGTTTTCCCGCTTCAACGAAATTTTCAATGCTCTCAAAATATCCACTTGTAGATTCTACAAAAAGAGTGTTTCCAAACTGCTGTATCAAAACAAAGGTTCAACTCTGTTAGTTGAGGACACACGTCACAAACAAGTTTCTGAGAATGCTTCTGTCTAGTTTTTATGGGAAGATATTTCCTTTTTCACCGTAGGCCTCAAAGCGCTCCAAATGTCCACTTCCACATACCACAAAAAGAGTGTTTCAAACCTGCTCTATGAAAGGGAATGTTGAAACCTATGAGTTGAATGCAAACATCACAAAGAAGTTACTGAGAACGCTTCTGTCTAGATTTTATATGTAGATATTACCGTTTCCAACGAAATCCTCAAAGCTATCCAAATATCAACTTGCAGATTCTACAAAAGAATGTTTCCAAAATGCTGTATCCAAACAAATGTACAACACTCTTAGTTGAGGACACACATCACAAATAAGTTTCTGAGAATGCTTCTGTCTAGTTCTGATTTGAAGACATTTCCTTTCTCACCTTAGGCCTGAAAGCGATCGAAATACCCACTTCCAGGTACTACAGAAACAGTGATTCAAACCTGCTCTATGAAAGGGAATGTTCAACTAGGTGACTTGAATGCAAACATCACAAAGCAGATTCTGAGAATGCTGCTGTCTACTTTCTATTTGTAATCCCGTTTCCAACGAAATCCTCAGAACTATCGAAATTTCCAATTGCAGATTCCACAAAAAGAGTGTTTCAAAGCTGCTCTGTAAAAAGAAAGGTTCAACTCTGTTAGTTGAATACACACGTCACAAACAAGTTTCTGAGAATGGTTCTATCTAGTTTTTACGGGAAGATATTTCCTTTTTCACCGTAGGCCTCAAAGTGCTCCAAATGTCCGCTTCCACATACTACAAAAAGAGTGTTTGAAACCTGCTGTATGAAAGGGAATGTTCAACTCTATGAGTTGAATGCAAACATTACAAAGAAGTTTCTGAGAATGCTCCTGTCTAGTTCTTATTTGAAGACATTTCCTTTCTCACCTTAGGCCTGAAAGCGCTCGAAATGTCCACTTCCAGATAGTACAGAAAGAGTGTTTCAAACCTGCTCTATGAACGGGAATGTTCAGCTCTGTGAGTGGAATGCAAACATCACAAAGCAGGTTCTGAGAATGCTTCCGTCTAGATGTTATATGAGGATATTCCCGTTTCCAACGAAGTCCTCGAAGCTATACAAATATCCATTTGCAGATTCCACAAAAAGAGTGTTTCAAAACTGCTCTGTCAAAAGATAGGTTCAACTCTGTTAGTTGAGTACACACATGGCAAACAAGATTCCGAGAATGCTTTCGTCTAGTTTTTTTGGGAAGATATTTCCTTCTTCACCATAGGCCTCAAAGCGCTCCAAATATCCATTTCCACATACTATACAAAGAGTGTCTCAAAACTGCTGTATGAAAGGGAACGTTCAACTCTATGAGTTGAATGCAAACATCACAAAGAAGTTTCTGAGAATGCTACTGTCTAGATTTTATATGAAGGTTGTCCCGCTTCCAACGAAATTTTCAATGCTCTCCAAATATCCACTTGTAGATTCTACAAAAAGAGTGTTTCCAAACTGCTGTATCAAAACAAAGGTTCAACTCTGTTAGTTGAGGACACACATCACAAATAAGTTTCTGAGAATGCTTCTGTCTAGTTCTTATTTGAAGACATTTCCTTTCTCACCTTAGGCCTGAAAGCGCTCTAAATATCCACTTCCAGATACTACAGAGACAGTGATTCAAACCTGCTCTATGAAAGGGAATGTTCAACTATCTGACTTGAATGCAAACATCACAAAGCAGTTTCTGAGAATGCTGCTGTCTACTTTCTATTTGTAATCCCGTTTCCAACGAAATCCTCAGAACTATCGAAATTTCCAATTGCAGATTCCACAAAAAGCGTGTTTCAAAGCTGCTGTGTAAAAAGAAAGGTTCAACTCTGTTAGTTGAATACACACGGTCACAAACAAGTTTCTGAGAATGCTTCTGTCTAGTTTTTATGGGAAGATATTTCCTTTTTCACCGTAGGCCTCAAAGCGCTCCAAATGTCCACTTCCACATACTACAAAAAGAGTGTTTCAAACCTGCTCTATGATAGGGAATGTTGAAACCTATGAGTTGAATGCAAGCATTACAAAGAGGTTTCTGAGAATGCTTCTGTCTAGATTTTATATGTAGATATTCCCGTTTCCAACGAAATCCTCAAAGCTATCCAAATATCAACTTGCAGATTCTACAAAAGGAATGTTTCCAAAATGCTGTATCCAAACAAAGGTTCAACTCTGGGAATTGAGGGCATACATCACAAAGAAGATTCTGAGAATGCTTCTGTCTAGATTTTATATGAAAATATTCCCGTTTCCAACGAAATCCTCAAAGCTATCCAAATATCCACTTGCAAATGCCACAAAAAGAGTGTTTCCAAACTGCTCTGTGAAAAGGAAGGTTCAACTCTGTTAGTTGAGTACACACATCACAAAGAGGTTTCTGAGAATGCTGCTGACTAGTTTTTATTTGAAGATATTTCCCTTTTCACCTTAGGCCTAAGAGTGCTCGAAATGTCCATTTCCACATACTCCACAAAGTGTGTTTCAAACGTGCTGTATGAAAGGGAATGTTCAACTCTATGAGTTGAATGCAAACATCACAAAGAAGATTCTGAGAATGCTTTTGTCTAGATTTTATATGAAGATATTCCCGTGTCCAACGAAATTTTCAAAGGTCTCCAAATATCCATTTGTAGATTCTACAAAAAGAGTGTTTCCAAACTGCTGTATCAAAACAAAGGTTGAACTCTGTGAGTTGAGGACACACATCACAAATAAGTTTCTGAGAATGCTTCTGTCTAGTTTTTATTTGAAGATGTTTCCTTTTTCACCATAGGCCTGAAAGCGCTCGAAATGTCCACTTCCAGATAGTACAGAAAGAGTGTTTCAAACCTGCTCTATGAACGGGAATGTTCAGCTCTGTGAGTTGAATGCAAACATCACACAGCAGGTTCTGAGAATGCTTCCGTCTAGATTTTAAATGAGGATATTCCCGTTTCCAACGAAATCCTCGAAGCTATCCAAATATCCACTTGCAGATTCCACAAAAAGAGTGTTTCAAAACTGCTCTGTCAAAAGATAGGTTCAACTCTGTTAGTTGAGTACACACATGGCAAACAAGATTCCGAGAATGCTTTCGTCTAGTTTTTTTGGGAAGATATTTCCTTCTTCACCATAGGCCTCAAAGCGCTCCAAATATCCATTTCCACATGCTATACAAAGAGTGTCTCAAACCTGCTGTATGAATGGGAATGTTCAACTCTATGAGTTGAATGCAAACATCACAAAGAAGTTTCTGAGAATGCTGCTGTCTAGATTTTATATGAAGGTTTTCCCGTTTCCAAGGAAATTTTCAATGCTCTCAAAATATCCACTTGTAGATTCTACAAAAAGAGTGTTTCCAAACTGCTGTGTCAAAAGAAAGGTTCAACTCTGTTAGTTGAGGACACACATCACAAATAAGTTTCTGAGAATGCTTCTGTCTAGTTCTTATTTGAAGACATTTCCTTTCTCACCTTAGGCCTGAAAACGCTCGAAATATCCACTTCCAGATACGACAGAAACAGTGATTCAAACCTGCTCTATGAAAGGGAATGTTCAACTAGGTGACTTGAATGCAAACATCACAAAGCAGTTTCTGAGAATGCTGCTGTCTACTTTCTATTTGTAATCCCGTTTCCAACGAAATCCTCAGAACTATCGAAATTTCCAATTGCAGATTCCACAGAAACAGGGTTTCAAAGCTGCTCTGTAAAAAGAAAAGGTTCAACTCTGTTAGTTGAATACACACGTCACAAACAAGTTTCTGAGAATGCTTCTGTCTAGTTTTTATGGGAAGATATTTCCTTTTTCACCGTAGGCCTCAAAGCGCTCCAAATGTCCGCTTCCACATACTACAAAAAGAGTGTTTCAAACCTGCTGTATGAAAGGGAATGTTCAACTCTATGAGTTGAATGCAAACTTTACAAAGAAGTTTCTGAGAATGCTTCTGTCTAGATTTTATATGAAGGTTTTCCCGTTTCCAACGAAATTTTCAATGCTCTCAAAATATCCACTTGTAGATTCTACAAAAAGAGTGTTTCCAAACTGCTGTGTCAAAAGAAAGGTTCAACTCTGTTAGTTGAGGACACACATCACAAATAAGTTTCTGAGAATGCTTCTGTCTAGTTCTTATTTGAAGACATTTCCTTTCTCACCTTAGGCCTGAAAACGCTCGAAATATCCACTTCCAGATACGACAGAAACAGTGATTCAAACCTGCTCTATGAAAGGGAATGTTCAACTAGGTGACTTGAATGCAAACATCACAAAGCAGTTTCTGAGAATGCTGCTGTCTACTTTCTATTTGTAATCCCGTTTCCAACGAAATCCTCAGAACTATCGAAATTTCCAATTGCAGATTCCACAAAAAGCGTGTTTCAAAGCTGCTGTGTAAAAAGAAAGGTTCAACTCTGTTAGTTGAATACACACGTCACAAACAAGTTTCTGAGAATGCTTCTGTCTAGTTTTTATGGGAAGATATTTCCTTTTTCACCGTAGGCCTCAAAGCGCTCCAAATGTCCACTTCCACATACTACAAAAAGAGTGTTTCAAACCTGCTCTATGATAGGGAATGTTGAAACCTATGAGTTGAATGCAAACATTACAAAGAGGTTTCTGAGAATGCTTCTGTCTAGATTTTATATGTAGATATTCCCGTTTCCAACGAAATCCTCAAAGCTATCCAAATATCAACTTGCAGATTCTACAAAAGGAATGTTTCCAAAATGCTGTATCCAAACAAAGGTTCAACTCTGTGAATTGAGGGCATACATCACAAAGAAGATTCTGAGAATGCTTCTGTCTAGATTTTATATGAAAATATTCCCGTTTCCAACGAAATCCTCAAAGCTATCCAAATATCCACTTGCAAATGCCACAAAAAGAGTGTTTCCAAACTGCTCTGTGAAAAGGAAGGTTCAACTCTGTTAGTTGAGTACACACATCACAAAGAGGTTTCTGAGAATGCTGCTGACTAGTTTTTATTTGAAGATATTTCCCTTTTCACCTTAGGCCTAAGAGTGCTCGAAATGTCCATTTCCACATACTCCACAAAGTGTGTTTCAAACGTGCTGTATGAAAGGGAATGTTCAACTCTATGAGTTGAATGCAAACATCACAAAGAAGATTCTGAGAATGCTTTTGTCTAGATTTTATATGAAGATATTCCCGTGTCCAGCGAAATTTTCAAAGGTCTCCAAATAAAGATTGTTTCCAAACTGCTGTATCAAAACAAAGGTTGAACTCTGTGAGTTGAGGACACACATCACAAATAAGTTTCTGAGAATGCTTCTGTCTAGTTTTTATTTGAAGATGTTTCCTTTTTCACCATAGGCCTGAAAGCGCTCGAAATGTCCACTTCCAGATAGTACAGAAAGAGTGTTTCAAACCTGCTCTATGAACGGGAATGTTCAGCTCTGTGAGTTGAATGCAAACATCACAAAGCAGGTTCTGAGAATGCTTCCGTCTAGATTTTAAATGAGGATATTCCCGTTTCCAACGAAATCCTCGAAGCTATCCAAATATCCACTTGCAGATTCCACAAAAAGAGTGTTTCAAAACTGCTCTGTCAAAAGATAGGTTCAACTCTGTTAGTTGAGTACACACATGGCAAACAAGATTCCGAGAATGCTTTCGTCTAGTTTTTTTGGGAAGATATTTCCTTCTTCACCATAGGCCTCAAAGCGCTCCAAATATCCATTTCCACATGCTATACAAAGAGTGTCTCAAACCTGCTGTATGAATGGGAATGTTCAACTCTATGAGTTGAATGCAAACATCACAAAGAAGTTTGCTGAGAATGCTGGCTGTCTAGATTTTATATGAAGGTTTTCCCGCTTCCAACGAAATTTTCAATGCTCTCAAAATATCCTCTTGTAGATTCTACAAAAAGAGTGTTTCCAAACTGCTGTATCAAAACAAAGGTTCATCTCTGATAGTTGAGGACACACATCACAAATAAGTTTCTGAGAATGCTTCTGTCTAGTTCTTATTTGAAGACATTTCCTTTCTCACCTTAGGCCTGAAAGCGCTCGAAATATCCACTTCCAGATACGACAGAAACAGTGATTCAAACCTGCTCTATGAAAGGGAATGTTCAACTAGGTGACTTGAATGCAAACATCACAAAGCAGTTTCTGAGAATGCTGCTGTCTACTTTCTATTTGTAATCCCGTTTCCAACGAAATCCTCAGAACTATCGAAATTTCCAATTGCAGATTCCACAGAAACAGGGTTTCAAAGCTGCTCTGTAAAAAGAAAGGTTCAACTCTGTTAGTTGAATACACACGTCACAAACAAGTTTCAGAGAATGCTTCTGTCTAGTTTTTATGGGAAGATATTTCCTTTTTCACCGTAGGCCTCAAAGCGCTCCAAATGTCCACTTCCACATACTACAAAAGAGTGTTTCAAACCTGCTGTATGAAAGGGAATGTTCAACTCTATGAGTTGAATGCAAACATTACAAAGAAGTTTCTGAGAATGCTTCTGTCTAGATTTTATATGAAGGTTTTCCCGTTTCCAACGAAATTTTCAATGCTCTCAAAATATCCACTTGTAGATTCTACAAAAAGAGTGTTTCCAAACTGCTGTGTCAAAAGAAAGGTTCAACTCTGTTAGTTGAGGACACACATCACAAATAAGTTTCTGAGAATGCTTCTGTCTAGTTCTTATTTGAAGACATTTCCTTTCTCACCTTAGGCCTGAAAACGCTCGAAATATCCACTTCCAGATACGACAGAAACAGTGATTCAAACCTGCTCTATGAAAGGGAATGTTCAACTAGGTGACTTGAATGCAAACATCACAAAGCAGTTTCTGAGAATGCTGCTGTCTACTTTCTATTTGTAATCCCGTTTCCAACGAAATCCTCAGAACTATCGAAATTTCCAATTGCAGATTCCACAAAAAGCGTGTTTCAAAGCTGCTCTGTAAAAAGAAAGGTTCAACTCTGTTAGTTGAATACACACGTCACAAACAAGTTTCTGAGAATGCTTCTGTCTAGTTTTTATGGGAAGATATTTCCTTTTTCACGGTAGGCCTCAAAGCGCTCCAAATGTCCACTTCCACATACTACAAAAAGAGTGTTTCAAACCTGCTCTATGATAGGGAATGTTGAAACCTATGAGTTGAATGCAAGCATTACAAAGAGGTTTCTGAGAATGCTTCTGTCTAGATTTTATATGTAGATATTCCCGTTTCCAACGAAATCCTCAAACTATCCAAATATCAACTTGCAGATTCTACAAAAGGAATGTTTCCAAAATGCTGTATCCAAACAAAGGTTCAACTCTGTGAATTGAGGGCATACATCACAAAGAAGATTCTGAGAATGCTTCTGTCTAGATTTTATATGAAAATATTCCCGTTTCCAACGAAATCCTCAAAGCTATCCAAATATCCACTTGCAAATGCCACAAAAAGAGTGTTTCCAAACTGCTCTGTGAAAAGGAAGGTTCAACTCTGTTAGTTGAGTACACACATCACAAAGAGGTTTCTGAGAATGCTGCTGACTAGTTTTTATTTGAAGATATTTCCCTTTTCACCTTAGGCCTAAGAGTGCTCGAAATGTCCATTTCCACATACTCCACAAAGTGTGTTTCAAACGTGCTGTATGAAAGGGAATGTTCAACTCTATGAGTTGAATGCAAACATCACAAAGAAGATTCTGAGAATGCTTTTGTCTAGATTTTATATGAAGATATTCCCGTGTCCAACGAAATTTTCAAAGGTCTCCAAATATCCATTTGTAGATTCTACAAAAAGAGTGTTTCCAAACTGCTGTATCAAAACAAAGGTTGAACTCTGTGAGTTGAGGACACACATCACAAATAAGTTTCTGAGAATGCTTCTGTCTAGTTTTTATTTGAAGATGTTTCCTTTTTCACCATAGGCCTGAAAGCGCTCGAAATGTCCACTTCCAGATAGTACAGAAAGAGTGTTTCAAACCTGCTCTATGAACGGGAATGTTCAGCTCTGTGAGTTGAATGCAAACATCACAAAGCAGGTTCTGAGAATGCTTCCGTCTAGATTTTAAATGAGGATATTCCCGTTTCCAACGAAATCCTCGAAGCTATCCAAATATCCACTTGCAGATTCCACAAAAAGAGTGTTTCAAAACTGCTCTGTCAAAAGATAGGTTCAACTCTGTTAGTTGAGTACACACATGGCAAACAAGATTGCGAGAATGCTTTCGTCTAGTTTTTTTGGGAAGATATTTCCTTCTTCACCATAGGCCTCAAAGCGCTCCAAATATCCATTTCCACATGCTATACAAAGAGTGTCTCAAACCTGCTGTATGAATGGGAATGTTCAACTCTATGAGTTGAATGCAAACATCACAAAGAAGTTTCTGAGAATGCTTGCTGTCTAGTATTTTATATGAAGGTTTTCCCGCTTCCAACGAAATTTTCAATGCTCTCAAAATATCCTCTTGTAGATTCTACAAAAAGAGTGTTTCCAAACTGCTGTATCAAAACAAAGGTTCATCTCTGTTAGTTGAGGACACACATCACAAATAAGTTTCTGAGAATGCTTCTGTCTAGTTCTTATTTGAAGACATTTCCTTTCTCACCTTAGGCCTGAAAACGCTCGAAATATCCACTTCCAGATACGACAGAATCAGTGATTCAAACCTGCTCTATGAAAGGGAATGTTCTACTAGGTGACTTGAATGCAAACATCACAAAGCAGTTTACTGAGAATGCTGCTGTCTACTTTCTATTTGTAATCCCGTTTCCAACGAAATCCTCAGGAACTATCGAAATTTCCAATTGCAGATTCCACAGAAACAGGGTTTCAAAGCTGCTCTGTAAAAAGAAAGGTTCAACTCTGTTAGTTGAATACACACGTCACAAACAAGTTTCTGAGAATGCTTCTGTCTAGTTTTTATGGGAAGATATTTCCTTTTTCACCGTAGGCCTCAAAGCGCTCCAAATGTCCACTTCCACATACTACAAAAAGAGTGTTTCAAACCTGCTGTATGAAAGGGAATGTTCAACTCTATGAGTCGAATGCAAACATTACAAAGAAGTTTCTGAGAATGCTTCTGTCTAGATTTTATATGAAGGTTTTCCCGTTTCCAACGAAATTTTCAATGCTCTCAAAATATCCACTTGTAGATTCTACAAAAAGAGTGTTTCCAAACTGCTGTGTCAAAAGAAAGGTTCAACTCTGTTAGTTGAGGACACACATCACAAATAAATTTCTGAGAATGCTTCTGTCTAGTTCTTATTTGAAGACATTTCCTTTCTCACCTTAGGCCTGAAAACGCTCGAAATATCCACTTCCAGATACGACAGAAACAGTGATTCAAACCTGCTCTATGAAAGGGAATGTTCAACTAGGTGACTTGAATGCAAACATCACAAAGCAGTTTCTGAGAATGCTGCTGTCTACTTTCTATTTGTAATCCCGTTTCCAACGAAATCCTCAGAACTATCGAAATTTCCAATTGCAGATTCCACAGAAACAGGGTTTCAAACCTGCTCTGTAAAAAGAAAGGTTCAACTCTGTTAGTTGAATACACACGTCACAAACAAGTTTCTGAGAATGCTTCTGTCTAGTTTTTATGGGAAGATATTTCCTTTTTCACCGTAGGCCTCAAAGCGCTCCAAATGTCCACTTCCACATACTACAAAAAGAGTGTTTCAAACCTGCTCTATGATAGGGAATGTTGAAACCTATGAGTTGAATGCAAACATTACAAAGAAGTTTCTGAGAATGCTTCTGTCTAGATTTTATATGTAGATATTCCCGTTTCCAACGAAATCCTCAAAGCTATCCAAATATCAACTTGCACATTCTACAAAAGGAATGTTTCCAAAATGCTGTATCCAAACAAAGGTTCAACTCTGTGAATTGAGGGCATACATCACAAAGAAGATTCTGAGAATGCTTCTGTCTAGATTTTATATGAAAATATTCCCGTTTCCAACGAAATCCTCAAAGCTATCCAAATATCCACTTGCAAATGCCACAAAAAGAGTGTTTCCAAACTGCTCTGTGAAAAGGAAGGTTCAACTCTGTTAGTTGAGTACACACATCACAAAGAGGTTTCTGAGAATGCTGCTGACTAGTTTTTATTTGAAGATATTTCCCTTTTCACCTTAGGCCTAAGAGTGCTCGAAATGTCCATTTCCACATACTCCACAAAGTGTGTTTCAAACGTGCTGTATGAAAGGGAATGTTCAACTCTATGAGTTGAATGCAAACATCACAAAGAAGATTCTGAGAATGCTTTTGTCTAGATTTTATATGAAGATATTCCCGTGTCCAACGAAATTTTCAAAGGTCTCCAAATATCCATTTGTAGATTCTACAAAAAGAGTGTTTCCAAACTGCTGTATCAAAACAAAGGTTGAACTCTGTGAGTTGAGGACACACATCACAAATAAGTTTCTGAGAATGCTTCTGTCTAGTTTTTATTTGAAGATGTTTCCTTTTTCACCATAGGCCTGAAAGCGCTCGAAATGTCCACTTCCAGATAGTACAGAAAGAGTGTTTCAAACCTGCTCTATGAACGGGAATGTTCAGCTCTGTGAGTTGAATGCAAACATCACAAAGCAGGTTCTGAGAATGCTTCCGTCTAGATTTTAAATGAGGATATTCCCGTTTCCAACGAAATCCTCGAAGCTATCCAAATATCCACTTGCAGATTCCACAAAAAGAGTGTTTCAAAACTGCTCTGTCAAAAGATAGGTTCAACTCTGTTAGTTGAGTACACACATGGCAAACAAGATTCCGAGAATGCTTTCGTCTAGTTTTTTTGGGAAGATATTTCCTTCTTCACCATAGGCCTCAAAGCGCTCCAAATATCCATTTCCACATGCTATACAAAGAGTGTCTCAAACCTGCTGTATGAATGGGAATGTTCAACTCTATGAGTTGAATGCAAACATCACAAAGAAGTTTCTGAGAATGCTGCTGTCTAGATTTTATATGAAGGTTTTCCCGCTTCCAACGAAATTTTCAATGCTCTCAAAATATCCTCTTGTAGATTCTACAAAAAGAGTGTTTCCAAACTGCTGTATCAAAACAAAGGTTCATCTCTGTTAGTTGAGGACACACATCACAAATAAGTTTCTGAGAATGCTTCTGTCTAGTTCTTATTTGAAGACATTTCCTTTCTCACCTTAGGCCTGAAAGTGCTCGAAATACCCACTTCCAGATACTACAGAAACAGTGATTCAAACCTGCTCTATGAAAGGGAATGTTCAACTAGGTGACTTGAATGCAAACATCACAAAGCAGTTTCTGAGAATGCTGCTGTCTACTTTCTATTTGTAATCCCGTTTCCAACGAAATCCTCAGAACTATCGAAATTTCCAATTGCAGATTCCACAGAAACAGGGTTTCAAAGCTGCTCTGTAAAAAGAAAGGTTCAACTCTGTTAGTTGAATACACACGTCACAAACAAGTTTCTGAGAATGCTTCTGTCTAGTTTTTATGGGAAGATATTTCCTTTTTCACGGTAGGCCTCAAAGCGCTCCAAATGTCCACTTCCACATACTACAAAAAGAGTGTTTCAAACCTGCTCTATGATAGGGAATGTTGAAACCTATGAGTTGAATGCAAGCATTACAAAGAGGTTTCTGAGAATGCTTCTGTCTAGATTTTATATGTAGATATTCCCGTTTCCAACGAAATCCTCAAAGCTATCCAAATATCAACTTGCAGATTCTACAAAAGGAATGTTTCCAAAATGCTGTATCCAAACAAAGGTTCAACTCTGTGAATTGAGGGCATACATCACAAAGAAGATTCTGAGAATGCTTCTGTCTAGATTTTATATGAAAATATTCCCGTTTCCAACGAAATCCTCAAAGCTATCCAAATATCCACTTGCAAATGCCACAAAAAGAGTGTTTCCAAACTGCTCTGTGAAAAGGAAGGTTCAACTCTGTTAGTTGAGTACACACATCACAAAGAGGTTTCTGAGAATGCTGCTGACTAGTTTTTATTTGAAGATATTTCCCTTTTCACCTTAGGCCTAAGAGTGCTCGAAATGTCCATTTCCACATACTCCACAAAGTGTGTTTCAAACGTGCTGTATGAAAGGGAATGTTCAACTCTATGAGTTGAATTCAAACATCACAAAGAAGATTCTGAGAATGCTTTTGTCTAGATTTTATATGAAGATATTCCCGTGTCCAACGAAATTTTCAAAGTTCTCCAAATATCCATTTGTAGATTCTACAAAAAGAGTGTTTCCAAACTGCTGTATCAAAACAAAGGTTGAACTCTGTGAGTTGAGAACACACATCACAAATAAGTTTCTGAGAATGCTTCTGTCTAGTTTTTATTTGAAGATGTTTCCTTTTTCACCATAGGCCTGAAAGCGCTCGAAATGTCCACTTCCAGATAGTACAGAAAGAGTGTTTCAAACCTGCTCTATGAACGGGAATGTTCAGCTCTGTGAGTTGAATGCAAACATCACAAAGCAGGTTCTGAGAATGCTTCCGTCTAGATTTTAAATGAGGATATTCCCGTTTCCAACGAAATCCTCGAAGCTATCCAAATATCCACTTGCAGATTCCACAAAAAGAGTGTTTCAAAACTGCTCTGTCAAAAGATAGGTTCAACTCTGTTAGTTGAGTACACACATGGCAAACAAGATTGCGAGAATGCTTTCGTCTAGTTTTTTTGGGAAGATATTTCCTTCTTCACCATAGGCCTCAAAGCGCTCCAAATATCCATTTCCACATGCTATACAAAGAGTGTCTCAAACCTGCTGTATGAATGGGAATGTTCAACTCTATGAGTTGAATGCAAACATCACAAAGAAGTTTCTGAGAATGCTGCTGTCTAGATTTTATATGAAGGTTTTCCCGCTTCCAACGAAATTTTCAATGCTCTCAAAATATCCTCTTGTAGATTCTACAAAAAGAGTGTTTCCAAACTGCTGTATCAAAACAAAGGTTCATCTCTGTTAGTTGAGGACACACATCACAAATAAGTTTCTGAGAATGCTTCTGTCTAGTTCTTATTTGAAGACATTTCCTTTCTCACCTTAGGCCTGAAAGCGCTCGAAATACCCACTTCCAGATACTACAGAAACAGTGATTCAAACCTGCTCTATGAAAGGGAATGTTCAACTAGGTGACTTGAATGCAAACATCACAAAGCAGTTTCTGAGAATGCTGCTGTCTACTTTCTATTTGTAATCCCGTTTCCAACGAAATCCTCAGAACTATCGAAATTTCCAATTGCAGATTCCACAGAAACAGGGTTTCAAAGCTGCTCTGTAAAAAGAAAGGTTCAAGTCTGTTAGTTGAATACACACGTCACAAACAAGTTTCTGAGAATGCTTCTGTCTAGTTTTTATGGGAAGATATTTCCTTTTTCACCGTAGGCCTCAAAGCGCTCCAAATGTCCACGTCCACATACTACAAAAAGAGTGTTTCAAACCTGCTGTATGAAAGGGAATGTTCAACTCTATGAGTTGAATGCAAACATTACAAAGAAGTTTCTGAGAATGCTTCTGTCTAGATTTTATATGAAGGTTTTCCCGTTTCCAACGAAATTTTCAATGCTCTCAAAATATCCACTTGTAGATTCTACAAAAAGAGTGTTTCCAAACTGCTGTGTCAAAAGAAAGGTTCAACTCTGTTAGTTGAGGACACACATCACAAATAAGTTTCTGAGAATGCTCTGTCTAGTTCTTATTTGAAGACATTTCCTTTCTCACCTTAGGCCTGAAAACGCTCGAAATATCCACTTCCAGATACGACAGAAACAGTGATTCAAACCTGCTCTATGAAAGGGAATGTTCAACTAGGTGACTTGAATGCAAACATCACAAAGCAGTTTGCTGAGAATGCTGGCTGTCTACTTTCTATTTGTAATCCCGTTTCCAACGAAATCCTCAGAACTATCGAAATTTCCAATTGCAGATTCCACAGAAACAGGGTTTCAAAGCTGCTCTGTAAAAAGAAAGGTTCAACTCTGTTAGTTGAATACACACGTCACAAACAAGTTTCTGAGAATGCTTCTGTCTAGTTTTTATGGGAAGATATTTCCTTTTTCACCGTAGGCCTCAAAGCGCTCCAAATGTCCACTTCCACATACTACAAAAAGAGTGTTTCAAACCTGCTGTATGAAAGGGAATGTTCAACTCTATGAGTTGAATGCAAACATTACAAAGAAGTTTTCTGAGAATGCTTCTGTCTAGATTTTATATGAAGGTTTTCCCGCTTCCAACGAAATTTTCAATGCTCTCAAAATAACCACTTGGAGATTCTACAAAAAGAGTGTTTCCAAACTACTGTATCAAAACAAAGGTTCAACTCTGTTAGTTGAGGACAGACATCACAAATAAGTTTCTGAGAATGCTTCCTGTCTAGTTCTTATTTGAAGACATTTCCTTTCTCACCTTAGGCCTGAAAGCGCTCGAAATACCCACTTCCAGATACTACAGAAACAGTGATTCAAACCTGCTCTATGAAAGGGAATGTTCAACTAGGTGACTTGAATGCAAACATCACAAAGCAGTTTCTGAGAATGCTGCTGTCTACTTTCTATTTGTAATCCCGTTTCCAACGAAATCCTCAGAACTATCGAAATTTCCAATTGCAGATTCCACAGAAACAGGGTTTCAAAGCTGCTCTGTAAAAAGAAAGGTTCAACTCTGTTAGTTGAATACACACGTCACAAACAAGTTTCTGAGAATGCTTCTGTCTAGTTTTTATGGGAAGATATTTCCTTTTTCACCGTAGGCCTCAAAGCGCTCCAAATGTCCACTTCCACATACTACAAAAAGAGTGTTTCAAACCTGCTGTATGAAAGGGAATGTTCAACTCTATGAGTTGAATGCAAACATTACAAAGAAGTTTCTGAGAATGCTTCTGTCTAGATTTTATATGTAGATAGATATTCCCGTTTCCAACGAAATCCTCAAAGCTATCCAAATATCAACTTGCAGATTCTACAAAAGGAATGTTTCCAAAATGCTGTATCCAAACAAAGGTTCAACTCTGTGAATTGAGGGCATACATCACAAAGAAGATTCTGAGAATGCTTCTGTCTAGATTTTATATGAAAATATTCCCGTTTCCAACGAAATCCTCAAAGCTATCCAAATATCCACTTGCAAATGCCACAAAAAGAGTGTTTCCAAACTGCTCTGTGAAAAGGAAGGTTCAACTCTGTTAGTTGAGTACACACATCACAAAGAGGTTTCTGAGAATGCTGCTGACTAGTTTTTATTTGAAGATATTTCCCTTTTCACCTTAGGCCTAAGAGTGCTCGAAATGTCCATTTCCACATACTCCACAAAGTGTGTTTCAAACGTGCTGTATGAAAGGGAATGTTCAACTCTATGAGTTGAATGCAAACATCACAAAGAAGATTCTGAGAATGCTTTTGTCTAGATTTTATATGAAGATATTCCCGTGTCCAACGAAATTTTCAAAGGTCTCCAAATATCCATTTGTAGATTCTACAAAAAGAGTGTTTCCAAACTGCTGTATCAAAACAAAGGTTGAACTCTGTGAGTTGAGGACACACATCACAAATAAGTTTCTGAGAATGCTTCTGTCTAGTTTTTATTTGAAGATGTTTCCTTTTTCACCATAGGCCTGAAAGCGCTCGAAATGTCCACTTCCAGATAGTACAGAAAGAGTGTTTCAAACCTGCTCTATGAACGGGAATGTTCAGCTCTGTGAGTTGAATGCAAACATCACAAAGCAGGTTCTGAGAATGCTTCCGTCTAGATTTTAAATGAGGATATTCCCGTTTCCAACGAAATCCTCGAAGCTATCCAAATATCCACTTGCAGATTCCACAAAAAGAGTGTTTCAAAACTGCTCTGTCAAAAGATAGGTTCAACTCTGTTAGTTGAGTACACACATGGCAAACAAGATTCCGAGAATGCTTTCGTCTAGTTTTTTTGGGAAGATATTTCCTTCTTCACCATAGGCCTCAAAGCGCTCCAAATATCCATTTCCACATGCTATACAAAGAGTGTCTCAAACCTGCTGTATGAATGGGAATGTTCAACTCTATGAGTTGGATGCAAACATCACAAAGAAGTTTCTGAGAATGCTGCTGTCTAGATTTTATATGAAGGTTTTCCTGCTTCCAACGAAATTTTCAATGCTCTCAAAATATCCTCTTGTAGATTCTACAAAAAGAGTGTTTCCAAACTGCTGTATCAAAACAAAGGTTCATCTCTGTTAGTTGAGGACACACATCACAAATAAGTTTCTGAGAATGCTTCTGTCTAGTTCTTATTTGAAGACATTTCCTTTCTCACCTTAGGCCTGAAAGCGCTCGAAATACCCACTTCCAGATACTACAGAAACAGTGATTCAAACCTGCTCTATGAAAGGGAATGTTCAACTAGGTGACTTGAATGCAAACATCACAAAGCAGTTTCTGAGAATGCTGCTGTCTACTTTCTATTTGTAATCCCGTTTCCAACGAAATCCTCAGAACTATCGAAATTTCCAATTGCAGATTCCACAGAAACAGGGTTTCAAAGCTGCTCTGTAAAAAGAAAGGTTCAACTCTGTTAGTTGAATACACACGTCACAAACAAGTTTCTGAGAATGCTTCTGTCTAGTTTTTATGGGAAGATATTTCCTTTTTCACCGTAGGCCTCAAAGCGCTCCAAATGTCCACGTCCACATACTACAAAAAGAGTGTTTCAAACCTGCTGTATGAAAGGGAATGTTCAACTCTATGAGTTGAATGCAAACATTACAAAGAAGTTTCTGAGAATGCTTCTGTCTAGATTTTATATGAAGGTTTTCCCGTTTCCAACGAAATTTTCAATGCTCTCAAAATATCCACTTGTAGATTCTACAAAAAGAGTGTTTCCAAACTGCTGTGTCAAAAGAAAGGTTCAACTCTGTTAGTTGAGGACACACATCACAAATAAGTTTCTGAGAATGCTTCTGTCTAGTTCTTATTTGAAGACATTTCCTTTCTCACCTTAGGCCTGAAAACGCTCGAAATATCCACTTCCAGATACGACAGAAACAGTGATTCAAACCTGCTCTATGAAAGGGAATGTTCAACTAGGTGACTTGAATGCAAACATCACAAAGCAGTTTCTGAGAATGCTGCTGTCTACTTTCTATTTGTAATCCCGTTTCCAACGAAATCCTCAGAACTATCGAAATTTCCAATTGCAGATTCCACAAAAAGCGTGTTTCAAAGCTGCTCTGTAAAAAGAAAGGTTCAACTCTGTTAGTTGAATACACACGTCACAAACAAGTTTCTGAGAATGCTTCTGTCTAGTTTTTATGGGAAGATATTTCCTTTTTCACCGTAGGCCTCAAAGCGCTCCAAATGTCCACTTCCACATACTACAAAAAGAGTGTTTCAAACCTGCTCTATGATAGGGAATGTTGAAACCTATGAGTTGAATGCAAGCATTACAAAGAGGTTTCTGAGAATGCTTCTGTCTAGATTTTATATGTAGATATTCCCGTTTCCAACGAAATCCTCAAAGCTATCCAAATATCAACTTGCAGATTCTGCAAAAGGAATGTTTCCAAAATGCTGTATCCAAACAAAGGTTCAACTCTGTGAATTGAGGGCATACATCACAAAGAAGATTCTGAGAATGCTTCTGTCTAGATTTTATATGAAAATATTCCCGTTTCCAACGAAATCCTCAAAGCTATCCAAATATCCACTTGCAAATGCCACAAAAAGAGTGTTTCCAAACTGCTCTGTGAAAAGGAAGGTTCAACTCTGTTAGTTGAGTACACACATCACAAAGAGGTTTCTGAGAATGCTGCTGACTAGTTTTTATTTGAAGATATTTCCCTTTTCACCTTAGGCCTAAGAGTGCTCGAAATGTCCATTTCCACATACTCCACAAAGTGTGTTTCAAACGTGCTGTATGAAAGGGAATGTTCAACTCTATGAGTTGAATGCAAACATCACAAAGAAGATTCTGAGAATGCTTTTGTCTAGATTTTATATGAAGATATTCCCGTGTCCAACGAAATTTTCAAAGGTCTCCAAATATCCATTTGTAGATTCTACAAAAAGAGTGTTTCCAAACTGCTGTATCAAAACAAAGGTTGAACTCTGTGAGTTGAGGACACACATCACAAATAAGTTTCTGAGAATGCTTCTGTCTAGTTTTTATTTGAAGATGTTTCCTTTTTCACCATAGGCCTGAAAGCGCTCGAAATGTCCACTTCCAGATAGTACAGAAAGAGTGTTTCAAACCTGCTCTATGAACGGGAATGTTCAGCTCTGTGAGTTGAATGCAAACATCACAAAGCAGGTTCTGAGAATGCTTCCGTCTAGATTTTAAATGAGGATATTCCCGTTTCCAACGAAATCCTCGAAGCTATCCAAATATCCACTTGCAGATTCCACAAAAAGAGTGTTTCAAAACTGCTCTGTCAAAGGATAGGTTCAACTCTGTTAGTTGAGTACACACATGGCAAACAAGATTGCGAGAATGCTTTCGTCTAGTTTTTTTGGGAAGATATTTCCTTCTTCACCATAGGCCTCAAAGCGCTCCAAATATCCATTTCCACATGCTATACAAAGAGTGTCTCAAACCTGCTGTATGAATGGGAATGTTCAACTCTATGAGTTGAATGCAAACATCACAAAGAAGTTTCTGAGAATGCTGCTGTCTAGATTTTATATGAAGGTTTTCCCGCTTCCAACGAAATTTTCAATGCTCTCAAAATATCCTCTTGTAGATTCTACAAAAAGAGTGTTTCCAAACTGCTGTATCAAAACAAAGGTTCATCTCTGTTAGTTGAGGACACACATCACAAATAAGTTTCTGAGAATGCTTCTGTCTAGTTCTTATTTGAAGACATTTCCTTTCTCACCTTAGGCCTGAAAGCGCTCGAAATACCCACTTCCAGATACTACAGAAACAGTGATTCAAACCTGCTCTATGAAAGGGAATGTTCAACTAGGTGACTTGAATGCAAACATCACAAAGCAGTTTCTGAGAATGCTGCTGTCTACTTTCTATTTGTAATCCCGTTTCCAACGAAATCCTCAGAACTATCGAAATTTCCAATTGCAGATTCCACAGAAACAGGGTTTCAAAGCTGCTCTGTAAAAAGAAAGGTTCAACTCTGTTAGTTGAATACACACGTCACAAACAAGTTTCTGAGAATGCTTCTGTCTAGTTTTTATGGGAAGATATTTCCTTTTTCACCGTAGGCCTCAAAGCGCTCCAAATGTCCACTTCCACATACTACAAAAAGAGTATTTCAAACCTGCTGTATGAAAGGGAATGTTCAACTCTATGAGTTGAATGCAAACATTACAAAGAAGTTTCTGAGAATGCTTCTGTCTAGATTTTATATGAAGGTTTTCCCGTTTCCAACGAAATTTTCAATGCTCTGAAAATATCCACTTGTAGATTCTACAAAAAGAGTGTTTCCAAACTGCTGTGTCAAAAGAAAGGTTCAACTCTGTTAGTTGAGGACACACATCACAAATAAGTTTCTGAGAATGCTTCTGTCTAGTTCTTATTTGAAGACATTTCCTTTCTCACCTTAGGCCTGAAAACGCTCGAAATATCCACTTCCAGATACGACAGAAACAGTGATTCAAACCTGCTCTATGAAAGGGAATGTTCAACTAGGTGACTTGAATGCAAACATCACAAAGCAGTTTCTGAGAATGCTGCTGTCTACTTTCTATTTGTAATCCCGTTTCCAACGAAATCCTCAGAACTATCGAAATTTCCAATTGCAGATTCCACAAAAAGCGTGTTTCAAAGCTGCTCTGTAAAAAGAAAGGTTCAACTCTGTTAGTTGAATACACACGTCACAAACAAGTTTCTGAGAATGCTTCTGTCTAGTTTTTATGGGAAGATATTTCCTTTTTCACCATAGGCCTCAAAGCGCTCCAAATGTCCACTTCCACATACTACAAAAAGAGTGTTTCAAACCTGCTCTATGATAGGGAATGTTGAAACCTATGAGTTGAATGCAAGCATTACAAAGAGGTTTCTGAGAATGCTTCTGTCTAGATTTTATATGTAGATATTCCCGTTTCCAACGAAATCCTCAAAGCTATCCAAATATCAACTTGCAGATTCTACAAAAGGAATGTTTCCAAAATGCTGTATCCAAACAAAGGTTCAACTCTGTGAATTGAGGGCATACATCACAAAGAAGATTCTGAGAATGCTTCTGTCTAGATTTTATATGAAAATATTCCCGTTTCCAACGAAATCCTCAAAGCTATCCAAATATCCACTTGCAAATGCCACAAAAAGAGTGTTTCCAAACTGCTCTGTGAAAAGGAAGGTTCAACTCTGTTAGTTGAGTACACACATCACAAAGAGGTTTCTGAGAATGCTCTGACTAGTTTTTATTTGAAGATATTTCCCTTTTCACCTTAGGCCTAAGAGTGCTCGAAATGTCCATTTCCACATACTCCACAAAGTGTGTTTCAAACGTGCTGTATGAAAGGGAATGTTCAACTCTATGAGTTGAATGCAAACATCACAAAGAAGATTCTGAGAATGCTTTCTGTCTAGATTTTATATGAAGGTATTCCCGTTTCCAACGAAATTTTCAATGCTCTCAAACTATCCACTTGTAGATTCTACAAAAAGAGTGTTTCCAAACTGCTGTATCAAAACAAAGATTCAACTCTGTTAGTTGAGGACACACATCACAAATAAGTTTCTGAGAATGCTTCTGTCTAGTTCTTATTTGAAGACATTTCCTTTCTCACCTTAGGCCTGAAAGCGCTCGAAATATCCACTTCCAGATACTACAGAGACAGTGATTCAAACCTGCTCTATGAAAGGGAATGTTCAACTATGTGACTTGAACGCAAATATCACAAAGCAGTTTCTGAGAATGCCGCTGTCTACTTTCTATTTTTAATCCCGTTTCCAACGAAATCCTCAGAACTATCGAAATTTCCAATTGCAGATTCCACAAAAAGCGTGTTTCAAAGCTGCTCTGTAAAAAGAAAGGTTCAACTCTGTTAGTTGAATACACACGTCACAAACAAGTTTCTGAGAATGCTTCTGTCTAGTTTTTATGGGAAGATATTTCCTTATTCACCGTAGGCCTCAAAGCGCTCCAAATGTCCACTTCCACATACTACAAAAAGTGTGTTTCAAACCTGCTCTATGATAGGGAATGTTGAAACCTATGAGTTGAATGCAAACCTTACAAAGAGGTTTCTGAGAATGATTCTGTCTAGATTTTATATGTAGATATTCCCGTTTCCAACGAAATCCTCAAAGCTATCCAAATATCAACTTACAGATTCTACAAAAGGAATGTTTCCAAAATGCTGTATCCAAACAGAGGTTCAACTCTGTGAATTGAGGGCATACATCACAAAGAAGATTCTGAGAATGCTTCTGTCTAGATTTTATATGAAAATATTCCCGTTTCCAACGAAATCCTCAAAGCTATCCAAATATCCACTTGCAAATGCCACAAAAAGAGTGTTTCCAAACTGCTCTGTGAAAAGGAAGGTTCAACTCTGTTAGTTGAGTACACACATCACAAAGAGGTTTCTGAGAATGCTGCTGACTAGTTTTTATTTGAAGATATTTCCCTTTTCACCTTAGGCCTAAGAGTGCTCGAAATGTCCATTTCCACATACTCCACAAAGTGTGTTTCAAACGTGCTGTATGAAAGGGAATGTTCAACTCTATGAGTTGAATGCAAACATCACAAAGAAGATTCTGAGAATGCTTTTGTCTAGATTTTATATGAAGATATTCCCGTGTCCAACGAAATTTTCAAAGGTCTCCAAATATCCATTTGTAGATTCTACAAAAAGAGTGTTTCCAAACTGCTGTATCAAAACAAAGGTTGAACTCTGTGAGTTGAGGACACACATCACAAATAAGTTTCTGAGAATGCTTCTGTCTAGTTTTTATTTGAAGATGTTTCCTTTTTCACCATAGGCCTGAAAGCGCTCGAAATGTCCACTTCCAGATAGTACAGAAAGAGTGTTTCAAACCTGCTCTATGAACGGGAATGTTCAGCTCTGTGAGTTGAATGCAAACATCACAAAGCAGGTTCTGAGAATGCTTCCGTCTAGATTTTAAATGAGGATATTCCCGTTTCCAACGAAATCCTCGAAGCTATCCAAATATCCACTTGCAGATTCCACAAAAAGAGTGTTTCAAAACTGCTCTGTCAAAAGATAGGTTCAACTCTGTTAGTTGAGTACACACATGGCAAACAAGATTGCGAGAATGCTTTCGTCTAGTTTTTTTGGGAAGATATTTCCTTCTTCACCATAGGCCTCAAAGCGCTCCAAATATCCATTTCCACATGCTATACAAAGAGTGTCTCAAACCTGCTGTATGAATGGGAATGTTCAACTCTATGAGTTGAATGCAAACATCACAAAGAAGTTTCTGAGAATGCTGCTGTCTAGATTTTATATGAAGGTTTTCCCGCTTCCAACGAAATTTTCAATGCTCTCAAAATATCCTCTTGTAGATTCTACAAAAAGAGTGTTTCCAAACTGCTGTATCAAAACAAAGGTTCATCTCTGTTAGTTGAGGACACACATCACAAATAAGTTTCTGAGAATGCTTCTGTCTAGTTCTTATTTGAAGACATTTCCTTTCTCACCTTAGGCCTGAAAGCGCTCGAAATACCCACTTCCAGATACTACAGAAACAGTGATTCAAACCTGCTCTATGAAAGGGAATGTTCAACTATGTGACTTGAATGCAAACATCACAAAGCAGTTTCTGAGAATGCTGCTGGCTACTTTCTATTTGTAATCCCGTTTCCAACGAAATCCTCAGAACTATCGAAATTTCCAATTGCAGATTCCACAGAAACAGGGTTTCAAAGCTGCTCTGTAAAAAGAAAGGTTCAACTCTGTTAGTTGAATACACACGTCACAAACAAGTTTCTGAGAATGCTTCTGTCTAGTTTTTATGGGAAGTATATTTCCTTTTTCACCGTAGGCCTCAAAGCGCTCCAAATGTCCACTTCCACATACTACAAAAAGAGTGTTTCAAACCTGCTGTATGAAAGGGAATGTTCAACTCTATGAGTCGAATGCAAACATTACAAAGAAGTTTCTGAGAATGCTTCTGTCTAGATTTTATATGTAGATATTCCCGTTTCCAACGAAATCCTCAAAGCTATCCAAATATTAGCTTGCAGATTCTACAAAAGGAATGTTTCCAAAATGCTGTATCCCAACAAAGGTTCAACTCTGTTAATTGAGGACATACATCACAAAGAAGATTCTGAGAATGCTTCTGTGTTGATTTTATATGAAGATATTCCCGTTTCCAACGAAATCCTCAAATCTATCCAAATATCCACTTGCAAATTCCACAAAAAGAGTGTTTCAAAACTGCTCTGTCAAAAGGAAGGTTCAACTCCGTTAGTTGAGTACACACATCACAAAGAGGTTTCTGAGAATGCTGCTGACTAGTTTTTATTTGAAGATATTTCCCTTTTCACCTTAGGCCTAAGAGCACTCTAAATGTCCATTTCCACATACTACACAAAGTGTGTTTCAAACCTGTTGTATGAAAGGGAATATTCAACTCTATGAGTTGAATGCAAACATCACAAAGCAGATTCTGAGAATGCTTCTGTCTAGTTTTTATGGGAAGATATTTCCTTTTTCACCGTAGGCCTCAAAGCGCTCCAAATGTCCACTTCCACATACTACAAAAAGAGTGTTTCAAACCTGCTCTATGATAGGGAATGTTGAAACCTATGAGTTGAATGCAAGCATTACAAAGAGGTTTCTGAGAATGCTTCTGTCTAGATTTTATATGTAGATATTCCCGTTTCCAACGAAATCCTCAAAGCTATCCAAATATCAACTTGCAGATTCTACAAAAGGAATGTTTCCAAAATGCTGTATCCAAACAAAGGTTCAACTCTGTGAATTGAGGGCATACATCACAAAGAAGATTCTGAGAATGCTTCTGTCTAGATTTTATATGAAAATATTCCCGTTTCCAACGAAATCCTCAAAGCTATCCAAATATCCACTTGCAAATGCCACAAAAAGAGTGTTTCCAAACTGCTCTGTGAAAAGGAAGGTTCAACTCTGTTAGTTGAGTACACACATCACAAAGAGGTTTCTGAGAATGCTGCTGACTAGTTTTTATTTGAAGATATTTCCCTTTTCACCTTAGGCCTAAGAGTGCTCGAAATGTCCATTTCCACATACTCCACAAAGTGTGTTTCAAACGTGCTGTATGAAAGGGAATGTTCAACTCTATGAGTTGAATTCAAACATCACAAAGAAGATTCTGAGAATGCTTTTGTCTAGATTTTATATGAAGATATTCCCGTGTCCAACGAAATTTTCAAAGGTCTCCAAATATCCATTTGTAGATTCTACAAAAAGAGTGTTTCCAAACTGCTGTATCAAAACAAAGGTTGAACTCTGTGAGTTGAGGACACACATCACAAATAAGTTTCTGAGAATGCTTCTGTCTAGTTTTTATTTGAAGATGTTTCCTTTTTCACCATAGGCCTGAAAGCGCTCGAAATGTCCACTTCCAGATAGTACAGAAAGAGTGTTTCAAACCTGCTCTATGAACGGGAATGTTCAGCTCTGTGAGTTGAATGCAAACATCACAAAGCAGGTTCCGAGAATGCTTCCGTCTAGATTTTAAATGAGGATATTCCCGTTTCCAACGAAATCCTCGAAGCTATCCAAATATCCACTTGCAGATTCCACAAAAAGAGTGTTTCAAAACTGCTCTGTCAAAAGATAGGTTCAACTCTGTTAGTTGAGTACACACATGGCAAACAAGATTGCGAGAATGGTTTCGTCTAGTTTTTTTGGGAAGATATTTCCTTCTTCACCATAGGCCTCAAAGCGCTCCAAATATCCATTTCCACATGCTATACAAAGAGTGTCTCAAACCTGCTGTATGAATGGGAATGTTCAACTCTATGAGTTGAATGCAAACATCACAAAGAAGTTTCTGAGAATGCTGCTGTCTAGATTTTATATGAAGGTTTTCCCGCTTCCAACGAAATTTTCAATGCTCTCAAAATATCCTCTTGTAGATTCTACAAAAAGAGTGTTTCCAAACTGCTGTATCAAAACAAAGGTTCATCTCTGTTAGTTGAGGACACACATCACAAATAAGTTTCTGAGAATGCTTCCTGTCTAGTTCTTATTTGAAGACATTTCCTTTCTCACCTTAGGCCTGAAAGCGCTCGAAATACCCACTTCCAGATACTACAGAAACAGTGATTCAAACCTGCTCTATGAAAGGGAATGTTCAACTAGGTGACTTGAATGCAAACATCACAAAGCAGTTTCTGAGAATGCTGCTGTCTACTTTCTATTTGTAATCCCGTTTCCAACGAAATCCTCAGAACTATCGAAATTTCCAATTGCAGATTCCACAAAAAGCGTGTTTCAAAGCTGCTCTGTAAAAAGAAAGGTTCAACTCTGTTAGTTGAATACACACGTCACAAACAAGTTTCTGAGAATGCTTCTGTCTAGTTTTTATGGGAAGATATTTCCTTTTTCACCGTAGGCCTCAAAGCGCTCCAAATGTCCACTTCCACATACTACAAAAAGAGTGTTTCAAACCTGCTCTATGATAGGGAATGTTGAAACCTATGAGTTGAATGCAAGCATTACAAAGAGGTTTCTGAGAATGCTTCTGTCTAGATTTTATATGTAGATATTCCCGTTTCCAACGAAATCCTCAAAGCTATCCAAATATCAACTTGCAGATTCTACAAAAGGAATGTTTCCAAAATGCTGTATCCAAACAAAGGTTCAACTCTGTGAATTGAGGGCATACATCACAAAGAAGATTCTGAGAATGCTTCTGTCTAGATTTTATATGAAAATATTCCCGTTTCCAACGAAATCCTCAAAGCTATCCAAATATCCACTTGCAAATGCCACAAAAAGAGTGTTTCCAAACTGCTCTGTGAAAAGGAAGGTTCAACTCTGTTAGTTGAGTACACACATCACAAAGAGGTTTCTGAGAATGCTGCTGACTAGTTTTTATTTGAAGATATTTCCCTTTTCACCTTAGGCCTAAGAGTGCTCGAAATGTCCATTTCCACATACTCCACAAAGTGTGTTCCAAACGTGCTGTATGAAAGGGAATGTTCAACTCTATGAGTTGAATGCAAACATCACAAAGAAGATTCTGAGAATGCTTTTTGTCTAGATTTTATATGAAGATATTCCCGTGTCCAACGAAATTTTCAAAGGTCTCCAAATATCCATTTGTAGATTCTACAAAAAGAGTGTTTCCAAACTGCTGTATCAAAACAAAGGTTGAACTCTGTCAGTTGAGGACACACATCACAAATAAGTTTCTGAGAATGCTTCTGTCTAGTTTTTATTTGAAGATGTTTCCTTTTTCACCATAGGCCTGAAAGCGCTCGAAATGTCCACTTCCAGATAGTACAGAAAGAGTGTTTCAAACCTGCTCTATGAACGGGAATGTTCAGCTCTGTGAGTTGAATGCAAACATCACAAAGCAGGTTCTGAGAATGCTTCCGTCTAGATTTTAAATGAGGATATTCCCGTTTCCAACGAAATCCTCGAAGCTATCCAAATATCCACTTGCAGATTCCACAAAAAGAGTGTTTCAAAACTGCTCTGTCAAAAGATAGGTTCAACTCTGTTAGTTGAGTACACACATGGCAAACAAGATTGCGAGAATGCTTTCGTCTAGTTTTTTAGGGAAGATATTTCCTTCTTCACCATAGGCCTCAAAGCGCTCCAAATATCCATTTCCACATGCTATACAAAGAGTGTCTCAAACCTGCTGTATGAATGGGAATGTTCAACTCTATGAGTTGAATGCAAACATCACAAAGAAGTTTCTGAGAATGCTGCTGTCTAGATTTTATATGAAGGTTTTCCCGCTTCCAACGAAATTTTCAATGCTCTCAAAATATCCTCTTGTAGATTCTACAAAAAGAGTGTTTCCAAACTGCTGTATCAAAACAAAGGTTCATCTCTGTTAGTTGAGGACACACATCACAAATAAGTTTCTGAGAATGCTTCTGTCTAGTTCTTGTTTGAAGACATTTCCTTTCTCACCTTAGGCCTGAAAGCGCTCGAAATACCCACTTCCAGATACTACAGAAACAGTGATTCAAACCTGCTCTATGAAAGGGAATGTTCAACTAGGTGACTTGAATGCAAACATCACAAAGCAGTTTCTGAGAATGCTGCTGTCTACTTTCTATTTGTAATCCCGTTTCCAACGAAATCCTCAGAACTATCGAAATTTCCAATTGCAGATTCCACAGAAACAGGGTTTCAAAGCTGCTCTGTAAAAAGAAAGGTTCAACTCTGTTAGTTGAATACACACGTCACAAACAAGTTTCTGAGAATGCTTCTGTCTAGTTTTTATGGGAAGATATTTCCTTTTTCACCGTAGGCCTCAAAGCGCTCCAAATGTCCACGTCCACATACTACAAAAAGAGTGTTTCAAACCTGCTGTATGAAAGGGAATGTTCAACTCTATGAGTTGAATGCAAACATTACAAAGAAGTTTCTGAGAATGCTTCTGTCTAGATTTTATATGAAGGTTTTCCCGTTTCCAACGAAATTTTCAATGCTCTCAAAATATCCACTTGTAGATTCTACAAAAAGAGTGTTTCCAAACTGCTGTGTCAAAAGAAAGGTTCAACTCTGTTAGTTGAGGACACACATCACAAATAAGTTTCTGAGAATGCTTCTGTCTAGTTCTTATTTGAAGACATTTCCTTTCTCACCTTAGGCCTGAAAACGCTCGAAATATCCACTTCCAGATACGACAGAAACAGTGATTCAAACCTGCTCTATGAAAGGGAATGTTCAACTAGGTGACTTGAATGCAAACATCAGAAAGCAGTTTCTGAGAATGCTGCTGTCTACTTTCTATTTGTAATCCCGTTTCCACCGAAATCCTCAGAACTATCGAAATTTCCAATTGCAGATTCCACAAAAAGCGTGTTTCAAAGCTGCTCTGTAAAAAGAAAGGTTCAACTCTGTTAGTTGAATACACACGTCACAAACAAGTTTCTGAGAATGCTTCTGTCTAGTTTTTATGGGAAGATATTTCCTTTTTCACCGTAGGCCTCAAAGCGCTCCAAATGTCCACTTCCACATACTACAAAAAGAGTGTTTCAAACCTGCTCTATGATAGGGAATGTTGAAACCTATGAGTTGAATGCAAGCATTACAAAGAGGTTTCTGAGAATGCTTCTGTCTAGATTTTATATGTAGATATTCCCGTTTCCAACGAAATCCTCAAAGCTATCCAAATATCAACTTGCAGATTCTACAAAAGGAATGTTTCCAAAATGCTGTATCCAAACAAAGGTTCAACTCTGTGAATTGAGGGCATACATCACAAAGAAGATTCTGAGAATGCTTCTGTCTAGATTTTATATGAAAATATTCCCGTTTCCAACGAAATCCTCAAAGCTATCCAAATATCCACTTGCAAATGCCACAAAAAGAGTGTTTCCAAACTGCTCTGTGAAAAGGAAGGTTCAACTCTGTTAGTTGAGTACACACATCACAAAGAGGTTTCTGAGAATGCTGCTGACTAGTTTTTATTTGAAGATATTTCCCTTTTCACCTTAGGCCTAAGAGTGCTCGAAATGTCCATTTCCACATACTCCACAAAGTGTGTTTCAAACGTGCTGTATGAAAGGGAATGTTCAACTCTATGAGTTGAATGCAAACATCACAAAGAAGACTCTGAGAATGCTTTTGTCTAGATTTTATATGAAGATATTCCCGTGTCCAACGAAATTTTCAAAGGTCTCCAAATATCCATTTGTAGATTCTACAAAAAGAGTGTTTCCAAACTGCTGTATCAAAACAAAGGTTTAACTCTGTGAGTTGAGGACACACATCACAAATAAGTTTCTGAGAATGCTTCTGTCTAGTTTTTATTTGAAGATGTTTCCTTTTTCACCATAGGCCTGAAAGCGCTCGAAATGTCCACTTCCAGATAGTACAGAAAGAGTGTTTCAAACCTGCTCTATGAACGGGAATGTTCAGCTCTGTGAGTTGAATGCAAACATCACAAAGCAGGTTCCGAGAATGCTTCCGTCTAGTTTTTAAATGAGGATATTCCCGTTTCCAACGAAATCCTCGAAGCTATCCAAATATCCACTTGCAGATTCCACAAAAAGAGTGTTTCAAAACTGCTCTGTCAAAAGATAGGTTCAACTCTGTTAGTTGAGTACACACATGGCAAACAAGATTGCGAGAATGCTTTCGTCTAGTTTTTTTGGGAAGATATTTCCTTCTTCACCATAGGCCTCAAAGCGCTCCAAATATCCATTTCCACATGCTATACAAAGAGTGTCTCAAACCTGCTGTATGAATGGGAATGTTCAACTCTATGAGTTGAATGCAAACATCACAAAGAAGTTTCTGAGAATGCTTCTGTCTAGATTTTATATGAAGGTTTTCCCGCTTCCAACGAAATTTTCAATGATCTCAAAATATCCTCTTGTAGATTCTACAAAAAGAGTGTTTCCAAACTGCTGTATCAAAACAAAGGTTCATCTCTGTTAGTTGAGGACACACATCACAAATAAGTTTCTGAGAATGCTTCTGTCTAGTTCTTATTTGAAGACATTTCCTTTCTCACCTTAGGCCTGAAAGCGCTCGAAATACCCACTTCCAGATACTACAGAAACAGTGATTCAAACCTGCTCTATGAAAGGGAATGTTCAACTATGTGACTTGAATGCAAACATCACAAAGCAGTTTCTGAGAATGCTGCTGTCTACTTTCCTATTTGTAATCCCGTTTCCAACGAAATCCTCAGAACTATCGAAATTTCCAATTGCAGATTCCACAGAAACAGGGTTTCAAAGCTGCTCTGTAAAAAGAAAGGTTCAACTCTGTTAGTTGAATACACACGTCACAAACAAGTTTCTGAGAATGCTTCTGTCTAGTTTTTATGGGAAGATATTTCCTTTTTCACCGTAGGCCTCAAAGCGCTCCAAATGTCCACGTCCACATACTACAAAAAGAGTGTTTCAAACCTGCTGTATGAAAGGGAATGTTCAACTCTATGAGTTGAATGCAAACATTACAAAGAAGTTTCTGAGAATGCTTCTGTCTAGATTTTATATGAAGGTTTTCCCGTTTCCAACGAAATTTTCAATGCTCTCAAAATATCCACTTGTAGATTCTACAAAAAGAGTGTTTCTAAACTGCTGTGTCAAAAGAAAGGTTCAACTCTGTTAGTTGAGGACACACATCACAAATAAGTTTCTGAGAATGCTTCTGTCTAGTTCTTATTTGAAGACATTTCCTTTCTCACCTTAGGCCTGAAAACGCTCGAAATATCCACTTCCAGATACGACAGAAACAGTGATTCAAACCTGCTCTATGAAAGGGAATGTTCAACTAGGTGACTTGAATGCAAACATCACAAAGCAGTTTCTGAGAATGCTGCTGTCTACTTTCTATTTGTAATCCCGTTTCCAACGAAATCCTCAGAACTATCGAAATTTCCAATTGCAGATTCCACAAAAAGCGTGTTTCAAAGCTGCTCTGTAAAAAGAAAGGTTCAACTCTGTTAGTTGAATACACACGTCACAAACAAGTTTCTGAGAATGCTTCTGTCTAGTTTTTATGGGAAGATATTTCCTTTTTCACGGTAGGCCTCAAAGCGCTCCAAATGTCCACTTCCACATACTACAAAAAGAGTGTTTCAAACCTGCTCTATGATAGGGAATGTTGAAACCTATGAGTTGAATGCAAGCATTACAAAGAGGTTTCTGAGAATGCTTCTGTCTAGATTTTATATGTAGATATTCCCGTTTCCAACGAAATCCTCAAACTATCCAAATATCAACTTGCAGATTCTACAAAAGGAATGTTTCCAAAATGCTGTATCCAAACAAAGGTTCAACTCTGTGAATTGAGGGCATACATCACAAAGAAGATTCTGAGAATGCTTCTGTCTAGATTTTATATGAAAATATTCCCGTTTCCAACGAAATCCTCAAAGCTATCCAAATATCCACTTGCAAATGCCACAAAAAGAGTGTTTCCAAACTGCTCTGTGAAAAGGAAGGTTCAACTCTGTTAGTTGAGTACACACATCACAAAGAGGTTTCTGAGAATGCTGCTGACTAGTTTTTATTTGAAGATATTTCCCTTTTCACCTTAGGCCTAAGAGTGCTCGAAATGTCCATTTCCACATACTCCACAAAGTGTGTTTCAAACGTGCTGTATGAAAGGGAATGTTCAACTCTATGAGTTGAATGCAAACATCACAAAGAAGATTCTGAGAATGCTTTTGTCTAGATTTTATATGAAGATATTCCCGTGTCCAACGAAATTTTCAAAGTTCTCCAAATATCCATTTGTAGATTCTACAAAAAGAGTGTTTCCAAACTGCTGTATCAAAACAAAGGTTGAACCCTGTGAGTTGAGGACACACATCACAAATAAGTTTCTGAGAATGCTTCTGTCTAGTTTTTATTTGAAGATGTTTCCTTTTTCACCATAGGCCTGAAAGCGCTCGAAATGTCCACTTCCAGATAGTACAGAAAGAGTGTTTCAAACCTGCTCTATGAACGGAAATGTTCAGCTCTGTGAGTTGAATGCAAACATCACAAAGCAGGTTCTGAGAATGCTTCCGTCTAGATTTTAAATGAGGATATTCCCGTTTCCAACGAAATCCTCGAAGCTATCCAAATATCCACTTGCAGATTCCACAAAAAGAGTGTTTCAAAACTGCTCTGTCAAAAGATAGGTTCAACTCTGTTAGTTGAGTACACACATGGCAAACAAGATTCCGAGAATGCTTTCGTCTAGTTTTTTTGGGAAGATATTTCCTTCTTCACCATAGGCCTCAAAGCGCTCCAAATATCCATTTCCACATGCTATACAAAGAGTGTCTCAAACCTGCTGTATGAATGGGAATGTTCAACTCTATGAGTTGAATGCAAACATCACAAAGAAGTTTCTGAGAATGCTGCTGTCTAGATTTTATATGAAGGTTTTCCCGCTTCCAACGAAATTTTCAACGCTCTCAAAATATCCTCTTGTAGATTCTACAAAAAGAGTGTTTCCAAACTGCTGTATCAAAACAAAGGTTCATCTCTGTTAGTTGAGGACACACATCACAAATAAGTTTCTGAGAATGCTTCTGTCTAGTTCTTATTTGAAGACATTTCCTTTCTCACCTTAGGCCTGAAAACGCTCGAAATATCCACTTCCAGATACGACAGAAACAGTGATTCAAACCTGCTCTATGAAAGGGAATGTTCAACTAGGTTACTTGAATGCAAACATCACAAAGCAGTTTCTGAGAATGCTGCTGTCTACTTTCTATTTGTAATCCCGTTTCCAACGAAATCCTCAGAACTATCGAAATTTCCAATTGCAGATTCCACAAAAAGCGTGTTTCAAAGCTGCTCTGTAAAAAGAAAGGTTCAACTCTGTTAGTTGAATACACACGTCACAAACAAGTTTCTGAGAATGCTTCTGTCTAGTTTTTATGGGAAGATATTTCCTTTTTCACCGTAGGCCTCAAAGCGCTCCAAATGTCCACTTCCACATACTACAAAAAGAGTGTTTCAAACCTGCTCTATGATAGGGAATGTTGAAACCTATGAGTTGAATGCAAGCATTACAAAGAGGTTTCTGAGAATGCTTCTGTCTAGATTTTATATGTAGATATTCCCGTTTCCAACGAAATCCTCAAACTATCCAAATATCAACTTGCAGATTCTACAAAAGGAATGTTTCCAAAATGCTGTATCCAAACAAAGGTTCAACTCTGTGAATTGAGGGCATACATCACAAAGAAGATTCTGAGAATGCTTCTGTCTAGATTTTATATGAAAATATTCCCGTTTCCAACGAAATCCTCAAAGCTATCCAAATATCCACTTGCAAATGCCACAAAAAGAGTGTTTCCAAACTGCTCTGTGAAAAGGAAGGTTCAACTCTGTTAGTTGAGTACACACATCACAAAGAGGTTTCTGAGAATGCTGCTGACTAGTTTTTATTTGAAGATATTTCCCTTTTCACCTTAGGCCTAAGAGTGCTCGAAATGTCCATTTCCACATACTCCACAAAGTGTGTTTCAAACGTGCTGTATGAAAGGGAACGTTCAACTCTATGAGTTGAATGCAAACATCACAAAGAAGATTCTGAGAATGCTTTTGTCTAGATTTTATATGAAGATATTCCCGTGTCCAACGAAATTTTCAAAGGTCTCCAAATATCCATTTGTAGATTCTACAAAAAGAGTGTTTCCAAACTGCTGTATCAAAACAAAGGTTGAACTCTGTGAGTTGAGGACACACATCACAAATAAGTTTCTGAGAATGCTTCTGTCTAGTTTTTATTTGAAGATGTTTCCTTTTTCACCATAGGCCTGAAAGCGCTCGAAATGTCCACTTCCAGATAGTACAGAAAGAGTGTTTCAAACCTGCTCTATGAACGGGAATGTTCAGCTCTGTGAGTTGAATGCAAACATCACAAAGCAGGTTCTGAGAATGCTTCCGTCTAGATTTTAAATGAGGATATTCCCGTTTCCAACGAAATCCTCGAAGCTATCCAAATATCCACTTGCAGATTCCACAAAAAGAGTGTTTCAAAACTGCTCTGTCAAAAGATAGGTTCAACTCTGTTAGTTGAGTACACACATGGCAAACAAGATTGCGAGAATGCTTTCGTCTAGTTTTTTTGGGAAGATATTTCCTTCTTCACCATAGGCCTCAAAGCGCTCCAAATATCCATTTCCACATGCTATACAAAGAGTGTCTCAAACCTGCTGTATGAATGGGAATGTTCAACTCTATGAGTTGAATGCAAACATCACAAAGAAGTTTCTGAGAATGCTGCTGTCTAGATTTTATATGAAGGTTTTCCCGCTTCCAACGAAATTTTCAATGCTCTCAAAATATCCTCTTGTAGATTCTACAAAAAGAGTGTTTCCAAACTGCTGTATCAAAACAAAGGTTCATCTCTGTTAGTTGAGGACACACATCACAAATAAGTTTCTGAGAATGCTTCTGTCTAGTTCTTATTTGAAGACATTTCCTTTCTCACCTTAGGCCTGAAAACGCTCGAAATATCCACTTCCAGATACGACAGAAACTGTGATTCAAACCTGCTCTATGAAAGGGAATGTTCAACTAGGTGACTTGAATGCAAACATCACAAAGCAGTTTCTGAGAATGCTGCTGTCTACTTTCTATTTGTAATCCCGTTTCCAACGAAATCCTCAGAACTATCGAAATTTCCAATTGCAGATTCCACAAAAAGCGTGTTTCAAAGCTGCTCTGTAGAAAGAAAGGTTCAACTCTGTTAGTTGAATACACACGTCACAAACAAGTTTCTGAGAATGCTTCTGTCTAGTTTTTATGGGAAGATATTTCCTTTTTCACCGTAGGCCTCAAAGTGCTCCAAATGTCCACTTCCACATGCTACAAAAAGAGTGTTTCAAACCTGCTGTATGAAAGGGAATGTTCAACTCTATGAGTTGAATGCAAACATTACAAAGAAGTTTCTGAGAATGCTTCTGTCTAGATTTTATATGAAGGTTTTCCCGTTTCCAACGAAATTTTCAATGCTCTCAAAATATCCACTTGTAGATTCTACAAAAAGAGTGTTTCCAAACTGCTGTGTCAAAAGAAAGGTTCAACTCTGTTAGTTGAGGACACACATCACAAATAAGTTTCTGAGAATGCTTCTGTCTAGTTCTTATTTGAAGACATTTCCTTTCTCACCTTAGGCCTGAAAACGCTCGAAATATCCACTTCCAGATACGACAGAAACAGTGATTCAAACCTGCTCTATGAAAGGGAATGTTCAACTAGGTGACTTGAATGCAAACAACACAAAGCAGTTTCTGAGAATGCTGCTGTCTACTTTCTATTTGTAATCCCGTTTCCAACGAAATCCTCAGAACTATCGAAATTTCCAATTGCAGATTCCACAAAAAGCGTGTTTCAAAGCTGCTCTGTAAAAAGAAAGGTTCAACTCTGTTAGTTGAATACACACGTCACAAACAAGTTTCTGAGAATGCTTCTGTCTAGTTTTTATGGGAAGATATTTCCTTTTTCACCGTAGGCCTCAAAGCGCTCCAAATGTCCACTTCCACATACTACAAAAAGAGTGTTTCAAACCTGCTCTATGATAGGGAATGTTGAAACCTATGAGTTGAATGCAAGCATTACAAAGAGGTTTCTGAGAATGCTTCTGTCTAGATTTTATATGTAGATATTCCCGTTTCCAACGAAATCCTCAAAGCTATCCAAATATCAACTTGCAGATTCTACAAAAGGAATGTTTCCAAAATGCTGTATCCAAACAAAGGTTCAACTCTGTGAATTGAGGGCATACATCACAAAGAAGATTCTGAGAATGCTTCTGTCTAGATTTTATATGAAAATATTCCCGTTTCCAACGAAATCCTCAAAGCTATCCAAATATCCACTTGCAAATGCCACAAAAAGAGTGTTTCCAAACTGCTCTGTGAAAAGGAAGGTTCAACTCTGTTAGTTGAGTACACACATCACAAAGAGGTTTCTGAGAATGCTGCTGACTAGTTTTTATTTGAAGATATTTCCCTTTTCACCTTAGGCCTAAGAGTGCTCGAAATGTCCATTTCCACATACTCCACAAAGTGTCTTTCAAACGTGCTGTATGAAAGGGAACGTTCAACTCTATGAGTTGAATGCAAACATCACAAAGAAGATTCTGAGAATGCTTTTGTCTAGATTTTATATGAAGATATTCCCGTGTCCAACGAAATTTTCAAAGGTCTCCAAATATCCATTTGTAGATTCTACAAAAAGAGTGTTTCCAAACTGCTGTATCAAAACAAAGGTTGAACTCTGTGAGTTGAGGACACACATCACAAATAAGTTTCTGAGAATGCTTCTGTCTAGTTTTTATTTGAAGATGTTTCCTTTTTCACCATAGGCCTGAAAGCGCTCGAAATGTCCACTTCCAGATAGTACAGAAAGAGTGTTTCAAACCTGCTCTATGAACGGGAATGTTCAGCTCTGTGAGTTGAATGCAAACATCACAAAGCAGGTTCTGAGAATGCTTCCGTCTAGATTTTAAATGAGGATATTCCCGTTTCCAACGAAATCCTCGAAGCTATCCAAATATCCACTTGCAGATTCCACAAAAAGAGTGTTTCAAAACTGCTCTGTCAAAAGATAGGTTCAACTCTGTTAGTTGAGTACACACATGGCAAACAAGATTGCGAGAATGCTTTCGTCTAGTTTTTTAGGGAAGATATTTCCTTCTTCACCATAGGCCTCAAAGCGCTCCAAATATCCATTTCCACATGCTATACAAAGAGTGTCTCAAACCTGCTGTATGAATGGGAATGTTCAACTCTATGAGTTGAATGCAAACATCACAAAGAAGTTTCTGAGAATGCTGCTGTCTAGATTTTATATGAAGGTTTTCCCGCTTCCAACGAAATTTTCAATGCTCTCAAAATATCCTCTTGTAGATTCTACAAAAAGAGTGTTTCCAAACTGCTGTATCAAAACAAAGGTTCATCTCTGTTAGTTGAGGACACACATCACAAATAAGTTTCTGAGAATGCTTCTGTCTAGTTCTTATTTGAAGACATTTCCTTTCTCACCTTAGGCCTGAAAGCGCTCGAAATACCCACTTCCAGATACTACAGAAACAGTGATTCAAACCTGCTCTATGAAAGGGAATGTTCAACTAGGTGACTTGAATGCAAACATCACAAAGCAGTTTCTGAGAATGCTGCTGTCTACTTTCTATTTGTAATCCCGTTTCCAACGAAATCCTCAGAACTATCGAAATTTCCAATTGCAGATTCCACAGAAACAGGGTTTCAAAGCTGCTCTGTAAAAAGAAAGGTTCAACTCTGTTAGTTGAATACACACGTCACAAACAAGTTTCTGAGAATGCTTCTGTCTAGTTTTTATGGGAAGATATTTCCTTTTTCACCGTAGGCCTCAAAGCGCTCCAAATGTCCACGTCCACATACTACAAAAAGAGTGTTTCAAACCTGCTGTATGAAAGGGAATGTTCAACTCTATGAGTTGAATGCAAACATTACAAAGAAGTTTCTGAGAATGCTTCTGTCTAGATTTTATATGAAGGTTTTCCCGTTTCCAACGAAATTTTCAATGCTCTCAAAATATCCACTTGTAGATTCTACAAAAAGAGTGTTTCCAAACTGCTGTGTCAAAAGAAAGGTTCAACTCTGTTAGTTGAGGACACACATCACAAATAAGTTTCTGAGAATGCTTCTGTCTAGTTCTTATTTGAAGACATTTCCTTTCTCACCTTAGGCCTGAAAACGCTCGAAATATCCACTTCCAGATACGACAGAAACAGTGATTCAAACCTGCTCTATGAAAGGGAATGTTCAACTAGGTGACTTGAATGCAAACATCACAAAGCAGTTTCTGAGAATGCTGCTGTCTACTTTCTATTTGTAATCCCGTTTCCAACGAAATCCTCAGAACTATCGAAATTTCCAATTGCAGATTCCACAAAAAGCGTGTTTCAAAGCTGCTCTGTAAAAAGAAAGGTTCAACTCTGTTAGTTGAATACACACGTCACAAACAAGTTTCTGAGAATGCTTCTGTCTAGTTTTTATGGGAAGATATTTCCTTTTTCACCGTAGGCCTCAAAGCGCTCCAAATGTCCACTTCCACATACTACAAAAAGAGTGTTTCAAACCTGCTCTATGATAGGGAATGTTGAAACCTATGAGTTGAATGCAAGCATTACAAAGAGGTTTCTGAGAATGCTTCTGTCTAGATTTTATATGTAGATATTCCCGTTTCCAACGAAATCCTCAAAGCTATCCAAATATCAACTTGCAGATTCTACAAAAGGAATGTTTCCAAAATGCTGTATCCAAACAAAGGTTCAACTCTGTGAATTGAGGGCATACATCACAAAGAAGATTCTGAGAATGCTTCTGTCTAGATTTTATATGAAAATATTCCCGTTTCCAACGAAATCCTCAAAGCTATCCAAATATCCACTTGCAAATGCCACAAAAAGAGTGTTTCCAAACTGCTCTGTGAAAAGGAAGGTTCAACTCTGTTAGTTGAGTACACACATCACAAAGAGGTTTCTGAGAATGCTGCTGACTAGTTTTTATTTGAAGATATTTCCCTTTTCACCTTAGGCCTAAGAGTGCTCGAAATGTCCATTTCCACATACTCCACAAAGTGTGTTTCAAACGTGCTGTATGAAAGGGAATGTTCAACTCTATGAGTTGAATGCAAACATCACAAAGAAGACTCTGAGAATGCTTTTGTCTAGATTTTATATGAAGATATTCCCGTGTCCAACGAAATTTTCAAAGGTCTCCAAATATCCATTTGTAGATTCTACAAAAAAAGTGTTTCCAAACTGCTGTATCAAAACAAAGGTTGAACTCTGTGAGTTGAGGACACACATCACAAATAAGTTTCTGAGAATGCTTCTGTCTAGTTTTTATTTGAAGATGTTTCCTTTTTCACCATAGGCCTGAAAGCGCTCGAAATGTCCACTTCCAGATAGTACAGAAAGAGTGTTTCAAACCTGCTCTATGAACGGGAATGTTCAGCTCTGTGAGTTGAATGCAAACATCACAAAGCAGGTTCTGAGAATGCTTCCGTCTAGATTTTAAATGAGGATATTCCCGTTTCCAACGAAATCCTCGAAGCTATCCAAATATCCACTTGCAGATTCCACAAAAAGAGTGTTTCAAAACTGCTCTGTCAAAAGATAGGTTCAACTCTGTTAGTTGAGTACACACATGGCAAACAAGATTCCGAGAATGCTTTCGTCTAGTTTTTTTGGGAAGATATTTCCTTCTTCACCATAGGCCTCAAAGCGCTCCAAATATCCATTTCCACATGCTATACAAAGAGTGTCTCAAACCTGCTGTATGAATGGGAATGTTCAACTCTATGAGTTGAATGCAAACATCACAAAGAAGTTTCTGAGAATGCTGCTGTCTAGATTTTATATGAAGGTTTTCCCGCTTCCAACGAAATTTTCAATGCTCTCAAAATATCCTCTTGTAGATTCTACAAAAAGAGTGTTTCCAAACTGCTGTATCAAAACAAAGGTTCACCTCTGTTAGTTGAGGACACACATCACAAATAAGTTTCTGAGAATGCTTCTGTCTAGTTCTTATTTGAAGACATTTCCTTTCTCACCTTAGGCCTGAAAGCGCTCGAAATACCCACTTCCAGATACTACAGAAACAGTGATTCAAACCTGCTCTATGAAAGGGAATGTTCAACTATGTGACTTGAATGCAAACATCACAAAGCAGTTTCTGAGAATGCTGCTGTCTACTTTCTATTTGTAATCCCGTTTCCAACGAAATCCTCAGAACTATCGAAATTTCCAATTGCAGATTCCACAGAAACAGGGTTTCAAAGCTGCTCTGTAAAAAGAAAGGTTCAACTCTGTTAGTTGAATACACACGTCACAAACAAGTTTCTGAGAATGCTTCTGTCTAGTTTTTATGGGAAGATATTTCCTTTTTCACCGTAGGCCTCAAAGCGCTCCAAATGTCCACTTCCACATACTACAAAAAGAGTGTTTCAAACCTGCTGTATGAAAGGGAATGTTCAACTCTATGAGTTGAATGCAAACATTACAAAGAAGTTTCTGAGAATGCTTCTGTCTAGATTTTATATGAAGGTTTTCCCGTTTCCAACGAAATTTTCAATGCTCTCAAAATATCCACTTGTAGATTCTACAAAAAGAGTGTTTCCAAACTGCTGTGTCAAAAGAAAGGTTCAACTCTGTTAGTTGAGGACACACATCACAAATAAGTTTCTGAGAATGCTTCTGTCTAGTTCTTATTTGAAGACATTTCCTTTCTCACCTTAGGCCTGAAAACGCTCGAAATATCCACTTCCAGATACGACAGAAACAGTGATTCAAACCTGCTCTATGAAAGGGAATGTTCAACTAGGTGACTTGAATGCCAACATCACAAAGCAGTTTCTGAGAATGCTGCTGTCTACTTTCTATTTGTAATCCCGTTTCCAACGAAATCCTCAGAACTATCGAAATTTCCAATTGCAGATTCCACAAAAAGCGTGTTTCAAAGCTGCTCTGTAAAAAGAAAGGTTCAACTCTGTTAGTTGAATACACACGTCACAAACAAGTTTCTGAGAATGCTTCTGTCTAGTTTTTATGGGAAGATATTTCCTTTTTCACCGTAGGCCTCAAAGCGCTCCAAATGTCCACTTCCACATACTACAAAAAGAGTGTTTCAAACCTGCTCTATGATAGGGAATGTTGAAACCTATGAGTTGAATGCAAGCATTACAAAGAGGTTTCTGAGAATGCTTCTGTCTAGATTTTATATGTAGATATTCCCGTTTCCAACGAAATCCTCAAAGCTATCCAAATATCAACTTGCAGATTCTACAAAAGGAATGTTTCCAAAATGCTGTATCCAAACAAAGGTTCAACTCTGTGAATTGAGGGCATACATCACAAAGAAGATTCTGAGAATGCTTCTGTCTAGATTTTATATGAAAATATTCCCGTTTCCAACGAAATCCTCAAAGCTATCCAAATATCCACTTGCAAATGCCACAAAAAGAGTGTTTGCAAACTGCTCTGTGAAAAGGAAGGTTCAACTCTGTTAGTTGAGTACACACATCACAAAGAGGTTTCTGAGAATGCTGCTGACTAGTTTTTATTTGAAGATATTTCCCTTTTCACCTTAGGCCTAAGAGTGCTCGAAATGTCCATTTCCACATACTCCACAAAGTGTGTTTCAAACGTGCTGTATGAAAGGGAATGTTCAACTCTATGAGTTGAATGCAAACATCACAAAGAAGATTCTGAGAATGCTTTTGTCTAGATTTTATATGAAGATATTCCCGTGTCCAACGAAATTTTCAAAGGTCTCCAAATATCCATTTGTAGATTCTACAAAAAGAGTGTTTCCAAACTGCTGTATCAAAACAAAGGTTGAACTCTGTGAGTTGAGGACACACATCACAAATAAGTTTCTGAGAATGCTTCTGTCTAGTTTTTATTTGAAGATGTTTCCTTTTTCACCATAGGCCTGAAAGCGCTCGAAATGTCCACTTCCAGATAGTACAGAAAGAGTGTTTCAAACCTGCTCTATGAACGGGAATGTTCAGCTCTGTGAGTTGAATGCAAACATCACAAAGCAGGTTCTGAGAATGCTTCCGTCTAGATTTTAAATGAGGATATTCCCGTTTCCAACGAAATCCTCGAAGCTATCCAAATATCCACTTGCAGATTCCACAAAAAGAGTGTTTCAAAACTGCTCTGTCAAAAGATAGGTTCAACTCTGTTAGTTGAGTACACACATGGCAAACAAGATTCCGAGAATGCTTTCGTCTAGTTTTTTTGGGAAGATATTTCCTTCTTCACCATAGGCCTCAAAGCGCTCCAAATATCCATTTCCACATGCTATACAAAGAGTGTCTCAAACCTGCTGTATGAATGGGAATGTTCAACTCTATGAGTTGAATGCAAACATCACAAAGAAGTTTCTGAGAATGCTTCTGTCTAGATTTTATATGAAAGTTTTCCCGTTTCCAAGGAAATTTTCAATGCTCTCAAAATATCCACTTGTAGATTCTACAAAAAGAGTGTTTCCAAACTGCTGTGTCAAAAGAAAGGTTCAACTCTGTTAGTTGAGGACACACATCACAAATAAGTTTCTGAGAATGCTTCTGTCTAGTTCTTATTTGAAGACATTTCCTTTCTCACCTTAGGCCTGAAAACGCTCGAAATATCCACTTCCAGATACGACAGAAACAGTGATTCAAACCTGCTCTATGAAAGGGAATGTTCAACTAGGTGACTTGAATGCAAACATCACAAAGCAGTTTCTGAGAATGCTGCTGTCTACTTTCTATTTGTAATCCCGTTTCCAACGAAATCCTCAGAACTATCGAAATTTCCAATTGCAGATTCCACAAAAAGCGTGTTTCAAAGCTGCTCTGTAAAAAGAAAGGTTCAACTCTGTTAGTTGAATACACACGTCACAAACAAGTTTCTGAGAATGCTTCTGTCTAGTTTTTATGGGAAGATATTTCCTTTTTCACCGTAGGCCTCAAAGCGCTCCAAATGTCCACTTCCACATACTACAAAAAGAGTGTTTCAAACCTGCTGTATGAAAGGGAATGTTCAACTCTATGAGTTGAATGCAAACATTACAAAGAAGTTTCTGAGAAGGCTTCTGTCTAGATTTTATATGAAGGTTTTCCCGTTTCCAACGAAATTTTCAATGCTCTCAAAATATCCACTTGTAGATTCTACAAAAAGAGTGTTTCCAAACTGCTGTGTCAAAAGAAAGGTTCAACTCTGTTAGTTGAGGACACACATCACAAATAAGTTTCTGAGAATGCTTCTGTCTAGTTCTTATTTGAAGACATTTCCTTTCTCACCTTAGGCCTGAAAACGCTCGAAATATCCACTTCCAGATACGACAGAAACAGTGATTCAAACCTGCTCTATGAAAGGGAATGTTCAACTAGGTGACTTGAATGCAAACATCACAAAGCAGTTTCTGAGAATGCTGCTGTCTACTTTCTATTTGTAATCCCGTTTCCAACGAAATCCTCAGAACTATCGAAATTTCCAATTGCAGATTCCACAAAAAGCGTGTTTCAAAGCTGCTCTGTAAAAAGAAAGGTTCAACTCTGTTAGTTGAATACACACGTCACAAACAAGTTTCTGAGAATGCTTCTGTCTAGTTTTTATGGGAAGATATTTCCTTTTTCACCGTAGGCCTCAAAGCGCTCCAAATGTCCACTTCCACATACTACAAAAAGAGTGTTTCAAACCTGCTCTATGATAGGGAATGTTGAAACCTATGAGTTGAATGCAAGCATTACAAAGAGGTTTCTGAGAATGCTTCTGTCTAGATTTTATATGTAGATATTCCCGTTTCCAACGAAATCCTCAAAGCTATCCAAATATCAACTTGCAGATTCTACAAAAGGAATGTTTCCAAAATGCTGTATCCAAACAAAGGTTCAACTCTGTGAATTGAGGGCATACATCACAAAGAAGATTCTGAGAATGCTTCTGTCTAGATTTTATATGAAAATATTCCCGTTTCCAACGAAATCCTCAAAGCTATCCAAATATCCACTTGCAAATGCCACAAAAAGAGTGTTTCCAAACTGCTCTGTGAAAAGGAAGGTTCAACTCTGTTAGTTGAGTACACACATCACAAAGAGGTTTCTGAGAATGCTGCTGACTAGTTTTTATTTGAAGATATTTCCCTTTTCACCTTAGGCCTAAGAGTGCTCGAAATGTCCATTTCCACATACTCCACAAAGTGTGTTTCAAACGTGCTGTATGAAAGGGAATGTTCAACTCTATGAGTTGAATGCAAACATCACAAAGAAGATTCTGAGAATGCTTTTGTCTAGATTTTATATGAAGATATTCCCGTGTCCAACGAAATTTTCAAAGGTCTCCAAATATCCATTTGTAGATTCTACAAAAAGAGTGTTTCCAAACTGCTGTATCAAAACAAAGGTTGAACTCTGTGAGTTGAGGACACACATCACAAATAAGTTTCTGAGAATGCTTCTGTCTAGTTTTTATTTGAAGATGTTTCCTTTTTCACCATAGGCCTGAAAGCGCTCGAAATGTCCACTTCCAGATAGTACAGAAAGAGTGTTTCAAACCTGCTCTATGAACGGGAATGTTCAGCTCTGTGAGTTGAATGCAAACATCACAAAGCAGGTTCTGAGAATGCTTCCGTCTAGATTTTAAATGAGGATATTCCCGTTTCCAACGAAATCCTCGAAGCTATCCAAATATCCACTTGCAGATTCCACAAAAAGAGTGTTTCAAAACTGCTCTGTCAAAAGATCGGTTCAACTCTGTTAGTTGAGTACACACATGGCAAACAAGATTCCGAGAATGCTTTCGTCTAGTTTTTTTGGGAAGATATTTCCTTCTTCACCATAGGCCTCAAAGCGCTCCAAATATCCATTTCCACATGCTATACAAAGAGTGTCTCAAACCTGCTGTATGAATGGGAATGTTCAACTCTATGAGTTGAATGCAAACATCACAAAGAAGTTTCTGAGAATGCTGCTGTCTAGATTTTATATGAAGGTTTTCCCGCTTCCAACGAAATTTTCAATGCTCTCAAAATATCCTCTTGTAGATTCTACAAAAAGAGTGTTTCCAAACTGCTGTATCAAAACAAAGGTTCATCTCTGTTAGTTGAGGACACACATCACAAATAAGTTTCTGAGAATGCTTCTGTCTAGTTCTTATTTGAAGACATTTCCTTTCTCACCTTAGGCCTGAAAGCGCTCGAAATACCCACTTCCAGATACTACAGAAACAGTGATTCAAACCTGCTCTATGAAAGGGAATGTTCAACTATGTGACTTGAATGCAAACATCACAAAGCAGTTTCTGAGAATGCTGCTGTCTACTTTCAATTTGTAATCCCGTTTCCAACGAAATCCTCAGAACTATCGAAATTTCCAATTGCAGATTCCACAGAAACAGGGTTTCAAAGCTGCTCTGTAAAAAGAAAGGTTCAACTCTGTTAGTTGAATACACACGTCACAAACAAGTTTCTGAGAATGCTTCTGTCTAGTTTTTATGGGAAGATATTTCCTTTTTCACCATAGGCCTCAAAGCGCTCCAAATGTCCACTTCCACATACTACAAAAAGAGTGTTTCAAACCTGCTGTATGAAAGGGAATGTTCAACTCTATGAGTTGAATGCAAACATTACAAAGAAGTTTCTGAGAATGCTTCTGTCTAGATTTTATATGAAGGTTTTCCCGTTTCCAACGAAATTTTCAATGCTCTCAAAATATCCACTTGTAGATTCTACAAAAAGAGTGTTTCCAAACTGCTGTGTCAAAAGAAAGGTTCAACTCTGTTAGTTGAGGACACACATCACAAATAAGTTTCTGAGAATGCTTCTGTCTAGTTCTTATTTGAAGACATTTCCTTTCTCACCTTAGGCCTGAAAACGCTCGAAATATCCACTTCCAGATACGACAGAAACAGTGATTCAAACCTGCTCTATGAAAGGGAATGTTCAACTAGGTGACTTGAATGCAAACATCACAAAGCAGTTTCTGAGAATGCTGCTGTCTACTTTCTATTTGTAATCCCGTTTCCAACGAAATCCTCAGAACCATCGAAATTTCCAATTGCAGATTCCACAGAAACAGGGTTTCAAAGCTGCTCTGTAAAAAGAAAGGTTCAACTCTGTTAGTTGAATACACACGTCACAAACAAGTTTCTGAGAATGCTTCTGTCTAGTTTTTATGGGAAGATATTTCCTTTTTCACGGTAGGCCTCAAAGCGCTCCAAATGTCCACTTCCACATACTACAAAAAGAGTGTTTCAAACCTGCTCTATGATAGGGAATGTTGAAACCTATGAGTTGAATGCAAGCATTACAAAGAGGTTTCTGAGAATGCTTCTGTCTAGATTTTATATGTAGATATTCCCGTTTCCAACGAAATCCTCAAAGCTATCCAAATATCAACTTGCAGATTCTGCAAAAGGAATGTTTCCAAAATGCTGTATCCAAACAAAGGTTCAACTCTGTGAATTGAGGGCATACATCACAAAGAAGATTCTGAGAATGCTTCTGTCTAGATTTTATATGAAAATATTCCCGTTTCCAACGAAATCCTCAAAGCTATCCAAATATCCACTTGCAAATGCCACAAAAAGAGTGTTTCCAAACTGCTCTGTGAAAAGGAAGGTTCAACTCTGTTAGTTGAGTACACACATCACAAAGAGGTTTCTGAGAATGCTGCTGACTAGTTTTTATTTGAAGATATTTCCCTTTTCACCTTAGGCCTAAGAGTGCTCGAAATGTCCATTTCCACATACTCCACAAAGTGTGTTTCAAACGTGCTGTATGAAAGGGAATGTTCAACTCTATGAGTTGAATGCAAACATCACAAAGAAGATTCTGAGAATGCTTTTGTCTAGATTTTATATGAAGATATTCCCGTGTCCAACGAAATTTTCAAAGGTCTCCAAATATCCATTTGTAGATTCTACAAAAAGAGTGTTTCCAAACTGCTGTATCAAAACAAAGGTTGAACTCTGTGAGTTGAGGACACACATCACAAATAAGTTTCTGAGAATGCTTCTGTCTAGTTTTTATTTGAAGATGTTTCCTTTTTCACCATAGGCCTGAAAGCGCTCGAAATGTCCACTTCCAGATAGTACAGAAAGAGTGTTTCAAACCTGCTCTATGAACGGGAATGTTCAGCTCTGTGAGTTGAATGCAAACATCACAAAGCAGGTTCTGAGAATGCTTCCGTCTAGATTTTAAATGAGGATATTCCCGTTTCCAACGAAATCCTCGAAGCTATCCAAATATCCACTTGCAGATTCCACAAAAAGAGTGTTTCAAAACTGCTCTGTCAAAAGATAGGTTCAACTCTGTTAGTTGAGTACACACATGGCAAACAAGATTCCGAGAATGCTTTCGTCTAGTTTTTTTGGGAAGATATTTCCTTCTTCACCATAGGCCTCAAAGCGCTCCAAATATCCATTTCCACATGCTATACAAAGAGTGTCTCAAACCTGCTGTATGAATGGGAATGTTCAACTCTATGAGTTGAATGCAAACATCACAAAGAAGTTTCTGAGAATGCTGCTGTCTAGATTTTATATGAAGGTTTTCCCGCTTCCAACGAAATTTTCAATGCTCTCAAAATATCCTCTTGTAGATTCTACAAAAAGAGTGTTTCCAAACTGCTGTATCAAAACAAAGGTTCATCTCTGTTAGTTGAGGACACACATCACAAATAAGTTTCTGAGAATGCTTCTGTCTAGTTCTTATTTGAAGACATTTCCTTTCTCACCTTAGGCCTGAAAACGCTCGAAATATCCACTTCCAGATACGACAGAAACTGTGATTCAAACCTGCTCTATGAAAGGGAATGTACAACTAGGTGACTTGAATGCAAACATCACAAAGCAGTTTCTGAGAATGCTGCTGTCTACTTTCTATTTGTAATCCCGTTTCCAACGAAATCCTCAGAACTATCGAAATTTCCAATTGCAGATTCCACAGAAACAGGGTTTCAAAGCTGCTCTGTAAAAAGAAAGGTTCAACTCTGTTAGTTGAATACACACGTCACAAACAAGTTTCTGAGAATGCTTCTGTCTAGTTTTTATGGGAAGATATTTCCTTTTTCACCGTAGGCCTCAAAGCGCTCCAAATGTCCACTTCCACATACTACAAAAAGAGTGTTTCAAACCTGCTGTATGAAAGGGAATGTTCAACTCTGTGAGTTGAATGCAAACTTTACAAAGAAGTTTCTGAGAATGCTTCTGTCTAGATTTTATATGAAGGTTTTCCCGTTTCCAACGAAATTTTCAATGCTCTCAAAATATCCACTTGTAGATTCTACAAAAAGAGTGTTTCCAAACTGCTGTGTCAAAAGAAAGGTTCAACTCTGTTAGTTGAGGACACACATCACAAATAAGTTTCTGAGAATGCTTCTGTCTAGTTCTTATTTGAAGACATTTCCTTTCTCACCTTAGGCCTGAAAACGCTCGAAATATCCACTTCCAGATACGACAGAAACAGTGATTCAAACCTGCTCTATGAAAGGGAATGTTCAATTAGGTGACTTGAATGCAAACATCACAAAGCAGTTTCTGAGAATGCTGCTGTCTACTTTCTATTTGTAATCCCGTTTCCAACGAAATCCTCAGAACTATCGAAATTTCCAATTGCAGATTCCACAAAAAGCGTGTTTCAAAGCTGCTCTGTAAAAAGAAAGGTTCAACTCTGTTAGTTGAATACACACGTCACAAACAAGTTTCTGAGAATGCTTCTGTCTAGTTTTTATGGGAAGATATTTCCTTTTTCACCGTAGGCCTCAAAGCGCTCCAAATGTCCACTTCCACATACTACAAAAAGAGTGTTTCAAACCTGCTCTATGATAGGGAATGTTGAAACGTATGAGTTGAATGCAAGCATTACAAAGAGGTTTCTGAGAATGCTTCTGTCTAAATTTTATATGTAGATATTCCCGTTTCCAACGAAATCCTCAAAGCTATCCAAATATCAACTTGCAGATTCTACAAAAGGAATGTTTCCAAAATGCTGTATCCAAACAAAGGTTCAACTCTGTGAATTGAGGGCATACTTCACAAAGAAGATTCTGAGAATGCTTCTGTCTAGATTTTATATGAAAATATTCCCGTTTCCAACGAAATCCTCAAAGCTATCCAAATATCCACTTGCAAATGCCACAAAAAGAGTGTTTCCAAACTGCTCTGTGAAAAGGAAGGATCAACTCTGTTAGTTGAGTACACACATCACAAAGAGGTTTCTGAGAATGCTGCTGACTAGTTTTTATTTGAAGATATTTCCCTTTTCACCTTAGGCCTAAGAGTGCTCGAAATGTCCATTTCCACATACTCCACAAAGTGTGTTTCAAACGTGCTGTATGAAAGGGAATGTTCAACTCTATGAGTTGAATGCAAACATCACAAAGAAGCTTCTGAGAATGCTTTTGTCTAGATTTTATATGAAGATATTCCCGTGTCCAACGAAATTTTCAAAGGTCTCCAAATATCCATTTGTAGATTCTACAAAAAGAGTGTTTCCAAACTGCTGTATCAAAACAAAGGTTGAACTCTGTGAGTTGAGGACACACATCACAAATAAGTTTCTGAGAATGCTTCCTGTCTAGTTTTTATTTGAAGATGTTTCCTTTTTCACCATAGGCCTGAAAGCGCTCGAAATGTCCACTTCCAGATAGTACAGAAAGAGTGTTTCAAACCTGCTCTATGAACGGGAATGTTCAGCTCTGTGAGTTGAATGCAAACATCACAAAGCAGGTTCTGAGAATGCTTCCGTCTAGATTTTAAATGAGGATATTCCCGTTTCCAACGAAATCCTCGAAGCTATCCAAATATCCACTTGCAGATTCCACAAAAAGAGTGTTTCAAAACTGCTCTGTCAAAAGATAGGTTCAACTCTGTTAGTTGAGTACACACATGGCAAACAAGATTCCGAGAATGCTTTCGTCTAGTTTTTTTGGGAAGATATTTCCTTCTTCACCATAGGCCTCAAAGCGCTCCAAATATCCATTTCCACATGCTATACAAAGAGTGTCTCAAACCTGCTGTACGAATGGGAATGTTCAACTCTATGAGTTGAATGCAAACATCACAAAGAAGTTTCTGAGAATGCTGCTGTCTAGATTTTATATGAAGGTTTTCCCGCTTCCAACGAAATTTTCAATGCTCTCAAAATATCCTCTTGTAGATTCTACAAAAAGAGTGTTTCCAAACTGCTGTATCAAAACAAAGGTTCATCTCTGTTAGTTGAGGACACACATCACAAATAAGTTTCTGAGAATGCTTCTGTCTAGTTCTTATTTGAAGACATTTCCTTTCTCACCTTAGGCCTGAAAGCGCTCGAAATACCCACTTCCAGATACTACAGAAACAGTGATTCAAACCTGCTCTATGAAAGGGAATGTTCAACTCTATGAGTTGAATGCAAACATCACAAAGCAGTTTCTGAGAATGCTGCTGTCTACTTTCTATTTGTAATCCCGTTTCCAACGAAATCCTCAGAACTATCGAAATTTCCAATTGCAGATTCCACAGAAACAGGGTTTCAAAGCTGCTCTGTAAAAAGAAAGGTTCAACTCTGTTAGTTGAATACACACGTCACAAACAAGTTTCTGAGAATGCTTCTGTCTAGTTTTTATGGGAAGATATTTCCTTTTTCACCGTAGGCCTCAAAGCGCTCCAAATGTCCACTTCCACATACTACAAAAAGAGTGTTTCAAACCTGCTGTATGAAAGGGAATGTTCAACTCTATGAGTTGAATGCAAACATTACAAAGAAGTTTCTGAGAATGCTTCTGTCTAGATTTTATATGAAGGTTTTCCCGTTTCCAACGAAATTTTCAATGCTCTCAAAATATCCACTTGTAGATTCTACAAAAAGTGTGTTTCCAAACTGCTGTGTCAAAAGAAAGGTTCAACTCTGTTAGTTGAGGACACACATCACAAATAAGTTTCTGAGAATGCTTCTGTCTAGTTCTTATTTGAAGACATTTCCTTTCTCACCTTAGGCCTGAAAACGCTCGAAATATCCACTTCCAGATACGACAGAAACAGTGATTCAAACCTGCTCTATGAAAGGGAATGTTCAACTAGGTGACTTGAATGCAAACATCACAAAGTAGTTTCTGAGAATGCTGCTGTCTACTTTCTATTTGTAATCCCGTTTCCAACGAAATCCTCAGAACTATCGAAATTTCCAATTGCAGATTCCACAAAAACAGGGTTTCAAAGCTGCTCTGTAAAAAGAAAGGTTCAACTCTGTTTGTTGAATACACACGTCACAAACAAGTTTCTGAGAATGCTTCTGTCTAGTTTTTATGGGAAGATATTTCCTTTTTCACCGTAGGCCTCAAAGCGCTCCAAATGTCCACTTCCACATACTACAAAAAGAGTGTTTCAAACCTGCTGTATGAAAGGGAATGTTCAACTCTATGAGTTGAATGCAAACATTACAAAGAGGTTTCTGAGAATGCTTCTGTCTAGATTTTATATGAAAGTTTTCCCGTTTCCAATGAAATTTTCAATGCTCTCAAAATATCCACTTGTAGATTCTACAAAAAGAGTGTTTCCAAACTGCTGTGTCAAAAGAAAGGTTCAACTCTGTTAGTTGAGGACACACATCACAAATAAGTTTCTGAGAATGCTTCTGTCTAGTTCTTATTTGAAGACATTTCCTTTCTCACCTTAGGCCTGAAAACGCTCGAAATATCCACTTCCAGATACGACAGAAACAGTGATTCAAACCTGCTCTATGAAAGGGAATGTTCAACTAGGTGACTTGAATGCAAACATCACAAAGCAGTTTCTGAGAATGCTGCTGTCTACTTTCTATTTGTAATCCCGTTTCCAACGAAATCCTCAGAACTATCGAAATTTCCAATTGCAGATTCCACAAAAAGCGTGTTTCAAAGCTGCTCTGTAAAAAGAAAGGTTCAACTCTGTTAGTTGAATACACACGTCACAAACAAGTTTCTGAGAATGCTTCTGTCTAGTTTTTATGGGAAGATATTTCCTTTTTCACCGTAGGCCTCAAAGCGCTCCAAATGTCCACTTCCACATACTACAAAAAGAGTGTTTCAAACCTGCTCTATGATAGGGAATGTTGAAACCTATGAGTTGAATGCAAACATTACAAAGAAGTTTCTGAGAATGCTTCTGTCTAGATTTTATATGAAGGTTTTCCCGTTTCCAACGAAATTTTCAATGCTCTCAAAATATCCACTTGTAGATTCTACAAAAAGAGTGTTTCCATACTGCTGTGTCAAAAGAAAGGTTCAACTCTGTTAGTTGAGGACACACATCACAAATAAGTTTCTGAGAATGCTTCTGTCTAGTTCTTATTTGAAGACATTTCCTTTCTCACCTTAGGCCTGAAAACGCTCGAAATATCCACTTCCAGATACGACAGAAACAGTGATTCAAACCTGCTCTATGAAAGGGAATGTTCAACTAGGTGACTTGAATGCAAACATCACAAAGCAGTTTCTGAGAATGCTGCTGTCTACTTTCTATTCGTAATCCCGTTTCCAACGAAATCCTCAGAACTATCAAAATTTCCAATTGCAGATTCCACAAAAAGCGTGTTTCAAAGCTGCTCTGTAAAAAGAAAGGTTCAACTCTGTTAGTTGAATACACACGTCACAAACAAGTTTCTGAGAATGCTTCTGTCTAGTTTTTATGGGAAGATATTTCCTTTTTCACCGTAGGCCTCAAAGCGCTCCAAATGTCCACTTCCACATACTACAAAAAGAGTGTTTCAAACCTGCTCTATGATAGGGAATGTTGAAACCTATGAGTTGAATGCAAACATTACAAAGAGGTTTCTGAGAATGCTTCTGTCTAGATTTTATATGTAGATATTCCCGTTTCCAACGAAATCCTCAAAGCTATCCAAATATCAACTTGCAGATTCTACAAAAGGAATGTTTCCAAAATGCTGTATCCAAACAAAGGTTCAACTCTGTGAATTGAGGGCATACATCACAAAGAAGATTCTGAGAATGCTTCTGTCTAGATTTTATATGAAAATATTCCCGTTTCCAACGAAATCCTCAAAGCTATCCAAATATCCACTTGCAAATGTCACAAAAAGAGTGTTTCCAAACTGCTCTGTGAAAAGGAAGGTTCAACTCTGTTAGTTGAGTACACACATCACAAAGAGGTTTCTGAGAATGCTGCTGACTAGTTTTTATTTGAAGATATTTCCCTTTTCACCTTAGGCCTAAGAGTGCTCGAAATGTCCATTTCCACATACTCCACAAAGTGTGTTTCAAACGTGCTGTATGAAAGGGAATGTTCAACTCTATGAGTTGAATGCAAACATCACAAAGAAGATTCTGAGAATGCTTTTGTCTAGATTTTATATGAAGATATTCCCGTGTCCAACGAAATTTTCAAAGGTCTCCAAATATCCATTTGTAGATTCTACAAAAAGAGTGTTTCCAAACTGCTGTATCAAAACAAAGGTTGAACTCTGTGAGTTGAGGACACACATCACAAATAAGTTTCTGAGAATGCTTCTGTCTAGTTTTTATTTGAAGATGTTTCCTTTTTCACCATAGGCCTGAAAGCGCTCGAAATGTCCACTTCCAGATACGACAGAAACAGTGATTCAAACCTGCTCTATGAAAGGGAATGTTCAACTATGTGACTTGAACGCAAACATCACAAAGCAGTTTCTGAGAATGCTGCTGTCTACTTTCTATTTGTAATCCCGTTTCCAACGAAATCCTCAGAACTATCGAAATTTCCATTTGCAGATTCCACAGAAACAGGGTTTCAAAGCTGCTCTGTAAAAAGAAAGGTTCAACTCTGTTAGTTGAATACACACGTCACAAACAAGTTTCTGAGAATGCTTCTGTCTAGTTTTTATGGGAAGATATTTCCTTTTTCACGGTAGGCCTCAAAGCGCTCCAAATGTCCACTTCCACATACTACAAAAAGAGTGTTTCAAACCTGCTCTATGATAGGGAATGTTGAAACCTATGAGTTGAATGCAAGCATTACAAAGAGGTTTCTGAGAATGCTTCTGTCTAGATTTTATATGTAGATATTCCCGTTTCCAACGAAATCCTCAAAGCTATCCAAATATCAACTTGCAGATTCTACAAAAGGAATGTTTCCAAAATGCTGTATCCAAACAAAGGTTCAACTCTGTGAATTGAGGGCATACATCACAAAGAAGATTCTGAGAATGCTTCTGTCTAGATTTTATATGAAAATATTCCCGTTTCCAACGAAATCCTCAAAGCTATCCAAATATCCACTTGCAAATGCCACAAAAAGAGTGTTTCCAAACTGCTCTGTGAAAAGGAAGGTTCAACTCTGTTAGTTGAGTACACACATCACAAAGAGGTTTCTGAGAATGCTGCTGACTAGTTTTTATTTGAAGATATTTCCCTTTTCACCTTAGGCCTAAGAGTGCTCGAAATGTCCATTTCCACATACTCCACAAAGTGTGTTTCAAACGTGCTGTATGAAAGGGAATGTTCAACTCTATGAGTTGAATTCAAACATCACAAAGAAGATTCTGAGAATGCTTTTGTCTAGATTTTATATGAAGATATTCCCGTGTCCAACGAAATTTTCAAAGGTCTCCAAATATCCATTTGTAGATTCTACAAAAAGAGTGTTTCCAAACTGCTGTATCAAAACAAAGGTTGAACTCTGTGAGTTGAGGACACACATCACAAATAAGTTTCTGAGAATGCTTCTGTCTAGTTTTTATTTGAAGATGTTTCCTTTTTCACCATAGGCCTGAAAGCGCTCGAAATGTCCCCTTCCAGATAGTACAGAAAGAGTGTTTCAAACCTGCTCTATGAACGGGAATGTTCAGCTCTGTGAGTTGAATGCAAACATCACAAAGCAGGTTCTGAGAATGCTTCCGTCTAGATTTTAAATGAGGATATTCCCGTTTCCAACGAAATCCTCGAAGCTATCCAAATATCCACTTGCAGATTCCACAGAAAGAGTGTTTCAAAACTGCTCTCTCAAAAGATAGGTTCAACTCTGTTAGTTGAGTACACACATGGCAAACAAGATTCCGAGAATGCTTTCGTCTAGTTTTTTTGGGAAGATATTTCCTTCTTCACCATAGGCCTCAAAGCGCTCCAAATATCCATTTCCACATGCTATACAAAGAGTGTCTCAAACCTGCTGTATGAATGGGAATGTTCAACTCTATGAGTTGAATGCAAACATCACAAAGAAGTTTCTGAGAATGCTGCTGTCTAGATTTTATATGAAGGTTTTCCCGCTTCCAACGAAATTTTGAATGCTCTCAAAATATCCTCTTGTAGATTCTACAAAAAGAGTGTTTCCAAACTGCTGTATCAAAACAAAGGTTCATCTCTGTTAGTTGAGGACACACATCACAAATAAGTTTCTGAGAATGCTTCTGTCTAGTTCTTATTTGAAGACATTTCCTTTCTCACCTTAGGCCTGAAAGCGCTCGAAATACCCACTTCCAGATACTACAGAAACAGTGATTCAAACCTGCTCTATGAAAGGGAATGTTCAACTATGTGACTTGAATGCAAACATCACAAAGCAGTTTCTGAGAATGCTGCTGTCTACTTTCTATTTGTAATCCCGTTTGCAACGAAATCCTCAGAACTATCGAAATTTCCAATTGCAGATTCCACAGAAACAGGGTTTCAAAGCTGCTCTGTAAAAAGAAAGGTTCAACTCTGTTAGTTGAATACACACGTCACAAACAAGTTTCTGAGAATGCTTCTGTCTAGTTTTTATGGGAAGATATTTCCTTTTTCACCGTAGGCCTCAAAGCGCTCCAAATGTCCACTTCCACATACTACAAAAAGAGTGTTTCAAACCTGCTGTATGAAAGGGAATGTTCAACTCTATGAGTTGAATGCAAACATTACAAAGAAGTTTCTGAGAATGCTTCTGTCTAGATTTTATATGAAGGTTTTCCCGTTTCCAACGAAATTTTCAATGCTCTCAAAATATCCACTTGTAGATTCTACAAAAAGAGTGTTTCCAAACTGCTGTGTCAAAAGAAAGGTTCAATTCTGTTAGTTGAGGACACACATCACAAATAAGTTTCTGAGAATGCTTGTGTCTAGTTCTTATTTGAAGACATTTCCTTTCTCACCTTAGGCCTGAAAACGCTCGAAATATCCACTTCCAGATACGACAGAAACAGTGATTCAAACCTGCTCTATGAAAGGGAATGTTCAACTAGGTGACTTGAATGCAAACATCACAAAGCAGTTTCTGAGAATGCTGCTGTCTACTTTCTATTTGTAATCCCGTTTCCAACGAAATCCTCAGAACTATCGAAATTTCCAATTGCAGATTCCACAAAAAGCGTGTTTCAAAGCTGCTCTGTAAAAAGAAAGGTTCAACTCTGTTAGTTGAATACACACGTCACAAACAAGTTTCTGAGAATGCTTCTGTCTAGTTTTTATGGGAAGATATTTCCTTTTTCACCGTAGGCCTCAAAGCGCTCCAAATGTCCACTTCCACATACTACAAAAAGAGTGTTTCAAACCTGCTCTATGATAGGGAATGTTGAAACCTATGAGTTGAATGCAAGCATTACAAAGAGGTTTCTGAGAATGCTTCTGTCTAGATTTTATATGTAGATATTCCCGTTTCCAACGAAATCCTCAAAGCTATCCAAATATCAACTTGCAGATTCTACAAAAGGAATGTTTCCAAAATGCTGTATCCAAACAAAGGTTCAACTCTGTGAATTGAGGGCATACATCACAAAGAAGATTCTGAGAATGCTTCTGTCTAGATTTTATATGAAAATATTCCCGTTTCCAACGAAATCCTCAAAGCTATCCAAATATCCACTTGCAAATGCCACAAAAAGAGTGTTTCCAAACTGCTCTGTGAAAAGGAAGGTTCAACTCTGTTAGTTGAGTACACACATCACAAAGAGGTTTCTGAGAATGCTGCTGACTAGTTTTTATTTGAAGATATTTCCCTTTTCACCTTAGGCCTAAGAGTGCTCGAAATGTCCATTTCCACATACTCCACAAAGTGTGTTTCAAACGTGCTGTATGAAAGGGAATGTTCAACTCTATCAGTTGAATGCAAACATCACAAAGAAGACTCTGAGAATGCTTTTGTCTAGATTTTATATGAAGATATTCCCGTGTCCAACGAAATTTTCAAAGGTCTCCAAATATCCATTTGTAGATTCTACAAAAAGAGTGTTTCCAAACTGCTGTATCAAAACAAAGGTTGAACTCTGTGAGTTGAGGACACACATCACAAATAAGTTTCTGAGAATGCTTCTGTCTAGTTTTTATTTGAAGATGTTTCCTTTTTCACCATAGGCCTGAAAGCGCTCGAAATGTCCACTTCCAGATAGTACAGAAAGAGTGTTTCAAACCTGCTCTATGAACGGGAATGTTCAGCTCTGTGAGTTGAATGCAAACATCACAAAGCAGGTTCTGAGAATGCTTCCGTCTAGATTTTAAATGAGGATATTCCCGTTTCCAACGAAATCCTCGAAGCTATCCAAATATCCACTTGCAGATTCCACAAAAAGAGTGTTTCAAAACTGCTCTGTCAAAAGATAGGTTCAACTCTGTTAGTTGAGTACACACATGGCAAACAAGATTCCGAGAATGCTTTCGTCTAGTTTTTTTGGGAAGATATTTCCTTCTTCACCATAGGCCTCAAAGCGCTCCAAATATCCATTTCCACATGCTATACAAAGAGTGTCTCAAACCTGCTGTATGAATGGGAATGTTCAACTCTATGAGTTGAATGCAAACATCACAAAGAAGTTTCTGAGAATGCTGCTGTCTAGATTTTATATGAAGGTTTTCCCGCTTCCAACCAAATTTTCAATGCTCTCAAAATATCCTCTTGTAGATTCCACAAAAAGAGTGTTTCCAAACTGCTGTATCAAAACAAAGGTTCATCTCTGTTAGTTGAGGACACACATAACAAATAAGTTTCTGAGAATGCTTCTGTCTAGTTCTTATTTGAAGACATTTCCTTTCTCACCTTAGGCCTGAAAACGCTCGAAATATCCACTTCCAGATACGACAGAAACTGTGATTCAAACCTGCTCTATGAAAGGGAATGTTCAACTAGGTGACTTGAATGCAAACATCACAAAGCAGTTTCTGAGAATGCTGCTGTCTACTTTCTATTTGTAATCCCGTTTCCAACGAAATCCTCAGAACTATCGAAATTTCCAATTGCAGATTCCACAGAAACAGGGTTTCAAAGCTGCTCTGTAAAAAGAAAGGTTCAACTCTGTTAGTTGAATACACACGTCACAAACAAGTTTCTGAGAATGCTTCTGTCTAGTTTTTATGGGAAGATATTTCCTTTTTCACCGTAGGCCTCAAAGCGCTCCAAATGTCCACGTCCACATACTACAAAAAGAGTGTTTCAAACCTGCTGTATGAAAGGGAATGTTCAACTCTATGAGTTGAATGCAAACATTACAAAGAAGTTTCTGAGAATGCTTCTGTCTAGATTTTATATGAAGGTTTTCCCGTTTCCAACGAAATTTTCAATGCTCTCAAAATATCCACTTGTAGATTCTACAAAAAGAGTGTTTCCAAACTGCTGTGTCAAAAGAAAGGTTCAACTCTGTTAGTTGAGGACACACATCACAAATAAGTTTCTGAGAATGCTTCTGTCTAGTTCTTATTTGAAGACATTTCCTTTCTCACCTTAGGCCTGAAAACGCTCGAAATATCCACTTCCAGATACGACAGAAACAGTGATTCAAACCTGCTCTATGAAAGGGAATGTTCAACTAGGTGACTTGAATGCAAACATCACAAAGCAGTTTCTGAGAATGCTGCTGTCTACTTTGTATTTGTAATCCCGTTTCCAACGAAATCCTCAGAACTATCGAAATTTCCAATTGCAGATTCCACAAAAAGCGTGTTTCAAAGCTGCTCTGTAAAAAGAAAGGTTCAACTCTGTTAGTTGAATACACACGTCACAAACAAGTTTCTGAGAATGCTTCTGTCTAGTTTTTATGGGAAGATATTTCCTTTTTCACCGTAGGCCTCAAAGCGCTCCAAATGTCCACTTCCACATACTACAAAAAGAGTGTTTCAAACCTGCTGTATGAAAGGGAATGTTCAACTCTATGAGTTGAATGCAAACATTACAAAGAAGTTTCTGAGAATGCTTCTGTCTAGATTTTATATGAAGGTTTTCCCGTTTCCAACGAAATTTTCAATGCTCTCAAAATATCCACTTGTAGATTCTACAAAAAGAGTGTTTCCAAACTGCTGTGTCAAAAGAAAGGTTCAACTCTGTTAGTTGAGGACACACATCACAAATAAGTTTCTGAGAATGCTTCTGTCTAGTTCTTATTTGAAGACATTTCCTTTCTCACCTTAGGCCTGAAAACGCTCGAAATATCCACTTCCAGATACGACAGAAACAGTGATTCAAACCTGCTCTATGAAAGGGAATGTTCAACTAGGTGACTTGAATGCAAACATCACAAAGCAGTTTCTGAGAATGCTGCTGTCTACTTTCTATTTGTAATCCCGTTTCCAACGAAATCCTCAGAACTATCGAAATTTCCAATTGCAGATTCCACAAAAAGCGTGTTTCAAAGCTGCTCTGTAAAAAGAAAGGTTCAACTCTGTTAGTTGAATACACACGTCACAAACAAGTTTCTGAGAATGCTTCTGTCTAGTTTTTATGGGAAGATATTTCCTTTTTCACCGTAGGCCTCAAAGCGCTCCAAATGTCCACTTCCACATACTACAAAAAGAGTGTTTCAAACCTGCTCTATGATAGGGAATGTTGAAACCTATGAGTTGAATGCAAGCATTACAAAGAGGTTTCTGAGAATGCTTCTGTCTAGATTTTATATGTAGATATTCCCGTTTCCAACGAAATCCTCAAAGCTATCCAAATATCAGCTTGCAGATTCTGCAAAAGGAATGTTTCCAAAATGCTGTATCCAAACAAAGGTTCAACTCTGTGAATTGAGGGCATACATCACAAAGAAGATTCTGAGAATGCTTCTGTCTAGATTTTATATGAAAATAGTCCCGTTTCCAACGAAATCCTCAAAGCTATCCAAATATCCACTTGCAAATGCCACAAAAAGAGTGTTTCCAAACTGCTCTGTGAAAAGGAAGGTTCAACTCTGTTAGTTGAGTACACACATCACAAAGAGGTTTCTGAGAATGCTGCTGACTAGTTTTTATTTGAAGATATTTCCCTTTTCACCTTAGGCCTAAGAGTGCTCGAAATGTCCATTTCCACATACTCCACAAAGTGTGTTTCAAACGTGCTGTATGAAAGGGAATGTTCAACTCTATGAGTTGAATGCAAACATCACAAAGAAGATTCTGAGAATGCTTTTGTCTAGATTTTATATGAAGATATTCCCGTGTCCAACGAAATTTTCAAAGGTCTCCAAATATCCATTTGTAGATTCTACAAAAAGAGTGTTTCCAAACTGCTGTATCAAAACAAAGGTTGAACTCTGTGAGTTGAGGACACACATCACAAATAAGTTTCTGAGAATGCTTCTGTCTAGTTTTTATTTGAAGATGTTTCCTTTTTCACCATAGGCCTGAAAGCGCTCGAAATGTCCACTTCCAGATAGTACAGAAAGAGTGTTTCAAACCTGCTCTATGAACGGGAATGTTCAGCTCCGTGAGTTGAATGCAAACATCACAAAGCAGGTTCTGAGAATGCTTCCGTCTAGATTTTAAATGAGGATATTCCCGTTTCCAACGAAATCCTCGAAGCTATCCAAATATCCACTTGCAGATTCCACAAAAAGAGTGTTTCAAAACTGCTCTGTCAAAAGATAGGTTCAACTCTGTTAGTTGAGTACACACATGGCAAACAAGATTCCGAGAATGCTTTCGTCTAGTTTTTTTGGGAAGATATTTCCTTCTTCACCATAGGCCTCAAAGCGCTCCAAATATCCATTTCCACATGCTATACAAAGAGTGTCTCAAACCTGCTGTATGAATGGGAATGTTCAACTCTATGAGTTGAATGCAAACATCACAAAGAAGTTTCTGAGAATGCTGCTGTCTAGATTTTATATGAAGGTTTTCCCGCTTCCAACGAAATTTTCAATGCTCTCAAAATATCCTCTTGTAGATTCTACAAAAAGAGTGTTTCCAAACTGCTGTATCAAAACAAAGGTTCATCTCTGTTAGTTGAGGACACACATCACAAATAAGTTTCTGAGAATGCTTCTGTCTAGTTCTTATTTGAAGACATTTCCTTTCTCACCTTAGGCCTGAAAGCGCTCGAAATACCCACTTCCAGATACTACAGAAACAGTGATTCAAACCTGCTCTATGAAAGGGAATGTTCAACTAGGTGACTTGAATGCAAACATCACAAAGCAGTTTCTGAGAATGCTGCTGTCTACTTTCTATTTGTAATCCCGTTTCCAACGAAATCCTCAGAACTATCAAAATTTCCAATTGCAGATTCCACAGAAACAGGGTTTCAAAGCTGCTCTGTAAAAAGAAAGGTTCAACTCTGTTAGTTGAATACACACGTCACAAACAAGTTTCTGAGAATGCTTCTGTCTAGTTTTTATGGGAAGATATTTCCTTTTTCACCGTAGGCCTCAAAGCGCTCCAAATGTCCACTTCCACATACTACAAAAAGAGTGTTTCAAACCTGCTGTATGAAAGGGAATGTTCAACTCTATGAGTTGAATGCAAACATTACAAAGAAGTTTCTGAGAATGCTTCTGTCTAGATTTTATATGAAGGTTTTCCCGTTTCCAACGAAATTTTCAATGCTCTCAAAATATCCACTTGTAGATTCTACAAAAAGAGTGTTTCCAAACTGCTGTGTCAAAAGAAAGGTTCAACTCTGTTAGTTGAGGACACACATCACAAATAAGTTTCTGAGAATGCTTCTGTCTAGTTCTTATTTGAAGACATTTCCTTTCTCACCTTAGGCCTGAAATCGCTCGAAATATCCACTTCCAGATACGACAGAAACAGTGATTCAAACCTGCTCTATGAAAGGGAATGTTCAACTAGGTGACTTGAATGCAAACATCACAAAGCAGTTTCTGAGAATGCTGCTGTCTACTTTCTATTTGTAATCCCGTTTCCAACGAAATCCTCAGAACCATCGAAATTTCCAATTGCAGATTCCACAGAAACAGGGTTTCAAAGCTGCTCTGTAAAAAGAAAGGTTCAACTCTGTTAGTTGAATACACACGTCACAAACAAGTTTCTGAGAATGCTTCTGTCTAGTTTTTATGGGAAGATATTTCCTTTTTCACGGTAGGCCTCAAAGCGCTCCAAATGTCCACTTCCACATACTACAAAAAGAGTGTTTCAAACCTGCTCTATGATAGGGAATGTTGAAACCTATGAGTTGAATGCAAGCATTACAAAGAGGTTTCTGAGAATGCTTCTGTCTAGATTTTATATGTAGATATTCCCGTTTCCAACGAAATCCTCAAAGCTATCCAAATATCAACTTGCAGATTCTGCAAAAGGAATGTTTCCAAAATGCTGTATCCAAACAAAGGTTCAACTCTGTGAATTGAGGGCATACATCACAAAGAAGATTCTGAGAATGCTTCTGTCTAGATTTTATATGAAAATATTCCCGTTTCCAACGAAATCCTCAAAGCTATCCAAATATCCACTTGCAAATGCCACAAAAAGAGTGTTTCCAAACTGCTCTGTGAAAAGGAAGGTTCAACTCTGTTAGTTGAGTACACACATCACAAAGAGGTTTCTGAGAATGCTGCTGACTAGTTTTTATTTGAAGATATTTCCCTTTTCACCTTAGGCCTAAGAGTGCTCGAAATGTCCATTTCCACATACTCCACAAAGTGTGTTTCAAACGTGCTGTATGAAAGGGAATGTTCAACTCTATGAGTTGAATGCAAACATCACAAAGAAGACTCTGAGAATGCTTTTGTCTAGATTTTATATGAAGATATTCCCGTGTCCAACGAAATTTTCAAAGGTCTCCAAATATCCATTTGTAGATTCTACAAAAAGAGTGTTTCCAAACTGCTGTATCAAAACAAAGGTTGAACTCTGTGAGTTGAGGACACACATCACAAATAAGTTTCTGAGAATGCTTCTGTCTAGTTTTTATTTGAAGATGTTTCCTTTTTCACCATAGGCCTGAAAGCGCTCGAAATGTCCACTTCCAGATAGTACAGAAAGAGTGTTTCAAACCTGCTCTATGAACGGGAATGTTCAGCTCTGTGAGTTGAATGCAAACATCACAAAGCAGGTTCTGAGAATGCTTCCGTCTAGATTTTAAATGAGGATATTCCCGTTTCCAACGAAATCCTCGAAGCTATCCAAATATCCACTTGCAGATTCCACAAAAAGAGTGTTTCAAAACTGCTCTGTCAAAAGATAGGTTCAACTCTGTTAGTTGAGTACACACATGGCAAACAAGATTGCGAGAATGCTTTCGTCTAGTTTTTTTGGGAAGATATTTCCTTCTTCACCATAGGCCTCAAAGCGCTCCAAATATCCATTTCCACATGCTATACAAAGAGTGTCTCAAACCTGCTGTATGAATGGGAATGTTCAACTCTATGAGTTGAATGCAAACATCACAAAGAAGTTTCTGAGAATGCTGCTGTCTAGATTTTATATGAAGGTTTTCCCGCTTCCAACGAAATTTTCAATGCTCTCAAAATATCCTCTTGTAGATTCTACAAAAAGAGTGTTTCCAAACTGCTGTATCAAAACAAAGGTTCATCTCTGTTAGTTGAGGACACACATCACAAATAAGTTTCTGAGAATGCTTCTGTCTAGTTCTTATTTGAAGACATTTCCTTTCTCACCTTAGGCCTGAAAACGCTCGAAATATCCACTTCCAGATACGACAGAAACAGTGATTCAAACCTGCTCTGTGAAAGGGAATGTTCAACTAGGTGACTTGAATGCAAACATCACAAAGCAGTTTCTGAGAATGCTGCTGTCTACTTTCTATTTGTAATCCCGTTTCCAACGAAATCCTCAGAACTATCGAAATTTCCAATTGCAGATTCCACAAAAAGCGTGTTTCAAAGCTGCTCTGTAAAAAGAAAGGTTCAACTCTGTTAGTTGAATACACACGTCACAAACAAGTTTCTGAGAATGCTTCTGTCTAGTTTTTATGGGAAGATATTTCCTTTTTCACCGTAGGCCTCAAAGCGCTCCAAATGTCCACTTCCACATACTACAAAAAGAGTGTTTCAAACCTGCTCTATGATAGGGAATGTTGAAACCTATGAGTTGAATGCAAGCATTACAAAGAGGTTTCTGAGAATGCTTCTGTCTAGATTTTATATGTAGATATTCCCGTTTCCAACGAAATCCTCAAAGCTATCCAAATATCAACTTGCAGATTCTACAAAAGGAATGTTTCCAAAATGCTGTATCCAAACAAAGGTTCAACTCTGTGAATTGAGGGCATACATCACAAAGAAGATTCTGAGAATGCTTCTGTCTAGATTTTATATGAAAATATTCCCGTTTCCAACGAAATCCTCAAAGCTATCCAAATATCCACTTGCAAATGCCACAAAAAGAGTGTTTCCAAACTGCTCTGTGAAAAGGAAGGTTCAACTCTGTTAGTTGAGTACACACATCACAAAGAGGTTTCTGAGAATGCTGCTGACTAGTTTTTATTTGAAGATATTTCCCTTTTCACCTTAGGCCTAAGAGTGCTCGAAATGTCCATTTCCACATACTCCACAAAGTGTGTTTCAAACGTGCTGTATGAAAGGGAATGTTCAACTCTATGAGTTGAATGCAAACATCACAAAGAAGATTCTGAGAATGCTTTTGTCTAGATTTTATATGAAGATATTCCCGTGTCCAACGAAATTTTCAAAGGTCTCCAAATAAAGATTGTTTCCAAACTGCTGTATCAAAACAAAGGTTGAACTCTGTGAGTTGAGGACACACATCACAAATAAGTTTCTGAGAATGCTTCTGTCTAGTTTTTATTTGAAGATGTTTCCTTTTTCACCATAGGCCTGAAAGCGCTCGAAATGTCCACTTCCAGATAGTACAGAAAGAGTGTTTCAAACCTGCTCTATGAACGGGAATGTTCAGCTCTGTGAGTTGAATGCAAACATCACAAAGCAGGTTCTGAGAATGCTTCCGTCTAGATTTTAAATGAGGATATTCCCGTTTCCAACGAAATCCTCGAAGCTATCCAAATATCCACTTGCAGATTCCACAAAAAGAGTGTTTCAAAACTGCTCTGTCAAAAGATAGGTTCAACTCTGTTAGTTGAGTACACACATGGCAAACAAGATTCCGAGAATGCTTTCGTCTAGTTTTTTTGGGAAGATATTTCCTTCTTCACCATAGGCCTCAAAGCGCTCCAAATATCCATTTCCACATGCTATACAAAGAGTGTCTCAAACCTGCTGTATGAATGGGAATGTTCAACTCTATGAGTTGAATGCAAACATCACAAAGAAGTTTCTGAGAATGCTGCTGTCTAGATTTTATATGAAGGTTTTCCCGCTTCCAACGAAATTTTCAATGCTCTGAAAATATCCTCTTGTATATTCTACAAAAAGAGTGTTTCCAAACTGCTGTGTCAAAAGAAAGGTTCAACTCTGTTAGTTGAGGACACACATCACAAATAAGTTTCTGAGAATGCTTCTGTCTAGTTCTTATTTGAAGACATTTCCTTTCTCACCTTAGGCCTGAAAGCGCTCGAAATACCCACTTCCAGATACTACAGAAACAGTGATTCAAACCTGCTCTATGAAAGGGAATGTTCAACTATGTGACTTGAATGCAAACATCACAAAGCAGTTTCTGAGAATGCTGCTGTCTACTTTCTATTTGTAATCCCGTTTCCAACGAAATCCTCAGAACTATCGAAATTTCCAATTGCAGATTCCACAGAAACAGGGTTTCAAAGCTGCTCTGTAAAAAGAAAGGTTCAACTCTGTTAGTTGAATACACACGTCACAAACAAGTTTCTGAGAATGCTTCTGTCTAGTTTTTATGGGAAGATATTTCCTTTTTCACCGTAGGCCTCAAAGCGCTCCAAATGTCCACTTCCACATACTACAAAAAGAGTGTTTCAAACCTGCTGTAAGAAAGGGAATGTTCAACTCTATGAGTCGAATGCAAACATTACAAAGAAGTTTCTGAGAATGCTTCTGTCTAGATTTTATATGAAGGTTTTCCCGTTTCCAACGAAATTTTCAATGCTCTCAAAATATCCACTTGTAGATTCTACAAAAAGAGTGTTTCCAAACTGCTGTGTCAAAAGAAAGGTTCAACTCTGTTAGTTGAGGACACACATCACAAATAAGTTTCTGAGAATGCTTCTGTCTAGTTCTTATTTGAAGACATTTCCTTTCTCACCTTAGGCCTGAAAACGCTCGAAATATCCACTTCCAGATACGACAGAAACAGTGATTCAAACCTGCTCTATGAAAGGGAATGTTCAACTAGGTGACTTGAATGCAAACATCACAAAGCAGTTTCTGAGAATGCTGCTGTCTACTTTCTATTTGTAATCCCGTTTCCAACGAAATCCTCAGAACTATCGAAATTTCCAATTGCAGATTCCACAAAAAGCGTGTTTCAAAGCTGCTCTGTAAAAAGAAAGGTTCAACTCTGTTAGTTGAATACACACGTCACAAACAAGTTTCTGAGAATGCTTCTGTCTAGTTTTTATGGGAAGATATTTCCTTTTTCACCGTAGGCCTCAAAGCGCTCCAAATGTCCACTTCCACATACTACAAAAAGAGTGTTTCAAACCTGCTCTATGATAGGGAATGTTGAAACCTATGAGTTGAATGCAAGCATTACAAAGAGGTTTCTGAGAATGCTTCTGTCTAGATTTTATATGTAGATATTCCCGTTTCCAACGAAATCCTCAAAGCTATCCAAATATCAACTTGCAGATTCTACAAAAGGAATGTTTCCAAAATGCTGTATCCAAACAAAGGTTCAACTCTGTGAATTGAGGGCATACATCACAAAGAAGATTCTGAGAATGCTTCTGTCTAGATTTTATATGAAAATATTCCCGTTTCCAACGAAATCCTCAAAGCTATCCAAATATCCACTTGCAAATGCCACAAAAAGAGTGTTTCCAAACTGCTCTGTGAAAAGGAAGGTTCAACTCTGTTAGTTGAGTACACACATCACAAAGAGGTTTCTGAGAATGCTGCTGACTAGTTTTTATTTGAAGATATTTCCCTTTTCACCTTAGGCCTAAGAGTGCTCGAAATGTCCATTTCCACATACTCCACAAAGTGTGTTTCAAACGTGCTGTATGAAAGGGAATGTTCAACTCTATCAGTTGAATGCAAACATCACAAAGAAGACTCTGAGAATGCTTTTGTCTAGATTTTATATGAAGATATTCCCGTGTCCAACGAAATTTTCAAAGGTCTCCAAATACCCATTTGTAGATTCTACAAAAAGAGTGTTTCCAAACTGCTGTATCAAAACAAAGGTTGAACTCTGTGAGTTGAGGACACACATCACAAATAAGTTTCTGAGAATGCTTCTGTCTAGTTTTTATTTGAAGATGTTTCCTTTTTCACCATAGGCCTGAAAGCGCTCGAAATGTCCACTTCCAGATAGTACAGAAAGAGTGTTTCAAACCTGCTCTATGAACGGGAATGTTCAGCTCTGTGAGTTGAATGCAAACATCACAAAGCAGGTTCTGAGAATGCTTCCGTCTAGATTTTAAATGAGGATATTCCCGTTTCCAACGAAATCCTCGAAGCTATCCAAATATCCACTTGCAGATTCCACAAAAAGAGTGTTTCAAAACTGCTCTGTCAAAAGATAGGTTCAACTCTGTTAGTTGAGTACACACATGGCAAACAAGATTCCGAGAATGCTTTCGTCTAGTTTTTTTGGGAAGATATTTCCTTCTTCACCATAGGCCTCAAAGCGCTCCAAATATCCATTTCCACATGCTATACAAAGAGTGTCTCAAACCTGCTGTATGAATGGGAATGTTCAACTCTATGAGTTGAATGCAAACATCACAAAGAAGTTTCTGAGAATGCTGCTGTCTAGATTTTATATGAAGGTTTTCCCGCTTCCAACGAAATTTTCAATGCTCTCAAAATATCCTCTTGTAGATTCTACAAAAAGAGTGTTTCCAAACTGCTGTATCAAAACAAAGGTTCATCTCTGTTAGTTGAGGACACACATCACAAATAAGTTTCTGAGAATGCTTCTGTCTAGTTCTTATTTGAAAGACATTTCCTTTCTCACCTTAGGCCTGAAAGCGCTCGAAATACCCACTTCCAGATACTACATAAACAGTGATTCAAACCTGCTCTATGAAAGGGAATGTTCAACTAGGTGACTTGAATGCAAACATCACAAAGCAGTTTCTGAGAATGCTGCTGTCTACTTTCTATTTGTAATCCCGTTTCCAACGAAATCCTCAGAACTATCGAAATTTCCAATTGCAGATTCCACAGAAACAGGGTTTCAAAGCTGCTCTGTAAAAAGAAAGGTTCAACTCTGTTAGTTGAATACACACGTCACAAACAAGTTTCTGAGAATGCTTCTGTCTAGTTTTTATGGGAAGATATTTCCTTTTTCACGGTAGGCCTCAAAGCGCTCCAAATGTCCACTTCCACATACTACAAAAAGAGTGTTTCAAACCTGCTCTATGATAGGGAATGTTGAAACCTATGAGTTGAATGCAAGCATTACAAAGAGGTTTCTGAGAATGCTTCTGTCTAGATTTTATATGTAGATATTCCCGTTTCCAACGAAATCCTCAAAGCTATCCAAATATCAACTTGCAGATTCTACAAAAGGAATGTTTCCAAAATGCTGTATCCAAACCATGGTTCAACTCTGTGAATTGAGGGCATACATCACAAAGAAGATTCTGAGAATGCTTCTGTCTAGATTTTATATGAAAATATTCCCGTTTCCAACGAAATCCTCAAAGCTATCCAAATATCCACTTGCAAATGCCACAAAAAGAGTGTTTCCAAACTGCTCTGTGAAAAGGAAGGTTCAACTCTGTTAGTTGAGTACACACATCACAAAGAGGTTTCTGTGAATGCTGCTGACTAGTTTTTATTTGAAGATATTTCCCTTTTCACCTTAGGCCTAAGAGTGCTCGAAATGTCCATTTCCACATACTCCACAAAGTGTGTTTCAAACGTGCTGTATGAAAGGGAATGTTCAACTCTATGAGTTGAATGCAAACATCACAAAGAAGACTCTGAGAATGCTTTTGTCTAGATTTTATATGAAGATATTCCCGTGTCCAACGAAATTTTCAAAGGTCTCCAAATATCCATTTGTAGATTCTACAAAAAGAGTGTTTCCAAACTGCTGTATCAAAACAAAGGTTGAACTCTGTGAGTTGAGGACACACATCACAAATAAGTTTCTGAGAATGCTTCTGTCTAGTTTTTATTTGAAGATGTTTCCTTTTTCACCATAGGCCTGAAAGCGCTCGAAATGTCCACTTCCAGATAGTACAGAAAGAGTGTTTCAAACCTGCTCTATGAACGGGAATGTTCAGCTCTGTGAGTTGAATGCAAACATCACAAAGCAGGTTCTGAGAATGCTTCCGTCTAGATTTTAAATGAGGATATTCCCGTTTCCAACGAAATCCTCGAAGCTATCCAAATATCCACTTGCAGATTCCACAAAACGAGTGTTTCAAAACTGCTCTGTCAAAAGATAGGTTCAACTCTGTTAGTTGAGTACACACATGGCAAACAAGATTCCGAGAATGCTTTCGTCTAGTTTTTTTGGGAAGATATTTCCTTCTTCACCATAGGCCTCAAAGCGCTCCAAATATCCATTTCCACATGCTATACAAAGAGTGTCTCAAACCTGCTGTATGAATGGGAATGTTCAACTCTATGAGTTGAATGCAAACATCACAAAGAAGTTTCTGAGAATGCTGCTGTCTAGATTTTATATGAAGGTTTTCCCGCTTCCAACGAAATTTTCAATGCTCTCAAAATATCCTCTTGTAGATTCTACAAAAAGAGTGTTTCCAAACTGCTGTATCAAAACAAAGGTTCATCTCTGTTAGTTGAGGACACACATCACAAATAAGTTTCTGAGAATGCTTCTGTCTAGTTCTTATTTGAAGACATTTCCTTTCTCACCTTAGGCCTGAAAGCGCTCGAAATACCCACTTCCAGATACTACAGAAACAGTGATTCAAACCTGCTCTATGAAAGGGAATGTTCAACTATGTGACTTGAATGCAAACATCACAAAGCAGTTTCTGAGAATGCTGCTGTCTACTTTCTATTTGTAATCCCGTTTGCAACGAAATCCTCAGAACTATCGAAATTTCCAATTGCAGATTCCACAGAAACAGGGTTTCAAAGCTGCTCTGTAAAAAGAAAGGTTCAACTCTGTTAGTTGAATACACACGTCACAAACAAGTTTCTGAGAATGCTTCTGTCTAGTTTTTATGGGAAGATATTTCCTTTTTCACCGTAGGCCTCAAAGCGCTCCAAATGTCCACGTCCACATACTACAAAAAGAGTGTTTCAAACCTGCTGTATGAAAGGGAATGTTCAACTCCTATGAGTTGAATGCAAACATTACAAAGAAGTTTCTGAGAATGCTTTCTGTCTAGATTTTATATGAAGGTTTTCCCGTTTCCAACGAAATTTTCAATGCTCTCAAAATATCCACTTGTAGATTCTACAAAAAGAGTGTTTCCAAACTGCTGTGTCAAAAGAAAGGTTCAACTCTGTTAGTTGAGGACACACATCACAAATAAGTTTCTGAGAATGCTTCTGTCTAGTTCTTATTTGAAGACATTTCCTTTCTCACCTTAGGCCTGAAAACGCTCGAAATATCCACTTCCAGATACGACAGAAACAGTGATTCAAACCTGCTCTATGAAAGGGAATGTTCAACTAGGTGACTTGAATGCAAACATCACAAAGCAGTTTCTGAGAATGCTGCTGTCTACTTTCTATTTGTAATCCCGTTTCCAACGAAATCCTCAGAACTATCGAAATTTCCAATTGCAGATTCCACAAAAAGCGTGTTTCAAAGCTGCTCTGTAAAAAGAAAGGTTCAACTCTGTTAGTTGAATACACACGTCACAAACAAGTTTCTGAGAATGCTTCTGTCTAGTTTTTATGGGAAGATATTTCCTTTTTCACCGTAGGCCTCAAAGCGCTCCAAATGTCCACTTCCACATACTACAAAAAGAGTGTTTCAAACCTGCTCTATGGTAGGGAATGTTGAAACCTATGAGTTGAATGCAAGCATTACAAAGAGGTTTCTGAGAATGCTTCTGTCTAGATTTTATATGTAGATATTCCCGTTTCCAACGAAATCCTCAAAGCTATCCAAATATCAACTTGCAGATTCTACAAAAGGAATGTTTCCAAAATGCTGTATCCAAACAAAGGTTCAACTCTGTGAATTGAGGGCATACATCACAAAGAAGATTCTGAGAATGCTTCTGTCTAGATTTTATATGAAAATATTCCCGTTTCCAACGAAATCCTCAAAGCTATCCAAATATCCACTTGCAAATGCCACAAAAAGAGTGTTTCCAAACTGCTCTGTGAAAAGGAAGGTTCAACTCTGTTAGTTGAGTACACACATCACAAAGAGGTTTCTGAGAATGCTGCTGACTAGTTTTTATTTGAAGATATTTCCCTTTTCACCTTAGGCCTAAGAGTGCTCGAAATGTCCATTTCCACATACTCCACAAAGTGTGTTTCAAACGTGCTGTATGAAAGGGAATGTTCAACTCTATGAGTTGAATGCAAACATCACAAAGAAGATTCTGAGAATGCTTTTGTCTAGATTTTATATGAAGATATTCCCGTGTCCAACGAAATTTTCAAAGGTCTCCAAATATCCATTTGTAGATTCTACAAAAAGAGTGTTTCCAAACTGCTGTATCAAAACAAAGGTTGAACTCTGTGAGTTGAGGACACACATCACAAATAAGTTTCTGAGAATGCTTCTGTCTAGTTTTTATTTGAAGATGTTTCCTTTTTCACCATAGGCCTGAAAGCGCTCGAAATGTCCACTTCCAGATAGTACAGAAAGAGTGTTTCAAACCTGCTCTATGAACGGGAATGTTCAGCTCTGTGAGTTGAATGCAAACATCACAAAGCAGGTTCTGAGAATGCTTCCGTCTAGATTTTAAATGAGGATATTCCCGTTTCCAACGAAATCCTCGAAGCTATCCAAATATCCACTTGCAGATTCCACAAAAAGAGTGTTTCAAAACTGCTCTGTCAAAAGATAGGTTCAACTCTGTTAGTTGAGTACACACATGGCAAACAAGATTCCGAGAATGCTTCTTTCGTCTAGTTTTTTTGGGAAGATATTTCCTTCTTCACCATAGGCCTCAAAGCGCTCCAAATATCCATTTCCACATGCTATACAAAGAGTGTCTCAAACCTGCTGTATGAATGGGAATGTTCAACTCTATGAGTTGAATGCAAACATCACAAAGAAGTTTCTGAGAATGCTGCTGTCTAGATTTTATATGAAGGTTTTCCCGCTTCCAACGAAATTTTCAATGCTCTCAAAATATCCTCTTGTAGATTCTACAAAAAGAGTGTTTCCAAACTGCTGTATCAAAACAAAGGTTCATCTCTGTTAGTTGAGGACACACATCACAAATAAGTTTCTGAGAATGCTTCTGTCTAGTTCTTATTTGAAGACATTTCCTTTCTCACCTTAGGCCTGAAAGCGCTCGAAATACACACTTCCAGATACTACAGAAACAGTGATTCAAACCTGCTCTATGAAAGGGAATGTTCAACTAGGTGACTTGAATGCAAACATCACAAAGCAGTTTCTGAGAATGCTGCTGTCTACTTTCTATTTGTAATCCCGTTTCCAACGAAATCCTCAGAACTATCGAAATTTCCAATTGCAGATTCCACAGAAACAGGGTTTCAAAGCTGCTCTGTAAAAAGAAAGGTTCAACTCTGTTAGTTGAATACACACGTCACAAACAAGTTTCTGAGAATGCTTCTGTCTAGTTTTTATGGGAAGATATTTCCTTTTTCACCGTAGGCCTCAAAGCGCTCCAAATGTCCACTTCCACATACTACAAAAAGAGTGTTTCAAACCTGCTCTATGATAGGGAATGTTGAAACCTATGAGTTGAATGCAAACATTACAAAGAGGTTTCTGAGAATGCTTCTGTCTAGATTTTATATGTAGATATTCCCGTTTCCAACGAAATCCTCAAAGCTATCCAAATATCAACTTGCATATTCTACAAAAGGAATGTTTCCAAAATGCTGTATCCAAACAAAGGTTCAACTCTGTGAATTGAGGGCATACATCACAAAGAAGAGTCTGAGAATGCTTCTGTCTAGATTTTATATGAAAATATTCCCGTTTCCAACGAAATCCTCAAAGCTATCCAAATATCCACTTGCAAATGCCACAAAAAGAGGTTTCCAAACTGCTCTGTGAAAAGGAAGGTTCAACTCTGTTAGTTGAGTACACACATCACAAAGAGGTTTCTGAGAATGCTGCTGACTAGTTTTTATTTGAAGATATTTCCCTTTTCACCTTAGGCCTAAGAGTGCTCGAAATGTCCATTTCCACATACTCCACAAAGTGTGTTTCAAACGTGCTGTATGAAAGGGAATGTTCAACTCTATGAGTTGAATGCAAACATCACAAAGAAGATTCTGAGAATGCTTTTGTCTAGATTTTATATGAAGATATTCCCGTGTCCAACGAAATTTTCAAAGGTCTCCAAATATCCATTTGTAGATTCTACAAAAAGAGTGTTTCCAAACTGCTGTATCAAAACAAAGGTTGAACTCTGTGAGTTGAGGACACACATCACAAATAAGTTTCTGAGAATGCTTCTGTCTAGTTTTTATTTGAAGATGTTTCCTTTTTCACCATAGGCCTGAAAGCGCTCGAAATGTCCACTTCCAGATAGTACAGAAAGAGTGTTTCAAACCTGCTCTATGAACGGGAATGGTCAGCTCTGTGAGTTGAATGCAAACATCACAAAGCAGGTTCTGAGAATGCTTCCGTCTAGATTTTAAATGAGGATATTCCCGTTTCCAACGAAATCCTCGAAGCTATCCAAATATCCACTTGCAGATTCCACAAAAAGAGTGTTTCAAAACTGCTCTGTCAAAAGATAGGTTCAACTCTGTTAGTTGAGTACACACATGGCAAACAAGATTCCGAGAATGCTTTCGTCTAGTTTTTTTGGGAAGATATTTCCTTCTTCACCATAGGCCTCAAAGCGCTCCAAATATCCATTTCCACATGCTATACAAAGAGTGTCTCAAACCTGCTGTATGAATGGGAATGTTCAACTCTATGAGTTGAATGCAAACATCACAAAGAAGTTTCTGAGAATGCTGCTGTCTAGATTTTATATGAAGGTTTTCCCGCTTCCAACGAAATTTTCAATGCTCTCAAAATATCCTCTTGTAGATTCTACAAAAAGAGTGTTTCCAAACTGCTGTATCAAAACAAAGGTTCATCTCTGTTAGTTGAGGACACACATCACAAATAAGTTTCTGAGAATGCTTCTGTCTAGTTCTTATTTGAAGACATTTCCTTTCTCACCTTAGGCCTGAAAGCGCTCGAAATACCCACCTTCCAGATACTACAGAAACAGTGATTCAAACCTGCTCTATGAAAGGGAATGTTCAACTAGGTGACTTGAATGCAAACATCACAAAGCAGTTTCTGAGAATGCTGCTGTCTACTTTCTATTTGTAATCCCGTTTCCAACGAAATCCTCAGAACTATCGAAATTTCCAATTGCAGATTCCACAAAAAGCGTGTTTCAAAGCTGCTCTGTAAAAAGAAAGGTTCAACTCTGTTAGTTGAATACACACGTCACAAACAAGTTTCTGAGAATGCTTCTGTCTAGTTTTTATGGGAAGATATTTCCTTTTTCACCGTAGGCCTCAAAGCGCTCCAAATGTCCACTTCCACATACTACAAAAAGAGTGTTTCAAACCTGCTCTATGATAGGGAATGTTGAAACCTATGAGTTGAATGCAAGCATTACAAAGAGGTTTCTGAGAATGCTTCTGTCTAGATTTTATATGTAGATATTCTCGTTTCCAACGAAATCCTCAAAGCTATCCAAATATCAACTTGCAGATTCTACAAAAGGAATGTTTCCAAAATGCTGTATCCAAACAAAGGTTCAACTCTGTGAATTGAGGGCATACATCACAAAGAAGATTCTGAGAATGCTTCTGTCTAGATTTTATATGAAAATATTCCCGTTTCCAACGAAATCCTCAAAGCTATCCAAATATCCACTTGCAAATGCCACAAAAAGAGTGTTTCCAAACTGCTCTGTGAAAAGGAAAGGTTCAACTCTGTTAGTTGAGTACACACATCACAAAGAGGTTTCTGAGAATGCTGCTGACTAGTTTTTATTTGAAGATATTTCCCTTTTCACCTTAGGCCTAAGAGTGCTCGAAATGTCCATTTCCACATACTCCACAAAGTGTGTTTCAAACGTGCTGTATGAAAGGGAATGTTCAACTCTATGAGTTGAATGCAAACATCACAAAGAAGATTCTGAGAATGCTTTTGTCTAGATTTTATATGAAGATATTCCCGTGTCCAACGAAATTTTCAAAGGTCTCCAAATATCCATTTGTAGATTCTACAAAAAGAGTGTTTCCAAACTGCTGTATCAAAACAAAGGTTGAACTCTGTGAGTTGAGGACACACATCACAAATAAGTTTCTGAGAATGCTTCTGTCTAGTTTTTATTTGAAGATGTTTCCTTTTTCACCATAGGCCTGAAAGCGCTCGAAATGTCCACTTCCAGATAGTACAGAAAGAGTGTTTCAAACCTGCTCTATGAACGGGAATGTTCAGCTCTGTGAGTTGAATGCAAACATCACAAAGCAGGTTCTGAGAATGTTTCCGTCTAGATTTTAAATGAGGATATTCCCGTTTCCAACGAAATCCTCGAAGCTATCCAAATATCCACTTGCAGATTCCACAAAAAGAGTGTTTCAAAACTGCTCTGTCAAAAGATAGGTTCAACTCTGTTAGTTGAGTACACACATGGCAAACAAGATTCCGAGAATGCTTTCGTCTAGTTTTTTTGGGAAGATATTTCCTTCTTCACCATAGGCCTCAAAGCGCTCCAAATATCCATTTCCACATGCTATAAAAAGAGTGTCTCAAACCTGCTGTATGAATGGGAATGTTCAACTCTATGAGTTGAATGCAAACATCACAAAGAAGTTTCTGAGAATGCTGCTGTCTAGATTTTTATATGAAGGATTTCCCGCTTCCAACGAAATTTTCAATGCTCTCAAAATATCCTCTTGTAGATTCTACAAAAAGAGTGTTTCCAAACTGCTGTATCAAAACAAAGGTTCATCTCTGTTAGTTGAGGACACACATCACAAATAAGTTTCTGAGAATGCTTCTGTCTAGTTCTTATTTGAAGACATTTCCTTTCTCACCTTAGGCCTGAAAGCGCTCGAAATACCCACTTCCAGATACTACAGAAACAGTGATTCAAACCTGCTCTATGAAAGGGAATGTTCAACTATGTGACTTGAATGCAAACATCACAAAGCAGTTTCTGAGAATGCTGCTGTCTACTTTCTATTTGTAATCCCGTTTGCAACGAAATCCTCAGAACTATCGAAATTTCCAATTGCAGATTCCACAGAAACAGGGTTTCAAAGCTGCTCTGTAAAAAGAAAGGTTCAACTCTGTTAGTTGAATACACACGTCACAAACAAGTTTCTGAGAATGCTTCTGTCTAGTTTTTATGGGAAGATATTTCCTTTTTCACCGTAGGCCTCAAAGCGCTCCAAATGTCCACTTCCACATACTACAAAAAGAGTGTTTCAAACCTGCTGTATGAAAGGGAATGTTCAACTCTATGAGTCGAATGCAAACATTACAAAGAAGTTTCTGAGAATGCTTCTGTCTAGATTTTATATGAAGGTTTTCCCGTTTCCAACGAAATTTTCAATGCTCTCAAAATATCCACTTGTAGATTCTACAAAAAGAGTGTTTCCAAACTGCTGTGTCAAAAGAAAGGTTCAACTCTGTTAGTTGAGGACACACATCACAAATAAGTTTCTGAGAATGCTTCTGTCTAGTTCTTATTTGAAGACATTTCCTTTCTCACCTTAGGCCTGAAAGCGCTCGAAATACCCACTTCCAGATACTACAGAAACAGTGATTCAAACCTGCTCTATGAAAGGGAATGTTCAACTATGTGACTTGAATGCAAACATCACAAAGCAGTTTCTGAGAATGCTGCTGTCTACTTTCTATTTGTAATCCCGTTTCCAACGAAATCCTCAGAACTATCGAAATTTCCAATTGCAGATTCCACAGAAACAGGGTTTCAAAACTGCTCTGTAAAAAGAAAGGTTCAACTCTGTTAGTTGAATACACACGTCACAAACAAGTTTCTGAGAATGCTTCTGTCTAGTTTTTATGGGAAGATATTTCCTTTTTCACCGTAGGCCTCAAAGCGCTCCAAATGTCCACTTCCACATACTACAAAAAGAGTGTTTCAAACCTGCTGTATGAAAGGGAATGTTCAACTCTATGAGTTGAATGCAAACATTACAAAGAAGTTTCTGAGAATGCTTCTGTCTAGATTTTATATGAAGGTTTTCCCGTTTCCAACGAAATTTTCAATGCTCTCAAAATATCCACTTGTAGATTCTACAAAAAGAGTGTTTCCAAACTGCTGTGTCAAAAGAAAGGTTCAACTCTGTTAGTTGAGGACACACATCACAAATAAGTTTCTGAGAATGCTTCTGTCTAGTTCTTATTTGAAGACATTTCCTTTCTCACCTTAGGCCTGAAAACGCTCGAAATATCCACTTCCAGATACGACAGAAACAGTGATTCAAACCTGCTCTATGAAAGGGAATGTTCAACTAGGTGACTTGAATGCAAACATCACAAAGCAGTTTCTGAGAATGCTGCTGTCTACTTTCTATTTGTAATCCCGTTTCCAACGAAATCCTCAGAACTATCGAAATTTCCAATTGCAGATTCCACAAAAAGCGTGTTTCAAAGCTGCTCTGTAAAAAGAAAGGTTCAACTCTGTTAGTTGAATACACACGTCACAAACAAGTTTCTGAGAATGCTTCTGTCTAGTTTTTATGGGAAGATATTTCCTTTTTCACCGTAGGCCTCAAAGCGCTCCAAATGTCCACTTCCACATACTACAAAAAGAGTGTTTCAAACCTGCTCTATGATAGGGAATGTTGAAACCTATGAGTTGAATGCAAGCATTACAAAGAGGTTTACTGAGAATGCTTCTGTCTAGATTTTATATGTAGATATTCCCGTTTCCAACGAAATCCTCAAAGCTATCCAAATATCAGCTTGCAGATTCTGCAAAAGGAATGTTTCCAAAATGCTGTATCCAAACAAAGGTTCAACTCTGTGAATTGAGGGCATACATCACAAAGAAGATTCTGAGAATGCTTCTGTCTAGATTTTATATGAAAATATTCCCGTTTCCAACGAAATCCTCAAAGCTATCCAAATATCCACTTGCAAATGCCACAAAAAGAGTGTTTCCAAACTGCTCTGTGAAAAGGAAGGTTCAACTCTGTTAGTTGAGTACACACATCACAAAGAGGTTTCTGAGAATGCTGCTGACTAGTTTTTATTTGAAGATATTTCCCTTTTCACCTTAGGCCTAAGAGTGCTCGAAATGTCCATTTCCACATACTCCACAAAGTGTGTTTCAAACGTGCTGTATGAAAGGGAATGTTCAACTCTATGAGTTGAATGCAAACATCACAAAGAAGACTCTGAGAATGCTTTTGTCTAGATTTTATATGAAGATATTCCCGTGTCCAACGAAATTTTCAATGCTCTCAAAATATCCATTTGTAGATTCTACAAAAAGAGTGTTTCCAAACTGCTGTATCAAAACAAAGGTTGAACTCTGTGAGTTGAGGACACACATCACAAATAAGTTTCTGAGAATGCTTCTGTCTAGTTTTTATTTGAAGATGTTTCCTTTTTCACCATAGGCCTGAAAGCGCTCGAAATGTCCACTTCCAGATAGTACAGAAAGAGTGTTTCAAACCTGCTCTATGAACGGGAATGTTCAGCTCTGTGAGTTGAATGCAAACATCACAAAGCAGGTTCCGAGAATGCTTCCGTCTAGATTTTAAATGAGGATATTCCCGTTTCCAACGAAATCCTCGAAGCTATCCAAATATCCACTTGCAGATTCCACAAAAAGAGTGTTTCAAAACTGCTCTGTCAAAAGATAGGTTCAACTCTGTTAGTTGAGTACACACATGGCAAACAAGATAGCGAGAATGCTTTCGTCTAGTTTTTTTGGGAAGATATTTCCTTCTTCACCATAGGCCTCAAAGCGCTCCAAATATCCATTTCCACATGCTATACAAAGAGTGTCTCAAACCTGCTGTATGAATGGGAATGTTCAACTCTATGAGTTGAATGCAAACATCACAAAGAAGTTTCTGAGAATGCTGCTGTCTAGATTTTATATGAAGGTTTTCCCGCTTCCAACGAAATTTTCAATGCTCTCAAAATATCCTCTTGTAGATTCTACAAAAAGAGTGTTTCCAAACTGCTGTATCAAAACAAAGGTTCATCTCTGTTAGTTGAGGACACACATCACAAATAAGTTTCTGAGAATGCTTCTGTCTAGTTCTTATTTGAAGACATTTCCTTTCTCACCTTAGGCCTGAAAGCGCTCGAAATATCCACTTCCAGATACGACAGAAACAGTGATTCAAACCTGCTCTATGAAAGGGAATGTTCAACTAGGTGACTTGAATGCAAACATCACAAAGCAGTTTCTGAGAATGCTGCTGTCTACTTTCTATTTGTAATCCCGTTTCCAACGAAATCCTCAGAACTATCGAAATTTCCAATTGCAGATTCCACAGAAACAGGGTTTCAAAGCTGCTCTGTAAAAAGAAAGGTTCAACTCTGTTAGTTGAATACACACGTCACAAACAAGTTTCAGAGAATGCTTCTGTCTAGTTTTTATGGGAAGATATTTCCTTTTTCACCGTAGGCCTCAAAGCGCTCCAAATGTCCACTTCCACATACTACAAAAGAGTGTTTCAAACCTGCTGTATGAAAGGGAATGTTCAACTCTATGAGTTGAATGCAAACATTACAAAGAAGTTTCTGAGAATGCTTCTGTCTAGATTTTATATGAAGGTTTTCCCGTTTCCAACGAAATTTTCAATGCTCTCAAAATATCCACTTGTAGATTCTACAAAAAGAGTGTTTCCAAACTGCTGTGTCAAAAGAAAGGTTCAACTCTGTTAGTTGAGGACACACATCACAAATAAGTTTCTGAGAATGCTTCTGTCTAGTTCTTATTTGAAGACATTTCCTTTCTCACCTTAGGCCTGAAAACGCTCGAAATATCCACTTCCAGATACGACAGAAACAGTGATTCAAACCTGCTCTATGAAAGGGAATGTTCAACTAGGTGACTTGAATGCAAACATCACAAAGCAGTTTCTGAGAATGCTGCTGTCTACTTTCTATTTGTAATCCCGTTTCCAACGAAATCCTCAGAACTATCGAAATTTCCAATTGCAGATTCCACAAAAAGCGTGTTTCAAAGCTGCTCTGTAAAAAGAAAGGTTCAACTCTGTTAGTTGAATACACACGTCACAAACAAGTTTCTGAGAATGCTTCTGTCTAGTTTTTATGGGAAGATATTTCCTTTTTCACCGTAGGCCTCAAAGCGCTCCAAATGTCCACTTCCACATACTACAAAAAGAGTGTTTCAAACCTGCTCTATGATAGGGAATGTTGAAACCTATGAGTTGAATGCAAGCATTACAAAGAGGTTTCTGAGAATGCTTCTGTCTAGTATTTTATATGTAGATATTCCCGTTTCCAACGAAATCCTCAAAGCTATCCAAATATCAACTTGCAGATTCTACAAAAGGAATGTTTCCAAAATGCTGTATCCAAACAAAGGTTCAACTCTGTGAATTGAGGGCATACATCACAAAGAAGATTCTGAGAATGCTTCTGTCTAGATTTTATATGAAAATATTCCCGTTTCCAACGAAATCCTCAAAGCTATCTAAATATCCACTTGCAAATGCCACAAAAAGAGTGTTTCCAAACTGCTCTGTGAAAAGGAAGGTTCAACTCTGTTAGTTGAGTACACACATCACAAAGAGGTTTCTGAGAATGCTGCTGACTAGTTTTTATTTGAAGATATTTCCCTTTTCACCTTAGGCCTAAGAGTGCTCGAAATGTCCATTTCCACATACTCCACAAAGTGTGTTTCAAACGTGCTGTATGAAAGGGAATGTTCAACTCTATGAGTTGAATTCAAACATCACAAAGAAGATTCTGAGAATGCTTTTGTCTAGATTTTATATGAAGATATTCCCGTGTCCAACGAAATTTTCAAAGGTCTCCAAATATCCATTTGTAGATTCTACAAAAAGAGTGTTTCCAAACTGCTGTATCAAAACAAAGGTTGAACTCTGTGAGTTGAGGACACACATCACAAATAAGTTTCTGAGAATGCTTCTGTCTAGTTTTTATTTGAAGATGTTTCCTTTTTCACCATAGGCCTGAAAGCGCTCGAAATGTCCACTTCCAGATAGTACAGAAAGAGTGTTTCAAACCTGCTCTATGAACGGGAATGTTCAGCTCTGTGAGTTGAATGCAAACATCACAAAGCAGGTTCCGAGAATGCTTCCGTCTAGATTTTAAATGAGGATATTCCCGTTTCCAACGAAATCCTCGAAGCTATCCAAATATCCACTTGCAGATTCCACAAAAAGAGTGTTTCAAAACTGCTCTGTCAAAAGATAGGTTCAACTCTGTTAGTTGAGTACACACATGGCAAACAAGATTGCGAGAATGCTTTCGTCTAGTTTTTTTGGGAAGATATTTCCTTCTTCACCATAGGCCTCAAAGCGCTCCAAATATCCATTTCCACATACTATACAAAGAGTGTCTCAAACCTGCTGTATGAATGGGAATGTTCAACTCTATGAGTTGAATGCAAACATCACAAAGAAGTTTCTGAGAATGCTGCTGTCTAGATTTTATATGAAGGTTTTCCCGCTTCCAACGAAATTTTCAATGCTCTCAAAATATCCTCTTGTAGATTCTACAAAAAGAGTGTTTCCAAACTGCTGTATCAAAACAAAGGTTCATCTCTGTTAGTTGAGGACACACATCACAAATAAGTTTCTGAGAATGCTTCTGTCTAGTTCTTATTTGAAGACATTTCCTTTCTCACCTTAGGCCTGAAAGCGCTCGAAATACCCACTTCCAGATACTACAGAAACAGTGATTCAAACCTGCTCTATGAAAGGGAATGTTCAACTATGAGACTTGAATGCAAACATCACAAAGCAGTTTCTGAGAATGCTGCTGTCTACTTTCTATTTGTAATCCCGTTTCCAACGAAATCCTCAGAACTATCGAAATTTCCAATTGCAGATTCCACAGAAACAGGGTTTCAAAGCTGCTCTGTAAAAAGAAAGGTTCAACTCTGTTAGTTGAATACACACGTCACAAACAAGTTTCTGAGAATGCTTCTGTCTAGTTTTTATGGGAAGATATTTCCTTTTTCACCGTAGGCCTCAAAGCGCTCCAAATGTCCACTTCCACATACTACAAAAAGAGTGTTTCAAACCTGCTCTATGATAGGGAATGTTGAAACCTATGAGTTGAATGCAAGCATTACAAAGAGGTTTCTGAGAATGCTTCTGTCTAGATTTTATATGTAGATATTCCCGTTTCCAACGAAATCCTCAAACTATCCAAATATCAACTTGCAGATTCTACAAAAGGAATGTTTCCAAAATGCTGTATCCAAACAAAGGTTCAACTCTGTGAATTGAGGGCATACATCACAAAGAAGATTCTGAGAATGCTTCGGTCTAGATTTTACATGAAAATATTCCCGTTTCCAACGAAATCCTCAAAGCTATCCAAATATCCACTTGAAAATGCCACAAAAAGAGTGTTTCAAACCTGCTCTGTGAAAAGGAAGGTTCAACTACTGTTAGTTGAGTACACACATTCACCAAGAGGTTTCTGAGAATGCTGCTGACTAGTTTTTATTTGAAGATATTTCCCTTTTCACCTTAGGCCTAAGAGTGCTCGAAATGTCCATTTCCACATACTCCACAAAGTGTATTTCAAACGTGCTGTATGAAAGGGAATGTTCAACTCTATGAGTTGAATGCAAACATCACAAAGAAGATTCTGAGAATGCTTTTGTCTAGATTTTATATGAAGATATTCCCGTGTCCAACGAAATTTTCAAAGGTCTCCAAATATCCATTTGTAGATTCTACAAAAAGAGTGTTTCCAAACTGCTGTATCAAAACAAAGGTTGAACTCTGTGAGTTGAGGACACACATCACAAATAAGTTTCTGAGAATGCTTCTGTCTAGTTTTTATTTGAAGATGTTTCCTTTTTCACCATAGGCCTGAAAGCGCTCGAAATGTCCACTTCCAGATAGTACAGAAAGAGTGTTTCAAACCTGCTCTATGAACGGGAATGTTCAGCTCTGTGAGTTGAATGGAAACATCACAAAGCAGGTTCTGAGAATGCTTCCGTCTAGATTTTAAATGAGGATATTCCCGTTTCCAACGAAATCCTCGAAGCTATCCAAATATCCACTTGCAGATTCCACAGAAAGAGTGTTTCAAAACTGCTCTGTCAAAAGATAGGTTCAACTCTGTTAGTTGAGTACACACATGGCAAACAAGATTGCGAGAATGCTTTCGTCTAGTTTTTTTGGGAAGATATTTCCTTCTTCACCATAGGCCTCAAAGCGCTCCAAATATCCATTTCCACATGCTATACAAAGAGTGTCTCAAACCTGCTGTATGAATGGGAATGTTCAACTCTATGAGTTGAATGCAAACATCACAAAGAAGTTTCTGAGAATGCTGCTGTCTAGATTTTATATGAAGGTTTTCCCGCTTCCAACGAAATTTTCAATGCTCTCAAAATATCCTCTTGTAGATTCTACAAAAAGAGTGTTTCCAAACTGCTGTATCAAAACAAAGGTTCATCTCTGTTAGGTGAGGACACACATCACAAATAAGTTTCTGAGAATGCTTCTGTCTAGTTCTTATTTGAAGACATTTCCTTTCTCACCTTAGGCCTGAAAGCGCTCGAAATACCCACTTCCAGATACTACAGAAACAGTGATTCAAACCTGCTCTATGAAAGGGAATGTTCAACTATGTGACTTGAATGCAAACATCACAAAGCAGTTTCTGAGAATGCTGCTGTCTACTTTCAATTTGTAATCCCGTTTCCAACGAAATCCTCAGAACTATCGAAATTTCCAATTGCAGATTCCACAGAAACAGGGTTTCAAAGCTGCTCTGTAAAAAGAAAGGTTCAACTCTGTTAGTTGAATACACACGTCACAAACAAGTTTCTGAGAATGCTTCTGTCTAGTTTTTATGGGAAGATATTTCCTTTTTCACCGTAGGCCTCAAAGCGCTCCAAATGTCCACTTCCACATACTACAAAAAGAGTGTTTCAAACCTGCTGTATGAAAGGGAATGTTCAACTCTATGAGTTGAATGCAAACATTACAAAGAAGTTTCTGAGAATGCTTCTGTCTAGATTTTATATGTAGATATTCCCGTTTCCAACGAAATCCTCAAACTATCCAAATATCAACTTGCAGATTCTACAAAAGGAATGTTTCCAAAATGCTGTATCCAAACAAAGGTTCAACTCTGTGAATTGAGGGCATACATCACAAAGAAGATTCTGAGAATGCTTCTGTCTAGATTTTATATGAAAATATTCCCGTTTCCAACGAAATCCTCAAAGCTATCCAAATATCCACTTGCAAATGCCACAAAAAGAGTGTTTCCAAACTGCTCTGTGAAAAGGAAGGTTCAACTCTGTTAGTTGAGTACACACATCACAAAGAGGTTTCTGAGAATGCTGCTGACTAGTTTTTATTTGAAGATATTTCCCTTTTCACCTTAGGCCTAAGAGTGCTCGAAATGTCCATTTCCACATACTCCACAAAGTGTCTTTCAAACGTGCTGTATGAAAGGGAACGTTCAACTCTATGAGTTGAATGCAAACATCACAAAGAAGATTCTGAGAATGCTTTTGTCTAGATTTTATATGAAGATATTCCCGTGTCCAACGAAATTTTCAAAGGTCTCCAAATATCCATTTGTAGATTCTACAAAAAGAGTGTTTCCAAACTGCTGTATCAAAACAAAGGTTGAACTCTGTGAGTTGAGGACACACATCACAAATAAGTTTCTGAGAATGCTTCTGTCTAGTTTTTATTTGAAGATGTTTCCTTTTTCACCATAGGCCTGAAAGCGCTCGAAATGTCCACTTCCAGATAGTACAGAAAGAGTGTTTCAAACCTGCTCTATGAACGGGAATGTTCAGTTCTGTGAGTTGAATGCAAACATCACAAAGCAGGTTCTGAGAATGCTTCCGTCTAGATTTTAAATGAGGATATTCCCGTTTCCAACGAAATCCTCGAAGCTATCCAAATATCCACTTGCAGATTCCACAAAAAGAGTGTTTCAAAACTGCTCTGTCAAAAGATAGGTTCAACTCTGTTAGTTGAGTACACACATGGCAAACAAGATTGCGAGAATGCTTTCGTCTAGTTTTTTTGGGAAGATATTTCCTTCTTCACCATAGGCCTCAAAGCGCTCCAAATATCCATTTCCACATGCTATACAAAGAGTGTCTCAAAACTGCTGTATGAATGGGAATGTTCAACTCTATGAGTTGAATGCAAACATCACAAAGAAGTTTCTGAGAATGCTGCTGTCTAGATTTTATATGAAGGTTTCCCGCTTCCAACGAAATTTTCAATGCTCTCAAAATATCCTCTTGTAGATTCTACAAAAAGAGTGTTTCCAAACTGCTGTATCAAAACAAAGGTTCATCTCTGTTAGTTGAGGACACACATCACAAATAAGTTTCTGAGAATGCTTCTGTCTAGTTCTTATTTGAAGACATTTCCTTTCTCACCTTAGGCCTGAAAGCGCTCGAAATACCCACTTCCAGATACTACAGAAACAGTGATTCAAACCTGCTCTATGAAAGGGAATGTTCAACTATGTGACTTGAATGCAAACATCACAAAGCAGTTTCTGAGAATGCTGCTGTCTACTTTCTATTTGTAATCCCGTTTCCAACGAAATCCTCAGAACTATCGAAATTTCCAATTGCAGATTCCACAGAAACAGGGTTTCAAAGCTGCTCTGTAAAAAGAAAGGTTCAACTCTGTTAGTTGAATACACACGTCACAAACAAGTTTCTGAGAATGCTTCTGTCTAGTTTTTATGGGAAGATATTTCCTTTTTCACCGTAGGCCTCAAAGCGCTCCAAATGTCCACTTCCACATACTACAAAAAGAGTGTTTCAAACCTGCTGTATGAAAGGGAATGTTCAACTCTGTGAGTTGAATGCAAACTTTACAAAGAAGTTTCTGAGAATGCTTCTGTCTAGATTTTATATGAAGGTTTTCCCGTTTCCAACGAAATTTTCAATGCTCTCAAAATATCCACTTGTAGATTCTACAAAAAGAGTGTTTCCAAACTGCTGTGTCAAAAGAAAGGTTCAACTCTGTTAGTTGAGGACACACATCACAAATAAGTTTCTGATAATGCTTCTGTCTAGTTCTTATTTGAAGACATTTCCTTTCTCACCTTAGGCCTGAAAACGCTCGAAATATCCACTTCCAGATACGACAGAAACAGTGATTCAAACCTGCTCTATGAAAGGGAATGTTCAACTAGGTGACTTGAATGCAAACATCACAAAGCAGTTTCTGAGAATGCTGCTGTCTACTTTCTATTTGTAATCCCGTTTCCAACGAAATCCTCAGAACTATCGAAATTTCCAATTGCAGATTCCACAAAAAGCGTGTTTCAAAGCTGCTCTGTAAAAAGAAAGGTTCAACTCTGTTAGTTGAATACACACGTCACAAACAAGTTTCTGAGAATGCTTCTGTCTAGTTTTTATGGGAAGATATTTCCTTTTTCACCGTAGGCCTCAAAGCGCTCCAAATGTCCACTTCCACATACTACAAAAAGAGTGTTTCAAACCTGCTCTATGATAGGGAATGTTGAAACCTATGAGTTGAATGCAAGCATTACAAAGAGGTTTCTGAGAATGCTTCTGTCTAGATTTTATATGTAGATATTCCCGTTTCCAACGAAATCCTCAAAGCTATCCAAATATCAACTTGCAGATTCTACAAAAGGAATGTTTCCAAAATGCTGTATCCAAACAAAGGTTCAACTCTGTGAATTGAGGGCATACATCACAAAGAAGATTCTGAGAATGCTTCTGTCTAGATTTTATATGAAAATATTCCCGTTTCCAACGAAATCCTCAAAGCTATCCAAATATCCACTTGCAAATGCCACAAAAAGAGTGTTTCCAAACTGCTCTGTGAAAAGGAAGGTTCAACTCTGTTAGTTGAGTACACACATCACAAAGAGGTTTCTGAGAATGCTGCTGACTAGTTTTTATTTGAAGATATTTCTCTTTTCACCTTAGGCCTAAGAGTGCTCGAAATGTCCATTTCCACATACTCCACAAAGTGTGTTTCAAACGTGCTGTATGAAAGGGAATGTTCAACTCTATGAGTTGAATGCAAACATCACAAAGAAGATTCTGAGAATGCTTTTGTTTAGATTTTATATGAAGATATTCCCGTGTCCAACGAAATTTTCAAAGGTCTCCAAATATCCATTTGTAGTTTCTACAAAAAGAGTGTTTCCAAACTGCTGTATCAAAACAAAGGTTGAACTCTGTGAGTTGAGGACACACATCACAAATAAGTTTCTGAGAATGCTTCTGTCTAGTTTTTATTTGAAGATATTTCCTTTTTCACCATAGGCCTGAAAGCGCTCGAAATGTCCACTTCCAGATAGTACAGAAAGAGTGTTTCAAACCTGCTCTATGAACGGGAATGTTCAGCTCTGTGAGTTGAATGCAAACATCACAAAGCAGGTTATGAGAATGCTTCCGTCTAGATTTTAAATGAGGATATTCCCGTTTCCAACGAAATCCTCGAAGCTATCCAAATATCCACTTGCAGATTCCACAAAAAGAGTGTTTCAAAACTGCTCTGTCAAAAGATAGGTTCTACTCTGTTAGTTGAGTACACACATGGCAAACAAGATTCCGAGAATGCTTTCGTCTAGTTTTTTTGGGAAGATATTTCCTTCTTCACCATAGGCCTCAAAGCGCTCCAAATATCCATTTCCACATGCTATACAAAGAGTGTCTCAAACCTGCTGTATGAATGGGAATGTTCAACTCTATGAGTTGAATGCAAACATCACAAAGAAGTTTCTGAGAATGCTGCTGTCTAGATTTTATATGAAGGTTTTCCCGCTTCCAACGAAATTTTCAATGCTCTGAAAATATCCTCTTGTATATTCTACAAAAAGAGTGTTTCCAAACTGCTGTGTCAAAAGAAAGGTTCAACTCTGTTAGTTGAGGACACACATCACAAATAAGTTTCTGAGAATGCTTCTGTCTAGTTCTTATTTGACGACATTTCCTTTCTCACCTTAGGCCTGAAAGCGCTCAAAATACCCACTTCCAGATACTACAGAAACAGTGATTCAAACCTGCTCTATGAAAGGACATGTTCAACTATGTGACTTGAATGCAAACATCACAAAGCAGTTTCTGAGAATGCTGCTGTCTACTTTCTATTTGTAATCCCGTTTCCAACGAAATCCTCAGACCTATCGAAATTTCCAATTGCAGATTCCACAGAAAAAGGGTTTCAAAGCTGCTCTGTAAAAAGAAAGGTTCAACTCTGTTAGTTGAATACACACGTCACAAACAAGTTTCTGAGAATGCTTCTGTCTAGTTTTTATGGGAAGATATTTCCTTTTTCACCGTAGGCCTCAAAGCGCTCCAAATGTCCACTTCCACATACTACAAAAAGAGTGTTTCAAACCTGCTGTATGAAAGGGAATGTTCAACTCTATGAGTTGAATGCAAACATTACAAAGAAGTTTCTGAGAATGCTTCTGTCTAGATTTTATATGAAGGTTTTCCCGTTTCCAACGAAATTTTCAATGCTCTCAAAATATCCACTTGTAGATTCTACAAAAAGAGTGTTTCCAAACTGCTGTGTCAAAAGAAAGGTTCAACTCTGTTAGTTGAGGACACACATCACAAATAAGTTTCTGAGAATGCTTCTGTCTAGTTCTTATTTGAAGACATTTCCTTTCTCACCTTAGGCCTGAAAACGCTCGAAATATCCACTTCCAGATACGACAGAAACAGTGATTCAAACCTGCTCTATGAAAGGGAATGTTCAACTAGGTGACTTGAATGCAAACATCACAAAGCAGTTTCTGAGAATGCTGCTGTCTACTTTCTATTTGTAATCCCGTTTCCAACGAAATCCTCAGAACTATCGAAATTTCCAATTGCAGATTCCACAAAAAGCGTGTTTCAAAGCTGCTCTGTAAAAAGAAAGGTTCAACTCTGTTAGTTGAATACACACGTCACAAACAAGTTTCTGAGAATGCTTCTGTCTAGTTTTTATGGGAAGATATTTCCTTTTTCACCGTAGGCCTCAAAGCGCTCCAAATGTCCACTTCCACATACTACAAAAAGAGTGTTTCAAACCTGCTCTATGATAGGGAATGTTGAAACCTATGAGTTGAATGCAAGCATTACAAAGAGGTTTCTGAGAATGCTTCTGTCTAGATTTTATATGTAGATAGATATTCCCGTTTCCAACGAAATCCTCAAACTATCCAAATATCAACTTGCAGATTCTACAAAAGGAATGTTTCCAAAATGCTGTATCCAAACAAAGGTTTAACTCTGTGAATTGAGGGCATACATCACAAAGAAGATTCTGAGAATGCTTCTGTCTAGATTTTATATGAAAATATTCCCGTTTCCAACGAAATCCTCAAAGCTATCCAAATATCCACTTGCAAATGCCACAAAAAGAGTGTTTCCAAACTGCTCTGTGAAAAGGAAGGTTCAACTCTGTTAGTTGAGTACACACATCACAAAGAGGTTTCTGAGAATGCTGCTGACTAGTTTTTATTTGAAGATATTTCCCTTTTCACCTTAGGCCTAAGAGTGCTCGAAATGTCCATTTCCACATACTCCACAAAGTGTGTTTCAAACGTGCTGTATGAAAGGGAATGTTCAACTCTATGAGTTGAATGCAAACATCACAAAGAAGATTCTGAGAATGCTTTTGTCTAGATTTTATATGAAGATATTCCCGTGTCCAACGAAATTTTCAAAGGTCTCCAAATATCCATTTGTAGATTCTACAAAAAGAGTGTTTCCAAACTGCTGTATCAAAACAAAGGTTGAACTCTGTGAGTTGAGGACACACATCACAAATAAGTTTCTGAGAATGCTTCTGTCTAGTTTTTATTTGAAGATGTTTCCTTTTTCACCATAGGCCTGAAAGCGCTCGAAATGTCCACTTCCAGATAGTACAGAAAGAGTGTTTCAAACCTGCTCTATGAACGGGAATGTTCAGCTCTGTGAGTTGAATGCAAACATCACAAAGCAGGTTCTGAGAATGCTTCCGTCTAGATTTTATATGAGGATATTCCCGTTTCCAAGGAAATCCTCGAAGCTATCCAAATATCCATTTGCAGATTCCACAAAAAGAGTGTTTCAAAACTGCTCTGTCAAAAGATAGGTTCAACTCTGTTTAGTTGAGTACACACATGGCAAACAAGATTGCGAGAATGCTTTCGTCTAGTTTTTTTGGGAAGATATTTCCTTCTTCACCATAGGCCTCAAAGCGCTCCAAATATCCATTTCCACATGCTATACAAAGAGTGTCTCAAACCTGCTGTATGAATGGGAATGTTCAACTCTATGAGTTGAATGCAAACATCACAAAGAAGTTTCTGAGAATGCTGCTGTCTAGATTTTATATGAAGGTTTTCCCGCTTCCAACGAAATTTTCAATGCTCTCAAAATATCCTCTTGTAGATTCTACAAAAAGAGTGTTTCCAAACTGCTGTATCAAAACAAAGGTTCATCTCTGTTAGTTGAGGACACACATCACAAATAAGTTTCTGAGAATGCTTCTGTCTAGTTCTTATTTGAAGACATTTCCTTTCTCACCTTAGGCCTGAAAGCGCTCGAAATACCCACTTCCAGATACTACAGAAACAGTGATTCAAACCTGCTCTATGAAAGGGAATGTTCAACTAGGTGACTTGAATGCAAACATCACAAAGCAGTTTCTGAGAATGCTGCTGTCTACTTTCTATTTGTAATCCCGTTTGCAACGAAATCCTCAGAACTATCGAAATTTCCAATTGCAGATTCCACAGAAACAGGGTTTCAAAGCTGCTCTGTAAAAAGAAAGGTTCAACTCTGTTAGTTGAATACACACGTCACAAACAAGTTTCTGAGAATGCTTCTGTCTAGTTTTTATGGGAAGATATTTCCTTTTTCACCGTAGGCCTCAAAGCGCTCCAAATGTCCACTTCCACATACTACAAAAAGAGTGTTTCAAACCTGCTCTATGATAGGGAATGTTGAAACCTATGAGTTGAATGCAAGCATTACAAAGAGGTTTCTGAGAATGCTTCTGTCTAGATTTTATATGTAGATATTCCCGTTTCCAACGAAATCCTCAAACTATCCAAATATCAACTTGCAGATTCTACAAAAGGAATGTTTCCAAAATGCTGTATCCAAACAAAGGTTCAACTCTGTGAATTGAGGGCATACATCACAAAGAAGATTCTGAGAATGCTTCTGTCTAGATTTTATATGAAAATATTCCCGTTTCCAACGAAATCCTCAAAGCTATCCAAATATCCACTTGTAGATTCTACAAAAAGAGTGTTTCCAAACTGCTCTGTGAAAAGGAAGGTTCAACTCTGTTAGTTGAGTACACACATCACAAAGAGGTTTCTGAGAATGCTGCTGACTAGTTTTTATTTGAAGATATTTCCCTTTTCACCTTAGGCCTAAGAGTGCTCGAAATGTCCATTTCCGCATACTCCACAAAGTGTGTTTCAAACGTGCTGTATGAAAGGGAATGTTCAACTCTATGTGTTGAATGCAAACATCACAAAGAAGATTCTGAGAATGCTTTTGTCTAGATTTTATATGAAGATATTCCCGTGTCCAACGAAATTTTCAAAGGTCTCCAAATATCCATTTGTAGATTCTACAAAAAGAGTGTTTCCAAACTGCTGTATCAAAACAAAGGTTGAACTCTGTGAGTTGAGGACACACATCACAAATAAGTTTCTGAGAATGCTTCTGTCTAGTTTTTATTTGAAGATGTTTCCTTTTTCACCATAGGCCTGAAAGCGCTCGAAATGTCCACTTCCAGATAGTACAGAAAGAGTGTTTCAAACCTGCTCTATGAACGGGAATGTTCAGCTCTGTGAGTTGAATGCAAACATCACAAAGCAGGTTCTGAGAATGCTTCCGTCTAGATTTTAAATGAGGATATTCCCGTTTCCAACGAAATCCTCGAAGCTATCCAAATATCCACTTGCAGATTCCACAAAAAGAGTGTTTCAAAACTGCTCTGTCAAAAGATAGGTTCAACTCTGTTAGTTGAGTACACACATGGCAAACAAGATTCCGAGAATGCTTTCGTCTAGTTTTTTTGGGACGATATTTCCTTCTTCACCATAGGCCTCAAAGCGCTCCAAATATCCATTTCCACATGCTATACAAAGAGTGTCTCAAACCTGCTGTATGAATGGGAATGTTCAACTCTATGAGTTGAATGCAAACATCACAAAGAAGTTTCTGAGAATGCTGCTGTCTAGATTTTATATGAAGGTTTTCCCGCTTCCAACGAAATTTTCAATGCTCTCAAAATATCCTCTTGTAGATTCTACAAAAAGAGTGTTTCCAAACTGCTGTATCAAAACAAAGGTTCATCTCTGTTAGTTGAGGACACACATCACAAATAAGTTTCTGAGAATGCTTCTGTCTAGTTCTTATTTGAAGACATTTCCTTTCTCACCTTAGGCCTGAAAGCGCTCGAAATACCCACTTCCAGATACTACAGAAACAGTGATTCAAACCTGCTCTATGAAAGGGAATGTTCAACTATGTGACTTGAATGCAAACATCACAAAGCAGTTTCTGAGAATGCTGCTGTCTACTTTCTATTTGTAATCCCGTTTCCAACGAAATCCTCAGAACTATCGAAATTTCCAATTGCAGATTCCACAGAAACAGGGTTTCAAAGCTGCTCTGTAAAAAGAAAGGTTCAACTCTGTTAGTTGAATACACACGTCACAAACAAGTTTCTGAGAATGCTTCTGTCTAGTTTTTATGGGAAGATATTTCCTTTTTCACGGTAGGCCTCAAAGCGCTCCAAATGTCCACTTCCACATACTACAAAAAGAGTGTTTCAAACCTGCTCTATGATAGGGAATGTTGAAACCTATGAGTTGAATGCAAGCATTACAAAGAGGTTTCTGAGAATGCTTCTGTCTAGATTTTATATGTAGATATTCCCGTTTCCAACGAAATCCTCAAAGCTATCCAAATATCAACTTGCAGATTCTACAAAAGGAATGTTTCCAAAATGCTGTATCCAAACAAAGGTTCAACTCTGTGAATTGAGGGCATACATCACAAAGAAGATTCTGAGAATGCTTCTGTCTAGATTTTATATGAAAATATTCCCGTTTCCAACGAAATCCTCAAAGCTATCCAAATATCCACTTGCAAATGCCACAAAAAGAGTGTTTCCAAACTGCTCTGTGAAAAGGAAGGTTCAACTCTGTTAGTTGAGTACACACATCACAAAGAGGTTTCTGAGAATGCTGCTGACTAGTTTTTATTTGAAGATATTTCCCTTTTCACCTTAGGCCTAAGAGTGCTCGAAATGTCCATTTCCACATACTCCACAAAGTGTGTTTCAAACGTGCTGTATGAAAGGGAATGTTCAACTCTATGAGTTGAATGCAAACATCACAAAGAAGATTCTGAGAATGCTTTTGTCTAGATTTTATATGAAGATATTCCCGTGTCCAACGAAATTTTCAAAGGTCTCCAAATATCCATTTGTAGATTCTACAAAAAGAGTGTTTCCAAACTGCTGTATCAAAACAAAGGTTGAACTCTGTGAGTTGAGGACACACATCACAAATAAGTTTCTGAGAATGCTTCTGTCTAGTTTTTATTTGAAGATGTTTCCTTTTTCACCATAGGCCTGAAAGCGCTCGAAATGTCCACTTCCAGATAGTACAGAAAGAGTGTTTCAAACCTGCTCTATGAACGGGAATGTTCAGCTCTGTGAGTTGAATGCAAACATCACAAAGCAGGTTCTGAGAATGCTTCCGTCTAGATTTTAAATGAGGATATTCCCGTTTCCAACGAAATCCTCGAAGCTATCCAAATATCCACTTGCAGATTCCACAAAAAGAGTGTTTCAAAACTGCTCTGTCAAAAGATAGGTTCAACTCTGTTAGTTGAGTACACACATGGCAAACAAGATTGCGAGAATGCTTTCGTCTAGTTTTTTTGGGAAGATATTTCCTTCTTCACCATAGGCCTCAAAGCGCTCCAAATATCCATTTCCACATGCTATACAAAGAGTGTCTCAAACCTGCTGTATGAATGGGAATGTTCAACTCTATGAGTTGAATGCAAACATCACAAAGAAGTTTCTGAGAATGCTTCTGTCTAGATTTTATATGAAGGTTTTCCCGCTTCCAACGAAATTTTCAATGCTCTCAAAATATCCTCTTGTAGATTCTACAAAAAGAGTGTTTCCAAACTGCTGTATCAAAACAAAGGTTCATCTCTGTTAGTTGAGGACACACATCACAAATAAGTTTCTGAGAATGCTTCTGTCTAGTTCTTATTTGAAGACATTTCCTTTCTCACCTTAGGCCTGAAAGCGCTCGAAATACCCACTTCCAGATACTACAGAAACAGTGATTCAAACCTGCTCTATGAAAGGGAATGTTCAACTATGTGACTTGAATGCAAACATCACAAAGCAGTTTCTGAGAATGCTGCTGTCTACTTTCTATTTGTAATCCCGTTTCCAACGAAATCCTCAGAACTATCGAAATTTCCAATTGCAGATTCCACAAAAAGCGTGTTTCAAAGCTGCTCTGTAAAAAGAAAGGTTCAACTCTGTTAGTTGAATACACACGTCACAAACAAGTTTCTGAGAATGCTTCTGTCTAGTTTTTATGGGAAGATATTTCCTTTTTCACCGTAGGCCTCAAAGCGCTCCAAATGTCCACTTCCACATACTACAAAAAGAGTGTTTCAAACCTGCTCTATGATAGGGAATGTTGAAACCTATGAGTTGAATGCAAGCATTACAAAGAGGTTTCTGAGAATGCTTCTGTCTAGATTTTATATGTAGATATTCCCGTTTCCAACGAAATCCTCAAAGCTATCCAAATATCAACTTGCAGATTCTACAAAAGGAATGTTTCCAAAATGCTGTATCCAAACAAAGGTTCAACTCTGTGAATTGAGGGCATACATCACAAAGAAGATTCTGAGAATGCTTCTGTCTAGATTTTATATGAAAATATTCCCGTTTCCAACGAAATCCTCAAAGCTATCCAAATATCCACTTGCAAATGCCACAAAAAGAGTGTTTCCAAACTGCTCTGTGAAAAGGAAGGTTCAACTCTGTTAGTTGAGTACACACATCACAAAGAGGTTTCTGAGAATGCTGCTGACTAGTTTTTATTTGAAGATATTTCCCTTTTCACCTTAGGCCTAAGAGTGCTCGAAATGTCCATTTCCACATACTCCACAAAGTGTGTTTCAAACGTGCTGTATGAAAGGGAATGTTCAACTCTATGAGTTGAATGCAAACATCACAAAGAAGATTCTGAGAATGCTTTTGTCTAGATTTTATATGAAGATATTCCCGTGTCCAACGAAATTTTCAAAGGTCTCCAAATATCCATTTGTAGATTCTACAAAAAGAGTGTTTCCAAACTGCTGTATCAAAACAAAGGTTGAACTCTGTGAGTTGAGGACACACATCACAAATAAGTTTCTGAGAATGCTTCTGTCTAGTTTTTATTTGAAGATGTTTCCTTTTTCACCATAGGCCTGAAAGCGCTCGAAATGTCCACTTCCAGATAGTACAGAAAGAGTGTTTCAAACCTGCTCCATGAACGGGAATGTTCAGCTCTGTGAGTTGAATGCAAACATCACAAAGCAGGTTCTGAGAATGCTTCCGTCTAGATTTTAAATGAGGATATTCCCGTTTCCAACGAAATCCTCGAAGCTATCCAAATATCCACTTGCAGATTCCACAAAAAGAGTGTTTCAAAACTGCTCTGTCAAAAGATAGGTTCAACTCTGTTAGTTGAGTACACACATGGCAAACAAGATTGCGAGAATGCTTTCGTCTAGTTTTTTTGGGAAGATATTTCCTTCTTCACCATAGGCCTCAAAGCGCTCCAAATATCCATTTCCACATGCTATACAAAGAGTGTCTCAAACCTGCTGTATGAATGGGAATGTTCAACTCTATGAGTTGAATGCAAACATCACAAAGAAGTTTCTGAGAATGCTGCTGTCTAGATTTTATATGAAGGTTTTCCCGCTTCCAACGAAATTTTCAATGCTCTCAAAATATCCTCTTGTAGATTCTACAAAAAGAGTGTTTCCAAACTGCTGTATCAAAACAAAGGTTCATCTCTGTTAGTTGAGGACACACATCACAAATAAGTTTCTGAGAATGCTTCTGTCTAGTTCTTATTTGAAGACATTTCCTTTCTCACCTTAGGCCTGAAAACGCTCGAAATATCCACTTCCAGATACGACAGAAACAGTGATTCAAACCTGCTCTATGAAAGGGAATGTTCAACTAGGTGACTTGAATGCAAACATCACAAAGCAGTTTCTGAGAATGCTTGCTGTCTACTTTCTATTTGTAATCCCGTTTCCAACGAAATCCTCAGAACTATCGAAATTTCCAATTGCAGATTCCACAGAAACAGGGTTTCAAAGCTGCTCTGTAAAAAGAAAGGTTCAACTCTGTTAGTTGAATACACACGTCACAAACAAGTTTCTGAGAATGCTTCTGTCTAGTTTTTATGGGAAGATATTTCCTTTTTCACCGTAGGCCTCAAAGCGCTCCAAATGTCCACTTCCACATACTACAAAAAGAGTGTTTCAAACCTGCTGTATGAAAGGGAATGTTCAACTCTATGAGTTGAATGCAAACATTACAAAGAAGTTTCTGAGAATGCTTCTGTCTAGATTTTATATGTAGATATTCCCGTTTCCAACGAAATCCTCAAAGCTATCCAAATATCAACTTGCAGATTCTACAAAAGGAATGTTTCCAAAATGCTGTATCCAAACAAAGGTTCAACTCTGTGAATTGAGGGCATACATCACAAAGAAGATTCTGAGAATGCTTCTGTCTAGATTTTATATGAAAATATTCCCGTTTCCAACGAAATCCTCAAAGCTATCCAAATATCCACTTGCAAATGCCACAAAAAGAGTGTTTCCAAACTGCTCTGTGAAAAGGAAGGTTCAACTCTGTTAGTTGAGTACACACATCACAAAGAGGTTTCTGAGAATGCTGCTGACTAGTTTTTATTTGAAGATATTTCCCTTTTCACCTTAGGCCTAAGAGTGCTCGAAATGTCCATTTCCACATACTCCACAAAGTGTGTTTCAAACGTGCTGTATGAAAGGGAATGTTCAACTCTATGAGTTGAATGCAAACATCACAAAGAAGATTCTGAGAATGCTTTTGTCTAGATTTTATATGAAGATATTCCCGTGTCCAACGAAATTTTCAAAGGTCTCCAAATATCCATTTGTAGATTCTACAAAAAGAGTGTTTCCAAACTGCTGTATCAAAACAAAGGTTGAACTCTGTGAGTTGAGGACACACATCACAAATAAGTTTCTGAGAATGCTTCTGTCTAGTTTTTATTTGAAGATGTTTCCTTTTTCACCATAGGCCTGAAAGCGCTCCAAATGTCCACTTCCAGATAGTACAGAAAGAGTGTTTCAAACCTGCTCTATGAACGGGAATGTTCAGCTCTGTGAGTTGAATGCAAACATCACAAAGCAGGTTCTGAGAATGCTTCCGTCTAGATTTTAAATGAGGATATTCCCGTTTCCAACGAAATCCTCGAAGCTATCCAAATATCCACTTGCAGATTCCACAAAAAGAGTGTTTCAAAACTGCTCTGTCAAAAGATAGGTTCAACTCTGTTAGTTGAGTACACACATGGCAAACAAGATTCCGAGAATGCTTTCGTCTAGTTTTTTTGGGAAGATATTTCCTTCTTCACCATAGGCCTCAAAGCGCTCCAAATATCCATTTCCACATGCTATACAAAGAGTGTCTCAAACCTGCTGTATGAATGGGAATGTTCAACTCTATGAGTTGAATGCAAACATCACAAAGAAGTTTCTGAGAATGCTGCTGTCTAGATTTTATATGAAGGTTTTCCCGCTTCCAACGAAATTTTCAATGCTCTCAAAATATCCTCTTGTAGATTCTACAAAAAGAGTGTTTCCAAACTGCTGTATCAAAACAAAGGTTCATCTCTGTTAGTTGAGGACACACATCACAAATAAGTTTCTGAGAATGCTTCTGTCTAGTTCTTATTTGAAGACATTTCCTTTCTCACCTTAGGCCTGAAAACGCTCGAAATATCCACTTCCAGATACGACAGAAACTGTGATTCAAACCTGCTCTATAAAAGGGAATGTTCAACTAGGTGACTTGAATGCAAACATCACAAAGCAGTTTCTGAGAATGCTGCTGTCTACTTTGTATTTGTAATCCCGTTTCCAACGAAATCCTCAGAACTATCGAAATTTCCAATTGCAGATTCCACAGAAACAGGGTTTCAAAGCTGCTCTGTAAAAAGAAAGGTTCAACTCTGTTAGTTGAATACACACGTCACAAACAAGTTTCTGAGAATGCTTCTGTCTAGTTTTTATGGGAAGATATTTCCTTTTTCACCGTAGACCTCAAAGCGCTCCAAATGTCCACTTCCACATACTACAAAAAGAGTGTTTCAAACCTGCTGTATGAAAGGGAATGTTCAACTCTATGAGTTGAATGCAAACATTACAAAGAAGTTTCTGAGAATGCTTCTGTCTAGATTTTATATGAAGGTTTTCCCGTTTCCAAGGAAATTTTCAATGCTCTCAAAATATCCACTTGTAGATTCTACAAAAAGAGTGTTTCCAATCTGCTGTGTCAAAAGAAAGGTTCAACTCTGTTAGTTGAGGACACACATCACAAAGAGGTTTCTGAGAATGCTGCTGACTAGTTTTTATTTGACGATATTTCCCTTTTCACCTTAGGCCTAAGAGTGCTCGAAATGTACATTTCCACATACTCCACAAAGTGTGTTTCAAACGTGCTGTATGAAAGGGAATGTTCAACTCTATGAGTTGAATGCAAACATCACAAAGAAGATTCTGAGAATGCTTTTGTCTAGATTTTATATGAAGATATTCCCGTGTCCAACGAAATTTTCAAAGGTCTCCAAATATCCATTTGTAGATTCTACAAAAAGAGTGTTTCCAAACTGCTGTATCAAAACAAAGGTTGAACTCTGTGAGTTGAGGACACACATCACAAATAAGTTTCTGAGAATGCTTCTGTCTAGTTTTTATTTGAAGATGTTTCCTTTTTCACCATAGGCCTGAAAGCGCTCGAAATGTCCACTTCCAGATAGTACAGAAAGAGTGTTTCAAACCTGCTCTATGAACGGGAATGTTCAGCTCTGTGAGTTGAATGCAAACATCACAAAGCAGGTTCTGAGAATGCTTCCGTCTAGATTTTAAATGAGGATATTCCCGTTTCCAAAGAAATCCTCGAAGCTATCCAAATATCCACTTGCAGATTCCACAAAAAGAGTGTTTCAAAACTGCTCTGTCAAAAGATAGGTTCAACTCTGTTAGTTGAGTACACACATGGCAAACAAGATTCCGAGAATGCTTTCGTCTAGTTTTTTTGGGAAGATATTTCCTTCTTCACCATAGGCCTCAAAGCGCTCCAAATATCCATTTCCACATGCTATACAAAGAGTGTCTCAAACCTGCTGTATGAATGGGAATGTTCAACTCTATGAGTTGAATGCAAACATCACAAAGAAGTTTCTGAGAATGCTGCTGTCTAGATTTTATATGAAGGTTGTCCCGCTTCCAACGAAATTTTCAATGCTCTCAAAATATCCTCTTGTAGATTCTACAAAAAGAGTGTTTCCAAACTGCTGTATCAAAACAAAGGTTCATCTCTGTTAGTTGAGGACACACATCACAAATAAGTTTCTGAGAATGCTTCTGTCTAGTTCTTATTTGAAGACATTTCCTTTCTCACCTTAGGCCTGAAAGCGCTCGAAATACCCACTTCCAGATACTACAGAAACAGTGATTCATACCTGCTCTATGAAAGTGAATGTTCAGCTCTGTGAGTTGAATGCAAACATCACAAAGCAGTTTCTGAGAATGCTGCTGTCTACTTTCTATTTGTAATCCCGTTTCCAACGAAATCCTCAGAACTATCGAAATTTCCAATTGCAGATTCCACAGAAACAGGGTTTCAAAGCTGCTCTGTAAAAAGAAAGGTTCAACTCTGTTAGTTGAATACACACGTCACAAACAAGTTTCTGAGAATGCTTCTGTCTAGTTTTTATGGGAAGATATTTCCTTTTTCACCGTAGGCCTCAAAGCGCTCCAAATGTCCACTTCCACATACTACAAAAAGAGTGTTTCAAACCTGCTGTATGAAAGGGAATGTTCAACTCTATGACTTGAATGCAAACATTACAAAGAAGTTTCTGAGAATGCTTCTGTCTAGATTTTATATGAAGGTTTTCCCGTTTCCAAGGAAATTTTCAATGCTCTCAAAATATCCACTTGTAGATTCTACAAAAAGAGTGTTTCCAATCTGCTGTGTCAAAGGAAAGGTTCAACTCTGTTAGTTGAGGACACACATCACAAAGAGGTTTCTGAGAATGCTGCTGACTAGTTTTTATTTGAAGATATTTCCCTTTTCACCTTAGGCCTAAGAGTGCTCGAAATGTCCATTTCCACATACTCCACAAAGTGTGTTTCAAACGTGCTGTATGAAAGGGAATGTTCAACTGCTATGAGTTGAATGCAAACATCACAAAGAAGATTCTGAGAATGCTTTTGTCTAGATTTTATATGAAGATATTCCCGTGTCCAACGAAATTTTCAAAGGTCTCCAAATATCCATTTGTAGATTCTACAAAAAGAGTGTTTCCAAACTGCTGTATCAAAACAAAGGTTGAACTCTGTGAGTTGAGGACACACATCACAAATAAGTTTCTGAGAATGCTTCTGTCTAGTTTTTATTTGAAGATGTTTCCTTTTTCACCATAGGCCTGAAAGCGCTCGAAATGTCCACTTCCAGATAGTACAGAAAGAGTGTTTCAAACCTGCTCTATGAACGGGAATGTTCAGCTCTGTGAGTTGAATGCAAACATCACAAAGCAGGTTCTGAGAATGCTTCCGTCTAGATTTTAAATGAGGATATTCCCGTTTCCAACGAAATCCTCGAAGCTATCCAAATATCCACTTGCAGATTCCACAAAAAGAGTGTTTCAAAACTGCTCTGTCAAAAGATAGGTTCAACTCTGTTAGTTGAGTACACACATGGCAAACAAGATTCCGAGAATGCTTTCGTCTAGTTTTTTTGGGAAGATATTTCCTTCTTCACCATAGGCCTCAAAGCGCTCCAAATATCCATTTCCACATGCTATACAAAGAGTGTCTCAAACCTGCTGTATGAATGGGAATGTTCAACTCTATGAGTTGAATGCAAACATCACAAAGAAGTTTCTGAGAATGCTGCTGTCTAGATTTTATATGAAGGTTTTCCCGCTTCCAACGAAATTTTCAATGCTCTCAAAATATCCTCTTGTAGATTCTACAAAAAGAGTGTTTCCAAACTGCTGTATCAAAACAAAGGTTCATCTCTGTTAGTTGAGGACACACATCACAAATAAGTTTCTGAGAATGCTTCTGTCTAGTTCTTATTTGAAGACATTTCCTTTCTCACCTTAGGCCTGAAAGCGCTCGAAATACCCACTTCCAGATACTACAGAAACAGTGATTCAAACCTGCTCTATGAAAGGGAATGTTCAACTAGGTGACTTGAATGCAAACATCACAAAGCAGTTTCTGAGAATGCTGCTGTCTACTTTCTATTTGTAATCCCGTTTCCAACGAAATCCTCAGAACTATCGAAATTTCCAATTGCAGATTCCACAGAAACAGGGTTTCAAAGCTGCTCTGTAAAAAGAAAGGTTCAACTCTGTTAGTTGAATACACACGTCACAAACAAGTTTCTGAGAATGCTTCTGTCTAGTTTTTATGGGAAGATATTTCCTTTTTCACCGTAGGCCTCAAAGCGCTCCAAATGTCCACTTCCACATACTACAAAAAGAGTGTTTCAAACCTGCTGTATGAAAGGGAATGTTCAACTCTATGAGTTGAATGCAAACATCACAAAGAAGTTTCTGAGAATGCTGCTGTCTAGATTTTATATGAAGGTTTTCCCGCTTCCAACGAAATTTTCAATGCTCTCAAAATATCCTCTTGTAGATTCTACAAAAAGAGTGTTTCCAAACTGCTGTATCAAAACAAAGGTTCATCTCTGTTAGTTGAGGACACACATCACAAATAAGTTTCTGAGAATGCTTCTGTCTAGTTCTTATTTGAAGACATTTCCTTTCTCACCTTAGGCCTGAAAGCGCTCGAAATACCCACTTCCAGATACTACAGAAACAGTGATTCAAACCTGCTCTATGAAAGGGAATGTTCAACTATGTGACTTGAATGCAAACATCACAAAGCAGTTTCTGAGAATGCTGCTGTCTACTTTCTATTTGTAATCCCGTTTCCAACGAAATCCTCAGAACTATCGAAATTTCCAATTGCAGATTCCACAGAAACAGGGTTTCAAAGCTGCTCTGTAAAAAGAAAGGTTCAACTCTGTTAGTTGAATACACACGTCACAAACAAGTTTCTGAGAATGCTTCTGTCTAGTTTTTATGGGAAGATATTTCCTTTTTCACCATAGGCCTCAAAGCGCTCCAAATGTCCACTTCCACATACTACAAAAAGAGTGTTTCAAACCTGCTCTATGATAGGGAATGTTGAAACCTATGAGTTGAATGCAAGCATTACAAAGAGGTTTCTGAGAATGCTTCTGTCTAGATTTTATATGTAGATATTCCCGTTTCCAACGAAATCCTCAAAGCTATCCAAATATCAACTTGCAGATTCTACAAAAGGAATGTTTCCAAAATGCTGTATCCAAACAAAGGTTCAACTCTGTGAATTGAGGGCATACATCACAAAGAAGATTCTGAGAATGCTTCTGTCTAGATTTTATATGAAAATATTCCCGTTTCCAACGAAATCCTCAAAGCTATCCAAATATCCACTTGCAAATGCCACAAAAAGAGTGTTTCCAAACTGCTCTGTGAAAAGGAAGGTTCAACTCTGTTAGTTGAGTACACACATCACAAAGAGGTTTCTGAGAATGCTGCTGACTAGTTTTTATTTGAAGATATTTCCCTTTTCACCTTAGGCCTAAGAGTGCTCGAAATGTCCATTTCCACATACTCCACAAAGTGTGTTTCAAACGTGCTGTATGAAAGGGAATGTTCAACTCTATGAGTTGAATGCAAACATCACAAAGAAGATTCTGAGAATGCTTTTGTCTAGATTTTATATGAAGATATTCCCGTGTCCAACGAAATTTTCAAAGGTCTCCAAATATCCATTTGTAGATTCTACAAAAAGAGTGTTTCCAAACTGCTGTATCAAAACAAAGGTTGAACTCTGTGAGTTGAGGACACACATCACAAATAAGTTTCTGAGAATGCTTCTGTCTAGTTTTTATTTGAAGATGTTTCCTTTTTCACCATAGGCCTGAAAGCGCTCGAAATGTCCACTTCCAGATAGTACAGAAAGAGTGTTTCAAACCTGCTCTATGAACGGGAATGTTCAGCTCTGTGAGTTGAATGCAAACATCACAAAGCAGGTTCTGAGAATGCTTCCGTCTAGATTTTAAATGAGGATATTCCCGTTTCCAACGAAATCCTCGAAGCTATCCAAATATCCACTTGCAGATTCCACAAAAAGAGTGTTTCAAAACTGCTCTGTCAAAAGATAGGTTCAACTCTGTTAGTTGAGTACACACATGGCAAACAAGATTCCGAGAATGCTTTCGTCTAGTTTTTTTGGGAAGATATTTCCTTCTTCACCATAGGCCTCAAAGCGCTCCAAATATCCATTTCCACATGCTATACAAAGAGTGTCTCAAACCTGCTGTATGAATGGGAATGTTCAACTCTATGAGTTGAATGCAAACATCACAAAGAAGTTTCTGAGAATGCTGCTGTCTAGATTTTATATGAAGGTTTTCCCGCTTCCAACGAAATTTTCAATGCTCTCAAAATATCCTCTTGTAGATTCTACAAAAAGAGTGTTTCCAAACTGCTGTATCAAAACAAAGGTTCATCTCTGTTAGTTGAGGACACACATCACAAATAAGTTTCTGAGAATGCTTCTGTCTAGTTCTTATTTGAAGACATTTCCTTTCTCACCTTAGGCCTGAAAGCGCTCGAAATACCCACTTCCAGATACTACAGAAACAGTGATTCAAACCTGCTCTATGAAAGGGAATGTTCAACTATGTGACTTGAATGCAAACATCACAAAGCAGTTTCTGAGAATGCTGCTGTCTACTTTCTATTTGTAATCCCGTTTCCAACGAAATCCTCAGAACTATCGAAATTTCCAATTGCAGATTCCACAGAAACAGGGTTTCAAAGCTGCTCTGTAAAAAGAAAGGTTCAACTCTGTTAGTTGAATACACACGTCACAAACAAGTTTCTGAGAATGCTTCTGTCTAGTTTTTATGGGAAGATATTTCCTTTTTCACCGTAGGCCTCAAAGCGCTCCAAATGTCCACTTCCACATACTACAAAAAGAGTGTTTCAAACCTGCTCTATGATAGGGAATGTTGAAACCTATGAGTTGAATGCAAACATTACAAAGAGGTTTCTGAGAATGCTTCTGTCTAGATTTTATATGTAGATATTCCCGTTTCCAACGAAATCCTCAAAGCTATCCAAATATCAACTTGCAGATTCTACAAAAGGAATGTTTCCAAAATGCTGTATCCAAACAAAGGTTCAACTCTGTGAATTGAGGGCATACATCACAAAGAAGATTCTGAGAATGCTTCTGTCTAGATTTTATATGAAAATATTCCCGTTTCCAACGAAATCCTCAAAGCTATCCAAATATCCACTTGCAAATGCCACAAAAAGAGTGTTTCCAAACTGCTCTGTGAAAAGGAAGGTTCAACTCTGTTAGTTGAGTACACACATCACAAAGAGGTTTCTGAGAATGCTGCTGACTAGTTTTTATTTGAAGATATTTCCCTTTTCACCTTAGGCCTAAGAGTGCTCGAAATGTCCATTTCCACATACTCCACAAAGTGTGTTTCAAACGTGCTGTATGAAAGGGAATGTTCAACTCTATGAGTTGAATGGAAATATCACAAAGAAGATTCTGAGAATGCTTTTGTCTAGATTTTATATGAAGATATTCCCGTGTCCAACGAAATTTTCAAAGGTCTCCAAATATCCATTTGTAGATTCTACAAAAAGAGTGTTTCCAAACTGCTGTATCAAAACAAAGGTTGAACTCTGTGAGTTGAGGACACACATCACAAATAAGTTTCTGAGAATGCTTCTGTCTAGTTTTTATTTGAAGATGTTTCCTTTTTCACCATAGGCCTGAAAGCGCTCGAAATGTCCACTTCCAGATAGTACAGAAAGAGTGTTTCAAACCTGCTCTATGAACGGGAATGTTCAGCTCTGTGAGTTGAATGCAAACATCACAAAGCAGGTTCTGAGAATGCTTCCGTCTAGATTTTAAATGAGGATATTCCCGTTTCCAACGAAATCCTCGAAGCTATCCAAATATCCACTTGCAGATTCCACAAAAAGAGTGTTTCAAAACTGCTCTGTCAAAAGATAGGTTCAACTCTGTTAGTTGAGTACACACATGGCAAACAAGATTGTGAGAATGCCTTCGTCTAGTTTTTTTGGGAAGATATTTCCTTCTTCACCATAGGCCTCAAAGCGCTCCAAATATCCATTTCCACATGCTATACAAAGAGTGTCTCAAACCTGCTGTATGAATGGGAATGTTCAACTCTATGAGTTGAATGCAAACATCACAAAGAAGTTTCTGAGAATGCTGCTGTCTAGATTTTATATGAAGGTTTTCCCGCTTCCAACGAAATTTTCAATGCTCTCAAAATATCCTCTTGTAGATTCTACAAAAAGAGTGTTTCCAAACTGCTGTATCAAAACAAAGGTTCATCTCTGTTAGTTGAGGACACACATCACAAATAAGTTTCTGAGAATGCTTCTGTCTAGTTCTTATTTGAAGACATTTCCTTTCTCACCTTAGGCCTGAAAGCGCTCGAAATACCCACTTCCAGATACTACAGAAACAGTGATTCATACCTGCTCTATGAAAGTGAATGTTCAGCTCTGTGAGTTGAATGCAAACATCACAAAGCAGTTTCTGAGAATGCTGCTGTCTACTTTCTATTTGTAATCCCGTTTCCAACGAAATCCTCAGAACTATCGAAATTTCCAATTGCAGATTCCACAGAAACAGGGTTTCAAAGCTGCTCTGTAAAAAGAAAGGTTCAACTCTGTTAGTTGAATACACACGTCACAAACAAGTTTCTGAGAATGCTTCTGTCTAGTTTTTATGGGAAGATATTTCCTTTTTCACCGTAGGCCTCAAAGCGCTCCAAATGTCCACTTCCACATACTACAAAAAGAGTGTTTCAAACCTGCTGTATGAAAGGGAATGTTCAACTCTATGAGTTGAATGCAAACATTACAAAGAAGTTTCTGAGAATGCTTCTGTCTAGATTTTATATGAAGGTTTTCCCGTTTCCAACGAAATTTTCAATGCTCTCAAAATATCCACTTGTAGATTCTACAAAAAGAGTGTTTCCAAACTGCTGTGTCAAAAGAAAGGTTCAACTCTGTTAGTTGAGGACACACATCACAAATAAGTTTCTGAGAATGCTTCTGTCTAGTTCTTATTTGAAGACATTTCCTTTCTCACCTTAGGCCTGAAAACGCTCGAAATATCCACTTCCAGATACGACAGAAACAGTGATTCAAACCTGCTCTATGAAAGGGAATGTTCAACTAGGTGACTTGAATGCAAACATCACAAAGCAGTTTCTGAGAATGCTGCTGTCTACTTTCTATTTGTAATCCCGTTTCCAACGAAATCCTCAGAACTATCGAAATTTCCAATTGCAGATTCCACAAAAAGCGTGTTTCAAAGCTGCTCTGTAAAAAGAAAGGTTCAACTCTGTTAGTTGAATACACACGTCACAAACAAGTTTCTGAGAATGCTTCTGTCTAGTTTTTATGGGAAGATATTTCCTTTTTCACCGTAGGCCTCAAAGCGCTCCAAATGTCCACTTCCACATACTACAAAAAGAGTGTTTCAAACCTGCTCTATGATAGGGAATGTTGAAACCTATGAGTTGAATGCAAGCATTACAAAGAGGTTTCTGAGAATGCTTCTGTCTAGATTTTATATGTAGATATTCCCGTTTCCAACGAAATCCTCAAAGCTATCCAAATATCAACTTGCAGATTCTACAAAAGGAATGTTTCCAAAATGCTGTATCCAAACAAAGGTTCAACTCTGTGAATTGAGGGCATACATCACAAAGAAGATTCTGAGAATGCTTCTGTCTAGATTTTATATGAAAATATTCCCGTTTCCAACAAAATCCTCAAAGCTATCCAAATATCCACTTGCAAATGCCACAAAAAGAGTGTTTCCAAACTGCTCTGTGAAAAGGAAGGTTCAACTCTGTTAGTTGAGTACACACATCACAAAGAGGTTTCTGAGAATGCTGCTGGCTAGTTTTTATTTGAAGATATTTCCCTTTTCACCTTAGGCCTAAGAGTGCTCGAAATGTCCATTTCCACATACTCCACAAAGTGTGTTCCAAACGTGCTGTATGAAAGGGAATGTTCAACTCTATGAGTTGAATGCAAACATCACAAAGAAGATTCTGAGAATGCTTTTGTCTAGATTTTATATGAAGATATTCCCGTGTCCAACGAAATTTTCAATGGTCTCCAAATATCCATTTGTAGATTCTACAAAAAGAGTGTTTCCAAACTGCTGTATCAAAACAAAGGTTGAACTCTGTGAGTTGAGGACACACATCACAAATAAGTTTCTGAGAATGCTTCTGTCTAGTTTTTATTTGAAGATATTTCCTTTTTCACCATAGGCCTGAAAGCGCTCGAAATGTCCCCTTCCAGATAGTACAGAAAGAGTGTTTCAAACCTGCTCTATGAACAGGAATGTTCAGCTCTGTGAGTTGAATGCAAACATCACAAAGCAGGTTCTGAGAATGCTCCGTCTAGTATTTTAAATGAGGATATTCCCGTTTCCAACGAAATCCTCGAAGCTATCCAAATATCCACTTGCAGATTCCACAAAAAGAGTGTTTCAAAACTGCTCTGTCAAAAGATAGGTTCAACTCTGTTAGTTGAGTACACACATGGCAAACAAGATTGCGAGAATGCTTTCGTCTAGTTTTTTTGGGAAGATATTTCCTTCTTCACCATAGGCCTCAAAGCGCTCCAAATATCCATTTCCACATGCTATACAAAGAGTGTCTCAAACCTGCTGTATGAATGGGAATGTTCAACTCTATGAGTTGAATGCAAACATCACAAAGAAGTTTCTGAGAATGCTGCTGTCTAGATTTTATATGAAGGTTTTCCCGCTTCCAACGAAATTTTCAATGCTCTCAAAATATCCTCTTGTAGATTCTACAAAAAGAGTGTTTCCAAACTGCTGTATCAAAACAAAGGTTCATCTCTGTTAGTTGAGGACACACATCACAAATAAGTTTCTGAGAATGCTTCTGTCTAGTTCTTATTTGAAGACATTTCCTTTCTCACCTTAGGCCTGAAAACGCTCGAAATATCCACTTCCAGATACGACAGAAACTGTGATTCAAACCTGCTCTATGAAAGGGAATGTTCAACTAGGTGACTTGAATGCAAACATCACAAAGCAGTTTCTGAGAATGCTGCTGTCTACTTTCTATTTGTAATCCCGTTTCCAACGAAATCCTCAGAACTATCGAAATTTCCAATTGCAGATTCCACAAAAAGCGTGTTTCAAAGCTGCTCTGTAAAAAGAAAGGTTCAACTCTGTTAGTTGAATACACACGTCACAAACAAGTTTCTGAGAATGCTTCTGTCTAGTTTTTATGGGAAGATATTTCCTTTTTCACGGTAGGCCTCAAAGCGCTCCAAATGTCCACTTCCACATACTACAAAAAGAGTGTTTCAAACCTGCTCTATGATAGGGAATGTTGAAACCTATGAGTTGAATGCAAGCATTACAAAGAGGTTTCTGAGAATGCTTCTGTCTAGATTTTATATGTAGATATTCCCGTTTCCAACGAAATCCTCAAAGCTATCCAAATATCAACTTGCAGATTCTACAAAAGGAATGTTTCCAAAATGCTGTATCCAAACAAAGGTTCAACTCTGTGAATTGAGGGCATACATCACAAAGAAGATTCTGAGAATGCTTCTGTCTAGATTTTATATGAAAATATTCCCGTTTCCAACGAAATCCTCAAAGCTATCCAAATATCCACTTGCAAATGCCACAAAAAGAGTGTTTCCAAACTGCTCTGTGAAAAGGAAGGTTCAACTCTGTTAGTTGAGTACACACATCACAAAGAGGTTTCTGAGAATGCTGCTGACTAGTTTTTATTTGAAGATATTTCCCTTTTCACCTTAGGCCTAAGAGTGCTCGAAATGTCCATTTCCACATACTCCACAAAGTGTGTTTCAAACGTGCTGTATGAAAGGGAATGTTCAACTCTATGAGTTGAATGCAAACATCACAAAGAAGATTCTGAGAATGCTTTTGTCTAGATTTTATATGAAGATATTCCCGTGTCCAACGAAATTTTCAAAGGTCTCCAAATATCCATTTGTAGATTCTACAAAAAGAGTGTTTCCAAACTGCTGTATCAAAACAAAGGTTGAACTCTGTGAGTTGAGGACACACATCACAAATAAGTTTCTGAGAATGCTTCTGTCTAGTTTTTATTTGAAGATGTTTCCTTTTTCACCATAGGCCTGAAAGCGCTCGAAATGTCCACTTCCAGATAGTGCAGAAAGAGTGTTTCAAACCTGCTCTATGAACGGGAATGTTCAGCTCTGTGAGTTGAATGCAAACATCACAAAGCAGGTTCTGAGAATGCTTCCGTCTAGGTTTTAAATGAGGATATTCCCGTTTCCAACGAAATCCTCGAAGCTATCCAAATATCCACTTGCAGATTCCACAAAAAGAGTGTTTCAAAACTGCTCTGTCAAAAGATAGGTTCAACTCTGTTAGTTGAGTACACACATGGCAAACAAGATTCCGAGAATGCTTTCGTCTAGTTTTTTTGGGAAGATATTTCCTTCTTCACCATAGGCCTCAAAGCGCTCCAAATATCCATTTCCACATGCTATACAAAGAGTGTCTCAAACCTGCTGTATGAATGGGAAAGTTCAACTCTATGAGTTGAATGCAAACATCACAAAGAAGTTTCTGAGAATGCTGCTGTCTAGATTTTATATGAAGGTTTTCCCGCTTCCAACGAAATTTTCAATGCTCTCAAAATATCCTCTTGTAGATTCTACAAAAAGAGTGTTTCCAAACTGCTGTATCAAAACAAAGGTTCATCTCTGTTAGTTGAGGACACACATCACAAATAAGTTTCTGAGAATGCTTCTGTCTAGTTCTTATTTGAAGACATTTCCTTTCTCACCTTAGGCCTGAAAGCGCTCGAAATACCCACTTCCAGATACTACAGAAACAGTGATTCAAACCTGCTCTATGAAAGGGAATGTTCAACTATGTGACTTGAATGCAAACATCACAAAGCAGTTTCTGAGAATGCTGCTGTCTACTTTCTATTTGTAATCCCGTTTGCAACGAAATCCTCAGAACTATCGAAATTTCCAATTGCAGATTCCACAGAAACAGGGTTTCAAAGCTGCTCTGTAAAAAGAAAGGTTCAACTCTGTTAGTTGAATACACACGTCACAAACAAGTTTCTGAGAATGCTTCTGTCTAGTTTTTATGGGAAGATATTTCCTTTTTCACCGTAGGCCTCAAAGCGCTCCAAATGTCCACTTCCACATACTACAAAAAGAGTGTTTCAAACCTGCTCTATGATAGGGAATGTTGAAACCTATGAGTTGAATGCAAGCATTACAAAGAGGTTTCTGAGAATGCTTCTGTCTAGATTTTATATGTAGATATTCCCGTTTCCAACGAAATCCTCAAAGCTATCCAAATATCAACTTGCAGATTCTACAAAAGGAATGTTTCCAAAATGCTGTATCCAAACAAAGGTTCAACTCTGTGAATTGAGGGCATACATCAAAAAGAAGATTCTGAGAATGCTTCTGTCTAGATTTTATATGAAAATATTCCCGTTTCCAACGAAATCCTCAAAGCTATCGAAATATCCACTTGCAAATGCCACAAAAAGAGTGTTTCCAAACTGCTCTGTGAAAAGGAAGGTTCAACTCTGTTAGTTGAGTACACACATCACAAAGAGGTTTCTGAGAATGCTGCTGACTAGTTTTTATTTGAAGATATTTCCCTTTTCACCTTAGGCCTAAGAGTGCTCGAAATGTCCATTTCCACATACTCCACAAAGTGTGTTTCAAACGTGCTGTATGAAAGGGAATGTTCAACTCTATGAGTTGAATGCAAACATCACAAAGAAGATTCTGAGAATGCTTTTGTCTAGATTTTATATGAAGATATTCCCGTGTCCAACGAAATTTTCAAAGGTCTCCAAATATCCATTTGTAGATTCTACAAAAAGAGTGTTTCCAAACTGCTGTATCAAAACAAAGGTTGAACTCTGTGAGTTGAGGACACACATCACAAATAAGTTTCTGAGAATGCTTCTGTCTAGTTTTTATTTGAAGATGTTTCCTTTTTCACCATAGGCCTGAAAGCGCTCGAAATGTCCACTTCCAGATAGTACAGAAAGAGTGTTTCAAACCTGCTCTATGAACGGGAATGTTCAGCTCTGTGAGTTGAATGCAAACATCACAAAGCAGGTTCTGAGAATGCTTCCGTCTAGATTTTAAATGAGGATATTCCCGTTTCCAACGAAATCCTCGAAGCTATCCAAATATCCACTTGCAGATTCCACAAAAAGAGTGTTTCAAAACTGCTCTGTCAAAAGATAGGTTCAACTCTGTTAGTTGAGTACACACATGGCAAACAAGATTCCGAGAATGCTTTCGTCTAGTTTTTTTGGGAAGATATTTCCTTCTTCACCATAGGCCTCAAAGCGCTCCAAATATCCATTTCCACATGCTATACAAAGAGTGTCTCAAACCTGCTGTATGAATGGGAATGTTCAACTCTATGAGTTGAATGCAAACATCACAAAGAAGTTTCTGAGAATGCTGCTGTCTAGATTTTATATGAAGGTTTTCCCGCTTCCAACGAAATTTTCAATGCTCTCAAAATATCCTCTTGTAGATTCTACAAAAAGAGTGTTTCCAAACTGCTGTATCAAAACAAAGGTTCATCTCTGTTAGTTGAGGACACACATCACAAATAAGTTTCTGAGAATGCTTCTGTCTAGTTCTTATTTGAAGACATTTCCTTTCTCACCTTAGGCCTGAAAGCGCTCGAAATACCCACTTCCAGATACTACAGAAACAGTGATTCAAACCTGCTCTATGAAAGGGAATGTTCAACTATGTGACTTGAATGCAAACATCACAAAGCAGTTTCTGAGAATGCTGCTGTCTACTTTCTATTTGTAATCCCGTTTCCAACGAAATCCTCAGAACTATCGAAATTTCCAATTGCAGATTCCACAGAAACAGGGTTTCAAAGCTGCTCTGTAAAAAGAAAGGTTCAACTCTGTTAGTTGAATACACACGTCACAAACAAGTTTCTGAGAATGCTTCTGTCTAGTTTTTATGGGAAGATATTTCCTTTTTCACCGTAGGCCTCAAAGCGCTCCAAATGTCCACTTCCACATACTAGAAAAAGAGTGTTTCAAACCTGCTGTATGAAAGGGAATGTTCAACTCTATGAGTTGAATGCAAACATTACAAAGAAGTTTCTGAGAATGCTTCTGTCTAGATTTTATATGAAGGTTTTCCCGTTTCCAACGAAATTTTCAATGCTCTCAAAATATCCACTTGTAGATTCTACAAAAAGAGTGTTTCCAAACTGCTGTGTCAAAAGAAAGGTTCAACTCTGTTAGTTGAGGACACACATCACAAATAAGTTTCTGAGAATGCTTCTGTCTAGTTCTTATTTGAAGACATTTCCTTTCTCACCTTAGGCCTGAAAACGCTCGAAATATCCACTTCCAGATACGACAGAAACAGTGATTCAAACCTGCTCTATGAAAGGGAATGTTCAACTAGGTGACTTGAATGCAAACATCACAAAGCAGTTTCTGAGAATGCTGCTGTCTACTTTCTATTTGTAATCCCGTTTCCAACGAAATCCTCAGAACTATCGAAATTTCCAATTGCAGATTCCACAAAAAGCGTGTTTCAAAGCTGCTCTGTAAAAAGAAAGGTTCAACTCTGTTAGTTGAATACACACGTCACAAACAAGTTTCTGAGAATGCTTCTGTCTAGTTTTTATGGGAAGATATTTCCTTTTTCACCGTAGGCCTCAAAGCGCTCCAAATGTCCACGTCCACATACTACAAAAAGAGTGTTTCAAACCTGCTGTATGAAAGGGAATGTTCAACTCTATGAGTTGAATGCAAACATTACAAAGAAGTTTCTGAGAATGCTTCTGTCTAGATTTTATATGAAGGTTTTCCCGTTTCCAACGAAATTTTCAATGCTCTCAAAATATCCACTTGTAGATTCTACAAAAAGAGTGTTTCCAAACTGCTGTGTCAAAAGAAAGGTTCAACTCTGTTAGTTGAGGACACACATCACAAATAAGTTTCTGAGAATGCTTCTGTCTAGTTCTTATTTGAAGACATTTCCTTTCTCACCTTAGGCCTGAAAACGCTCGAAATATCCACTTCCAGATACGACAGAAACAGTGATTCAAACCTGCTCTATGAAAGGGAATGTTCAACTAGGTGACTTGAATGCAAACATCACAAAGCAGTTTCTGAGAATGCTGCTGTCTACTTTCTATTTGTAATCCCGTTTCCAACGAAATCCTCAGAACTATCGAAATTTCCAATTGCAGATTCCACAAAAAGCGTGTTTCAAAGCTGCTCTGTAAAAAGAAAGGTTCAACTCTGTTAGTTGAATACACACGTCACAAACAAGTTTCTGAGAATGCTTCTGTCTAGTTTTTATGGGAAGATATTTCCTTTTTCACCGTAGGCCTCAAAGCGCTCCAAATGTCCACTTCCACATACTACAAAAAGAGTGTTTCAAACCTGCTCTATGATAGGGAATGTTGAAACCTATGAGTTGAATGCAAGCATTACAAAGAGGTTTCTGAGAATGCTTCTGTCTAGATTTTATATGTAGATATTCCCGTTTCCAACGAAATCCTCAAAGCTATCCAAATATCAACTTGCAGATTCTACAAAAGGAATGTTTCCAAAATGCTGTATCCAAACAAAGGTTCAACTCTGGGAATTGAGGGCATACATCACAAAGAAGATTCTGAGAATGCTTCTGTCTAGATTTTATATGAAAATATTCCCGTTTCCAACGAAATCCTCAAAGCTATCCAAATATCCACTTGCAAATGCCACAAAAAGAGTGTTTCCAAACTGCTCTGTGAAAAGGAAGGTTCAACTCTGTTAGTTGAGTACACACATCACAAAGAGGTTTCTGAGAATGCTGCTGAATAGTTTTTATTTGAAGATATTTCCCTTTTCACCTTAGGCCTAAGAGTGCTCGAAATGTCCATTTCCACATACTCCACAAAGTGTGTTTCAAACGTGCTGTATGAAAGGGAATGTTCAACTCTATGAGTTGAATGCAAACATCACAAAGAAGATTCTGAGAATGCTTTTGTCTAGATTTTATATGAAGATATTCCCGTGTCCAACGAAATTTTCAAAGGTCTCCAAATATCCATTTGTAGATTCTACAAAAAGAGTGTTTCCAAACTGCTGTATCAAAACAAAGGTTGAACTCTGTGAGTTGAGGACACACATCACAAATAAGTTTCTGAGAATGCTTCTGTCTAGTTTTTATTTGAAGATGTTTCCTTTTTCACCATAGGCCTGAAAGCGCTCGAAATGTCCACTTCCAGATAGTACAGAAAGAGTGTTTCAAACCTGCTCTATGAATGGGAATGTTCAGCTCTGTGAGTTGAATGCAAACATCACAAAGCAGGTTCTGAGAATGCTTCCGTCTAGATTTTAAATGAGGATATTCCCGTTTCCAACGAAATCCTCGAAGCTATCCAAATATCCACTTGCAGATTCCACAAAAAGAGTGTTTCAAAACTGCTCTGTCAAAAGATAGGTTCAACTCTGTTAGTTGAGTACACACATGGCAAACAAGATTCCGAGAATGCTTTCGTCTAGTTTTTTTGGGAAGATATTTCCTTCTTCACCATAGGCCTCAAAGCGCTCCAAATATCCATTTCCACATGCTATACAAAGAGTGTCTCAAACCTGCTGTATGAATGGGAATGTTCAACTCTATGAGTTGAATGCAAACATCACAAAGAAGTTTCTGAGAATGCTGCTGTCTAGATTTTATATGAAGGTTTTCCCGCTTCCAACGAAATTTTCAATGCTCTCAAAATATCCTCTTGTAGATTCTACAAAAAGAGTGTTTCCAAACTGCTGTATCAAAACAAAGGTTCATCTCTGTTAGTTGAGGACACACATCACAAATAAGTTTCTGAGAATGCTTCTGTCTAGTTCTTATTTGAAGACATTTCCTTTCTCACCTTAGGCCTGAAAGCGCTCGAAATACCCACTTCCAGATACTACAGAAACAGTGATTCAAACCTGCTCTATGAAAGGGAATGTTCAACTATGTGACTTGAATGCAAACATCACAAAGCAGTTTCTGAGAATGCTGCTGTCTACTTTCTATTTGTAATCCCGTTTCCAACGAAATCCTCAGAACTATCGAAATTTCCAATTGCAGATTCCACAGAAACAGGGTTTCAAAGCTGCTCTGTAAAAAGAAAGGTTCAACTCTGTTAGTTGAATACACACGTCACAAACAAGTTTCTGAGAATGCTTCTGTCTAGTTTTTATGGGAAGATATTTCCTTTTTCACCGTAGGCCTCAAAGCGCTCCAAATGTCCACTTCCACATACTACAAAAAGAGTGTTTCAAACCTGCTGTATGAAAGGGAATGTTCAACTCTATGAGTTGAATGCAAACATTACAAAGAAGTTTCTGAGATGCTTCTGTCTAGATTTTATATGAAGGTTTTCCCGTTTCCAACGAAATTTTCAATGCTCTCAAAATATCCACTTGTAGATTCTACAAAAAGAGTGTTTCCAAACTGCTGTGTCAAAAGAAAGGTTCAACTCTGTTAGTTGAGGACACACATCACAAATAAGTTTCTGAGAATGCTTCTGTCTAGTTCTTATTTGAAGACATTTCCTTTCTCACCTTAGGCCTGAAAACGCTCGAAATATCCACTTCCAGATACGACAGAAACAGTGATTCAAACCTGCTCTATGAAAGGGAATGTTCAACTAGGTGACTTGAATGCAAACATCACAAAGCAGTTTCTGAGAATGCTGCTGTCTACTTTCTATTTGTATCCCGTTTCCAACGAAATCCTCAGAACTATCGAAATTTCCAATTGCAGATTCCACAGAAACAGGGTTTCAAAGCTGCTCTGTAAAAAGAAAGGTTCAACTCTGTTAGTTGAATACACACGTCACAAACAAGTTTCTGAGAATGCTTCTGTCTAGTTTTTATGGGAAGATATTTCCTTTTTCACCGTAGGCCTCAAAGCGCTCCAAATGTCCACGTCCACATACTACAAAAAGAGTGTTTCAAACCTGCTGTATGAAAGGGAATGTTCAACTCTATGAGTTGAATGCAAACATTACAAAGAAGTTTCTGAGAATGCTTCTGTCTAGATTTTATATGAAGGTTTTCCCGTTTCCAACGAAATTTTCAATGCTCTCAAAATATCCACTTGTAGATTCTACAAAAAGAGTGTTTCCAAACTGCTGTGTCAAAAGAAAGGTTCAACTCTGTTAGTTGAGGACACACATCACAAATAAGTTTCTGAGAATGCTTCTGTCTAGTTCTTATTTGAAGACATTTCCTTTCTCACCTTAGGCCTGAAAACGCTCGAAATATCCACTTCCAGATACGACAGAAACAGTGATTCAAACCTGCTCTATGAAAGGGAATGTTCAACTAGGTGACTTGAATGCAAACATCACAAAGCAGTTTCTGAGAATGCTGCTGTCTACTTTCTATTTGTAATCCCGTTTCCAACGAAATCCTCAGAACTATCGAAATTTCCAATTGCAGATTCCACAGAAACAGGGTTTCAAAGCTGCTCTGTAAAAAGAAAGGTTCAACTCTGTTAGTTGAATACACACGTCACAAACAAGTTTCTGAGAATGCTTCTGTCTAGTTTTTATGGGAAGATATTTCCTTTTTCACCGTAGGCCTCAAAGCGCTCCAAATGTCCACTTCCACATACTACAAAAAGAGTGTTTCAAACCTGCTGTATGAAAGGGAATGTTCAACTCTATGAGTTGAATGCAAACATTACAAAGAAGTTTCTGAGAATGCTTCTGTCTAGATTTTATATGAAGGTTTTCCCGTTTCCAACGAAATTTTCAATGCTCTCAAAATATCCACTTGTAGATTCTACAAAAAGAGTGTTTCCAAACTGCTGTGTCAAATGAAAGGTTCAACTCTGTTAGTTGAGGACACACATCACAAATAAGTTTCTGAGAATGCTTCTGTCTAGTTCTTATTTGAAGACATTTCCTTTCTCACCTTAGGCCTGAAAACGCTCGAAATATCCACTTCCAGATACGACAGAAACAGTGATTCAAACCTGCTCTATGAAAGGGAATGTTCAACTAGGTGACTTGAATGCAAACATCACAAAGCAGTTTCTGAGAATGCTTGCTGTCTACTTTCTATTTGTAATCCCGTTTCCAACGAAATCCTCAGCAACTATCGAAATTTCCAATTGCAGATTCCACAGAAACAGGGTTTCAAAGCTGCTCTGTAAAAAGAAAGGTTCAACTCTGTTAGTTGAATACACACGTCACAAACAAGTTTCTGAGAATGCTTCTGTCTAGTTTTTATGGGAAGCATATTTCCTTTTTCACCGTAGGCCTCAAAGCGCTCCAAATGTCCACTTCCACATACTACAAAAAGAGTGTTTCAAACCTGCTCTATGATAGGGAATGTTGAAACCTATGAGTTGAATGCAAACATTACAAAGAGGTTTCTGAGAATGCTTCTGTCTAGATTTTATATGTAGATATTCCCGTTTCCAACGAAATCCTCAAAGCTATCCAAATATCAACTTGCAGATTCTACAAAAGGAATGTTTCCAAAATGCTGTATCCAAACAAAGGTTCAACTCTGTGAATTGAGGGCATACATCACAAAGAAGATTCTGAGAATGCTTCTGTCTAGATTTTATATGAAAATATTCCCGTTTCCAACGAAATCCTCAAAGCTATCCAAATATCCACTTGCAAATGCCACAAAAAGAGTGTTTCCAAACTGCTCTGTGAAAAGGAAGGTTCAACTCTGTTAGTTGAGTACACACATCACAAAGAGGTTTCTGAGAATGCTGCTGACTAGTTTTTATTTGAAGATATTTCCCTTTTCACCTTAGGCCTAAGAGTGCTCGAAATGTCCATTTCCACATACTCCACAAAGTGTGTTTCAAACGTGCTGTATGAAAGGGAATGTTCAACTCTATGAGTTGAATGCAAACATCACAAAGAAGATTCTGAGAATGCTTTTGTCTAGATTTTATATGAAGATATTCCCGTGTCCAACGAAATTTTCAAAGGTCTCCAAATATCCATTTGTAGATTCTACAAAAAGAGTGTTTCCAAACTGCTGTATCAAAACAAAGGTTGAACTCTGTGAGTTGAGGACACACATCACAAATAAGTTTCTGAGAATGCTTCTGTCTAGTTTTTATTTGAAGATGTTTCCTTTTTCACCATAGGCCTGAAAGCGCTCGAAATGTCCACTTCCAGATAGTACAGAAAGAGTGTTTCAAACCTGCTCTATGAACGGGAATGTTCAGCTCTGTGAGTTGAATGCAAACATCACAAAGCAGGTTCTGAGAATGCTTCCGTCTAGGTTTTAAATGAGGATATTCCCGTTTCCAACGAAATCCTCGAAGCTATCCAAATATCCACTTGCAGATTCCACAAAAAGAGTGTTTCAAAACTGCTCTGTCAAAAGATAGGTTCAACTCTGTTAGTTGAGTACACACATGGCAAACAAGATTCCGAGAATGCTTTCGTCTAGTTTTTTTGGGAAGATATTTCCTTCTTCACCATAGGCCTCAAAGCGCTCCAAATATCCATTTCCACATGCTATACAAAGAGTGTCTCAAACCTGCTGTATGAATGGGAATGTTCAACTCTATGAGTTGAATGCAAACATCACAAAGAAGTTTCTGAGAATGCTGCTGTCTAGATTTTATATGAAGGTTTTCCCGCTTCCAACGAAATTTTCAATGCTCTCAAAATATCCTCTTGTAGATTCTACAAAAAGAGTGTTTCCAAACTGCTGTATCAAAACAAAGGTTCATCTCTGTTAGTTGAGGACACACATCACAAATAAGTTTCTGAGAATGCTTCTGTCTAGTTCTTATTTGAAGACATTTCCTTTCTCACCTTAGGCCTGAAAGCGCTCGAAATACCCACTTCCAGATACTACAGAAACAGTGATTCAAACCTGCTCTATGAAAGGGAATGTTCAACTAGGTGACTTGAATGCAAACATCACAAAGCAGTTTCTGAGAATGCTGCTGTCTACTTTCTATTTGTAATCCCGTTTCCAACGAAATCCTCAGAACTATCGAAATTTCCAATTGCAGATTCCACAGAAACAGGGTTTCAAAGCTGCTCTGTAAAAAGAAAGGTTCAACTCTGTTAGTTGAATACACACGTCACAAACAAGTTTCTGAGAATGCTTCTGTCTAGTTTTTATGGGAAGATATTTCCTTTTTCACCGTAGGCCTCAAAGCGCTCCAAATGTCCACGTCCACATACTACAAAAAGAGTGTTTCAAACCTGCTGTATGAAAGGGAATGTTCAACTCTATGAGTTGAATGCAAACATTACAAAGAAGTTTCTGAGAATGCTTCTGTCTAGATTTTATATGAAGGTTTTCCCGTTTCCAACGAAATTTTCCATGCTCTCAAAATATCCACTTGTAGATTCTACAAAAAGAGTGTTTCCAAACTGCTGTGTCAAAAGAAAGGTTCAACTCTGTTAGTTGAGGACACACATCACAAATAAGTTTCTGAGAATGCTTCTGTCTAGTTCTTATTTGAAGACATTTCCTTTCTCACCTTAGGCCTGAAAACGCTCGAAATATCCACTTCCAGATACGACAGAAACAGTGATTCAAACCTGCTCTATGAAAGGGAATGTTCAACTAGGTGACTTGAATGCAAACATCACAAAGCAGTTTCTGAGAATGCTTGCTGTCTACTTTCTATTTGTAATCCCGTTTCCAACGAAATCCTCAGTAACTATCGAAATTTCCAATTGCAGATTCCACAAAAAGCGTGTTTCAAAGCTGCTCTGTAAAAAGAAAGGTTCAACTCTGTTAGTTGAATACACACGTCACAAACAAGTTTCTGAGAATGCTTCTGTCTAGTTTTTATGGGAAGATATTTCCTTTATTCACCGTAGGCCTCAAAGCGCTCCAAATGTCCACTTCCACATACTACAAAAAGAGTGTTTCAAACCTGCTCTATGATAGGGAATGTTGAAACCTATGAGTTGAATGCAAGCATTACAAAGAGGTTTCTGAGAATGCTTCTGTCTAGATTTTATATGTAGATATTCCCGTTTCCAACGAAATCCTCAAAGCTATCCAAATATCAACTTGCAGATTCTGCAAAAGGAATGTTTCCAAAATGCTGTATCCAAACAAAGGTTCAACTCTGTGAATTGAGGGCATACATCACAAAGAAGATTCTGAGAATGCTTCTGTCTAGATTTTATATGAAAATATTCCCGTTTCCAACGAAATCCTCAAAGCTATCCAAATATCCACTTGCAAATGCCACAAAAAGAGTGTTTCCAAACTGCTCTGTGAAAAGGAAGGTTCAACTCTGTTAGTTGAGTACACACATCACAAAGAGGTTTCTGAGAATGCTGCTGACTAGTTTTTATTTGAAGATATTTCCCTTTTCACCTTAGGCCTAAGAGTGCTCGAAATGTCCATTTCCACATACTCCACAAAGTGTGTTTCAAACGTGCTGTATGAAAGGGAATGTTCAACTCTATGAGTTGAATGCAAACATCACAAAGAAGATTCTGAGAATGCTTTTGTCTAGATTTTATATGAAGATATTCCCGTGTCCAACGAAATTTTCAAAGGTCTCCAAATATCCATTTGTAGATTCTACAAAAAGAGTGTTTCCAAACTGCTGTATCAAAACAAAGGTTGAACTCTGTGAGTTGAGGACACACATCACAAATAAGTTTCTGAGAATGCTTCTGTCTAGTTTTTATTTGAAGATGTTTCCTTTTTCACCATAGGCCTGAAAGCGCTCGAAATGTCCACTTCCAGATAGTACAGAAAGAGTGTTTCAAACCTGCTCTATGAACGGGAATGTTCAGCTCTGTGAGTTGAATGCAAACATCACAAAGCAGGTTCTGAGAATGCTTCCGTCTAGATTTTAAATGAGGATATTCCCGTTTCCAACGAAATCCTCGAAGCTATCCAAATATCCACTTGCAGATTCCACAAAAAGAGTGTTTCAAAACTGCTCTGTCAAAAGATAGGTTCAACTCTGTTAGTTGAGTACACACATGGCAAACAAGATTGTGAGAATGCCTTCGTCTAGTTTTTTTGGGAAGATATTTCCTTCTTCACCATAGGCCTCAAAGCGCTCCAAATATCCATTTCCACATGCTATACAAAGAGTGTCTCAAACCTGCTGTATGAATGGGAATGTTCAACTCTATGAGTTGAATGCAAACATCACAAAGAAGTTTCTGAGAATGCTGCTGTCTAGATTTTATATGAAGGTTTTCCCGCTTCCAACGAAATTTTCGATGCTCTCAAAATATCCTCTTGTAGATTCTACAAAAAGAGTGTTTCCAAACTGCTGTATCAAAACAAAGGTTCATCTCTGTTAGTTGAGGACACACATCACAAATAAGTTTCTGAGAATGCTTCTGTCTAGTTCTTATTTGAAGACATTTCCTTTCTCACCTTAGGCCTGAAAGCGCTCGAAATACCCACTTCCAGATACTACAGAAACAGTGATTCAAACCTGCTCTATGAAAGGGAATGTTCAACTATGTGACTTGAATGCAAACATCACAAAGCAGTTTCTGAGAATGCTGCTGTCTACTTTCTATTTGTAATCCCGTTTCCAACGAAATCCTCAGAACTATCGAAATTTCCAATTGCAGATTCCACAGAAACAGGGTTTCAAAGCTGCTCTGTAAAAAGAAAGGTTCAACTCTGTTAGTTGAATACACACGTCACAAACAAGTTTCTGAGAATGCTTCTGTCTAGTTTTTATGGGAAGATATTTCCTTTTTCACCGTAGGCCTCAAAGCGCTCCAAATGTCCACTTCCACATACTACAAAAAGAGTGTTTCAAACCTGCTGTATGAAAGGGAATGTTCAACTCTATGAGTTGAATGCAAACATCACAAAGAAGTTTCTGAGAATGCTGCTGTCTAGATTTTATATGAAGGTTTTCCCGCTTCCAACGAAATTTTCAATGCTCTCAAAATATCCTCTTGTAGATTCTACAAAAAGAGTGTTTCCAAACTGCTGTATCAAAACAAAGGTTCATCTCTGTTAGTTGAGGACACACATCACAAATAAGTTTCTGAGAATGCTTCTGTCTAGTTCTTATTTGAAGACATTTCCTTTCTCACCTTAGGCCTGAAAGCGCTCGAAATACCCACTTCCAGATACTACAGAAACAGTGATTCAAACCTGCTCTATGAAAGGGAATGTTCAACTATGTGACTTGAATGCAAACATCACAAAGCAGTTTCTGAGAATGCTGCTGTCTACTTTCTATTTGTAATCCCGTTTGCAACGAAATCCTCAGAACTATCGAAATTTCCAATTGCAGATTCCACAGAAACAGGGTTTCAAAGCTGCTCTGTAAAAAGAAAGGTTCAACTCTGTTAGTTGAATACACACGTCACAAACAAGTTTCTGAGAATGCTTCTGTCTAGTTTTTATGGGAAGATATTTCCTTTTTCACCGTAGGCCTCAAAGCGCTCCAAATGTCCACTTCCACATACTACAAAAAGAGTGTTTCAAACCTGCTGTATGAAAGGGAATGTTCAACTCTATGAGTTGAATGCAAACATTACAAAGAAGTTTCTGAGAATGCTTCTGTCTAGATTTTATATGAAGGTTTTCCCGTTTCCAACGAAATTTTCAATGCTCTCAAAATATCCACTTGTAGATTCTACAAAAAGAGTGTTTCCAAACTGCTGTGTCAAAAGAAAGGTTCAACTCTGTTAGTTGAGGACACACATCACAAATAAGTTTCTGAGAATGCTTCTGTCTAGTTCTTATTTGAAGACATTTCCTTTCTCACCTTAGGCCTGAAAACGCTCGAAATATCCACTTCCAGATACGACAGAAACAGTGATTCAAACCTGCTCTATGAAAGGGAATGTTCAACTAGGTGACTTGAATGCAAACATCACAAAGCAGTTTCTGAGAATGCTGCTGTCTACTTTCTATTTGTAATCCCGTTTCCAACGAAATCCTCAGAACTATCGAAATTTCCAATTGCAGATTCCACAAAAAGCGTGTTTCAAAGCTGCTCTGTAAAAAGAAAGGTTCAACTCTGTTAGTTGAATACACACGTCACAAACAAGTTTCTGAGAATGCTTCTGTCTAGTTTCTATGGGAAGATATTTCCTTTTTCACCGTAGGCCTCAAGGCGCTCCAAATGTCCACTTCCACATACTACAAAAAGAGTGTTTCAAACCTGCTCTATGATAGGGAATGTTGAAAACTATGAGTTGAATGCAAGCATTACAAAGAAGTTTCTGAGAATGCTTCTGTCTAGATTTTATATGTAGATATTCCCGTTTCCAACGAAATCCTCAAAGCTATCCAAATATCAACTTGCAGATTCTACAAAAGGAATGTTTCCAAAATGCTGTATCCAAACAAAGGTTCAACTCTGTGAATTGAGGGCATACATCACAAAGAAGATTCTGAGAATGCTTCTGTCTAGATTTTATATGAAAATATTCCCGTTTCCAACGAAATCCTCAAAGCTATCCAAATATCCACTTGCAAATGCCACAAAAAGAGTGTTTCCAAACTGCTCTGTGAAAAGGAAGGTTCAACTCTGTTAGTTGAGTACACACATCACAAAGAGGTTTCTGAGAATGCTGCTGACTAGTTTTTATTTGAAGATATTTCCCTTTTCACCTTAGGCCTAAGAGTGCTCGAAATGTCCATTTCCACATACTCCACAAAGTGTGTTTCAAACGTGCTGTATGAAAGGGAATGTTCAACTCTATGAGTTGAATGCAAACATCACAAAGAAGACTCTGAGAATGCTTTTGTCTAGATTTTATATGAAGATATTCCCGTGTCCAACGAAATTTTCAAAGGTCTCCAAATATCCATTTGTAGATTCTACAAAAAGAGTGTTTCCAAACTGCTGTATCAAAACAAAGGTTGAACTCTGTGAGTTGAGGACACACATCACAAATAAGTTTCTGAGAATGCTTCTGTCTAGTTTTTATTTGAAGATGTTTCCTTTTTCACCATAGGCCTGAAAGCGCTCGAAATGTCCACTTCCAGATAGTACAGAAAGAGTGTTTCAAACCTGCTCTATGAACGGGAATGTTCAGCTCTGTGAGTTGAATGCAAACATCACAAAGCAGGTTCTGAGAATGCTTCCGTCTAGATTTTAAATGAGGATATTCCCGTTTCCAACGAAATCCTCGAAGCTATCCAAATATCCACTTGCAGATTCCACAAAAAGAGTGTTTCAAAACTGCTCTGTCAAAAGATCGGTTCAACTCTGTTAGTTGAGTACACACATGGCAAACAAGATTCCGAGAATGCTTTCGTCTAGTTTTTTTGGGAAGATATTTCCTTCTTCACCATAGGCCTCAAAGCGCTCCAAATATCCATTTCCACATGCTATACAAAGAGTGTCTCAAACCTGCTGTATGAATGGGAATGTTCAACTCTATGAGTTGAATGCAAACATCACAAAGAAGTTTCTGAGAATGCTGCTGTCTAGATTTTATATGAAGGTTTTCCCGCTTCCAACGAAATTTTCAATGCTCTCAAAATATCCTCTTGTAGATTCTACAAAAAGAGTGTTTCCAAACTGCTGTATCAAAACAAAGGTTCATCTCTGTTAGTTGAGGACACACATCACAAATAAGTTTCTGAGAATGCTTCTGTCTAGTTCTTATTTGAAGACATTTCCTTTCTCACCTTAGGCCTGAAAGCGCTCGAAATACACACTTCCAGATACTACAGAAACAGTGATTCAAACCTGCTCTATGAAAGGGAATGTTCAACTATGTGACTTGAATGCAAACATCACAAAGCAGTTTCTGAGAATGCTGCTGTCTACTTTCTATTTGTAATCCCGTTTCCAACGAAATCCTCAGAACTATCGAAATTTCCAATTGCAGATTCCACAGAAACAGGGTTTCAAAGCTGCTCTGTAAAAAGAAAGGTTCAACTCTGTTAGTTGAATACACACGTCACAAACAAGTTTCTGAGAATGCTTCTGTCTAGTTTTTATGGGAAGATATTTCCTTTTTCACCGTAGGCCTCAAAGCGCTGCAAATGTCCACGTCCACATACTACAAAAAGAGTGTTTCAAACCTGCTGTATGAAAGGGAATGTTCAACTACTATGAGTTGAATGCAAACATTACAAAGAAGTTTCTGAGAATGCTTCTGTCTAGATTTTATATGAAGATTTTCCCGTTTCCAACGAAATTTTCAATGCTCTGAAAATATCCACTTGTAGATTCTACAAAAAGAGTGTTTCCAAACTGCTGTGTCAAAAGAAAGGTTCAACTCTGTTAGTTGAGGACACACATCACAAATAAGTTTCTGAGAATGCTTCTGTCTAGTTCTTATTTGAAGAGATTTCCTTTCTCACCTTAGGCCTGAAAACGCTCGAAATATCCACTTCCAGATACGACAGAAACAGTGATTCAAACCTGCTCTATGAAAGGGAATGTTCAACTAGGTGACTTGAATGCAAACATCACAAAGCAGTTTCTGAGAATGCTGCTGTCTACTTTCTATTTGTAATCCCGTTTCCAACGAAATCCTCAGAACTATCGAAATTTCCAATTGCAGATTCCACAAAAAGCGTGTTTCAAAGCTGCTCTGTAAAAAGAAAGGTTCAACTCTGTTAGTTGAATACACACGTCACAAACAAGTTTCTGAGAATGCTTCTGTCTAGTTTTTATGGGAAGATATTTCCTTTTTCACCGTAGGCCTCAAAGCGCTCCAAATGTCCACTTCCACATACTACAAAAAGAGTGTTTCAAACCTGCTCTATGATAGGGAATGTTGAAACCTATGAGTTGAATGCAAGCATTACAAAGAGGTTTCTGAGAATGCTTCTGTCTAGATTTTATATGTAGATATTCCCGTTTCCAACGAAATCCTCAAAGCTATCCAAATATCAACTTGCAGATTCTACAAAAGGAATGTTTCCAAAATGCTGTATCCAAACAAAGGTTCAACTCTGTGAATTGAGGGCATACATCACAAAGAAGATTCTGAGAATGCTTCTGTCTAGATTTTATATGAAAATATTCCCGTTTCCAACGAAATCCTCAAAGCTATCCAAATATCCACTTGCAAATGCCACAAAAAGAGTGTTTCCAAACTGCTCTGTGAAAAGGAAGGTTCAACTCTGTTAGTTGAGTACACACATCACAAAGAGGTTTCTGAGAATGCTGCTGACTAGTTTTTATTTGAAGATATTTCCCTTTTCACCTTAGGCCTAAGAGTGCTCGAAATGTCCATTTCCACATACTCCACAAAGTGTGTTTCAAACGTGCTGTATGAAAGGGAATGTTCAACTCTATGAGTTGAATGCAAACATCACAAAGAAGACTCTGAGAATGCTTTTGTCTAGATTTTATATGAAGATATTCCCGTGTCCAACGAAATTTTCAAAGGTCTCCAAATATCCATTTGTAGATTCTACAAAAAGAGTGTTTCCAAACTGCTGTATCAAAACAAAGGTTGAACTCTGTGAGTTGAGGACACACATCACAAATAAGTTTCTGAGAATGCTTCTGTCTAGTTTTTATTTGAAGATGTTTCCTTTTTCACCATAGGCCTGAAAGCGCTGGAAATGTCCACTTCCAGATAGTACAGAAAGAGTGTTTCAAACCTGCTCTATGAACGGGAATGTTCAGCTCTGTGAGTTGAATGCAAACATCACAAAGCAGGTTCTGAGAATGCTTCCGTCTAGATTTTAAATGAGGATATTCCCGTTTCCAACGAAATCCTCGAAGCTATCCAAATATCCACTTGCAGATTCCACAAAAAGAGTGTTTCAAAACTGCTCTGTCAAAAGATAGGTTCAACTCTGTTAGTTGAGTACACACATGGCAAACAAGATTGCGAGAATGCTTTCGTCTAGTTTTTTTGGGAAGATATTTCCTTCTTCACCATAGGCCTCAAAGCGCTCCAAATATCCATTTCCACATGCTATACAAAGAGTGTCTCAAACCTGCTGTATGAATGGGAATGTTCAACTCTATGAGTTGAATGCAAACATCACAAAGAAGTTTCTGAGAATGCTGCTGTCTAGATTTTATATGAAGGTTTTCCCGCTTCCAACGAAATTTTCAATGCTCTCAAAATATCCTCTTGTAGATTCTACAAAAAGAGTGTTTCCAAACTGCTGTATCAAAACAAAGGTTCATCTCTGTTAGTTGAGGACACACATCACAAATAAGTTTCTGAGAATGCTTCTGTCTAGTTCTTATTTGAAGACATTTCCTTTCTCACCTTAGGCCTGAAAGCGCTCGAAATACCCACTTCCAGATACTACAGAAACAGTGATTCAAACCTGCTCTATGAAAGGGAATGTTCAACTAGGTGACTTGAATGCAAACATCACAAAGCAGTTTCTGAGAATGCTGCTGTCTACTTTCTATTTGTAATCCCGTTTCCAACGAAATCCTCAGAACTATCGAAATTTCCAATTGCAGATTCCACAGAAACAGGGTTTCAAAGCTGCTCTGTAAAAAGAAAGGTTCAACTCTGTTAGTTGAATACACACGTCACAAACAAGTTTCTGAGAATGCTTCTGTCTAGTTTTTATGGGAAGATATTTCCTTTTTCACCGTAGGCCTCAAAGCGCTCCAAATGTCCACGTCCACATACTACAAAAAGAGTGTTTCAAACCTGCTGTATGAAAGGGAATGTTCAACTCTATGAGTTGAATGCAAACATTACAAAGAAGTTTCTGAGAATGCTTCTCTCTAGATTTTATATGAAGGTTTTCCCGTTTCCAACGAAATTTTCAATGCTCTCAAAATATCCACTTGTAGATTCTACAAAAAGAGTGTTTCCAAACTGCTGTGTCAAAAGAAAGGTTCAACTCTGTTAGTTGAGGACACACATCACAAATAAGTTTCTGAGAATGCTTCTGTCTAGTTCTTATTTGAAGACATTTCCTTTCTCACCTTAGGCCTGAAAACGCTCGAAATATCCACTTCCAGATACGACAGAAACAGTGATTCAAACCTGCTCTATGAAAGGGAATGTTCAACTAGGTGACTTGAATGCAAACATCACAAAGCAGTTTCTGAGAATGCTGCTGTCTACTTTCTATTTGTAATCCCGTTTCCAACGAAATCCTCAGAACTATCGAAATTTCCAATTGCAGATTCCACAGAAACAGGTTTTCAAAGCTGCTCTGTAAAAAGAAAGGTTCAACTCTGTTAGTTGAATACACACGTCACAAACAAGTTTCTGAGAATGCTTCTGTCTAGTTTTTATGGGAAGATATTTCCTTTTTCACCGTAGGCCTCAAAGCGCTCCAAATGTCCACTTCCACATACTACAAAAAGAGTGTTTCAAACCTGCTGTATGAAAGGGAATGTTCAACTCTATGAGTTGAATGCAAACATTACAAAGAAGTTTCTGAGAATGCTTCTGTCTAGATTTTATATGAAGGTTTTCCCGTTTCCAACGAAATTTTCAATGCTCTCAAAATATCCACTTGTAGATTCTACAAAAAGAGTGTTTCCAAACTGCTGTGTCAAAGGAAAGGTTCAACTCTGTTAGTTGAGGACACACATCACAAATAAGTTTCTGAGAATGCTTCTGTCTAGTTCTTATTTGAAGACATTTCCTTTCTCACCTTAGGCCTGAAAACGCTCGAAATATCCACTTCCAGATACGACAGAAACAGTGATTCAAACCTGCTCTATGAAAGGGAATGTTCAACTAGGTGACTTGAATGCAAACATCACAAAGCAGTTTCTGAGAATGCTGCTGTCTACTTTCTATTTGTAATCCCGTTTCCAACGAAATCCTCAGAACTATCGAAATTTCCAATTGCAGATTCCACAAAAAGCGTGTTTCAAAGCTGCTCTGTAAAAAGAAAGGTTCAACTCTGTTAGTTGAATACACACGTCACAAACAAGTTTCTGAGAATGCTTCTGTCTAGTTTTTATGGGAAGATATTTCCTTTTTCACGGTAGGCCTCAAAGCGCTCAAAATGTCCACTTCCACATACTACAAAAAGAGTGTTTCAAACCTGCTCTATGATAGGGAATGTTGAAACCTATGAGTTGAATGCAAGCATTACAAAGAGGTTTGCTGAGAATGCTTTCTGTCTAGATTGTATATGTAGATATTCCCGTTTCCAACGAAATCCTCAAAGCTATCCAAATATCAACTTGCACATTCTACAAAAGGAATGTTTCCAAAATGCTGTATCCAAACAAAGGTTCAACTCTGTGAATTGAGGGCATACATCACAAAGAAGATTCTGAGAATGCTTCTGTCTAGATTTTATATGAAAATATTCCCGTTTCCAACGAAATCCTCAAAGCTATCCAAATATCCACTTGCAAATGCCACAAAAAGAGTGTTTCCAAACTGCTCTGTGAAAAGGAAGGTTCAACTCTGTTAGTTGAGTACACACATCACAAAGAGGTTTCTGAGAATGCTGCTGACTAGTTTTTATTTGAAGATATTTCCCTTTTCACCTTAGGCCTAAGAGTGCTCGAAATGTCCATTTCCACATACTCCACAAAGTGTGTTTCAAACGTGCTGTATGAAAGGGAATGTTCAACTCTATGAGTTGAATGCAAACATCACAAAGAAGATTCTGAGAATGCTTTTGTCTAGATTTTATATGAAGATATTCCCGTGTCCAACGAAATTTTCAAAGGTCTCCAAATATCCATTTGTAGATTCTACAAAAAGAGTGTTTCCAAACTGCTGTATCAAAACAAAGGTTGAACTCTGTGAGTTGAGGACACACATCACAAATAAGTTTCTGAGAATGCTTCTGTCTAGTTTTTATTTGAAGATGTTTCCTTTTTCACCATAGGCCTGAAAGCGCTCGAAATGTCCACTTCCAGATAGTACAGAAAGAGTGTTTCAAACCTGCTCTATGAACGGGAATGTTCAGCTCTGTGAGTTGAATGCAAACATCACAAAGCAGGTTCTGAGAATGCTTGTCCGTCTAGATTTTAAATGAGGATATTCCCGTTTCCAACTGAAATCCTCGAAGCTATCCAAATATCCACTTGCAGATTCCACAAAACGAGTGTTTCAAAACTGCTCTGTCAAAAGATAGGTTCAACTCTGTTAGTTGAGTACACACATGGCAAACAAGATTCCGAGAATGCTTTCGTCTAGTTTTTTTGGGAAGATATTTCCTTCTTCACCATAGGCCTCAAAGCGCTCCAAATATCCATTTCCACATGCTATACAAAGAGTGTCTCAAACCTGCTGTATGAATGGGAATGTTCAACTCTATGAGTTGAATGCAAACATCACAAAGAAGTTTCTGAGAATGCTGCTGTCTAGATTTTATATGAAGGTTTTCCCGCTTCCAACGAAATTTTCAATGCTCTCAAAATATCCTCTTGTAGATTCTACAAAAAGAGTGTTTCCAAACTGCTGTATCAAAACAAAGGTTCATCTCTGTTAGTTGAGGACACACATCACAAATAAGTTTCTGAGAATGCTTCTGTCTAGTTCTTATTTGAAGACATTTCCTTTCTCACCTTAGGCCTGAAAGCGCTCGAAATACCCACTTCCAGATACTACAGAAACAGTGATTCAAACCTGCTCTATGAAAGGGAATGTTCAACTAGGTGACTTGAATGCAAACATCACAAAGCAGTTTCTGAGAATGCTGCTGTCTACTTTCTATTTGTAATCCCGTTTGCAACGAAATCCTCAGAACTATCGAAATTTCCAATTGCAGATTCCACAGAAACAGGGTTTCAAAGCTGCTCTGTAAAAAGAAAGGTTCAACTCTGTTAGTTGAATACACACGTCACAAACAAGTTTCTGAGAATGCTTCTGTCTAGTTTTTATGGGAAGATATTTCCTTTTTCACGGTAGGCCTCAAAGCGCTCCAAATGTCCACTTCCACATACTACAAAAAGAGTGTTTCAAACCTGCTCTATGATAGGGAATGTTGAAACCTATGAGTTGAATGCAAGCATTACAAAGAGGTTTCTGAGAATGCTTCTGTCTAGATTTTATATGTAGATATTCCCGTTTCCAACGAAATCCTCAAAGCTATCCAAATATCAACTTGCAGATTCTACAAAAGGAATGTTTCCAAAATGCTGTATCCAAACAAAGGTTCAACTCTGTGAATTGAGGGCATACATCACAAAGAAGATTCTGAGAATGCTTCTGTCTAGATTTTATATGAAAATATTCCCGTTTCCAACGAAATCCTCAAAGCTATCCAAATATCCACTTGCAAATGCCACAAAAAGAGTGTTTCCAAACTGCTCTGTGAAAAGGAAGGTTCAACTGCTGTTAGTTGAGTACACACATCACAAAGAGGTTTCTGAGAATGCTGCTGACTAGTTTTTATTTGAAGATATTTCCCTTTTCACCTTAGGCCTAAGAGTGCTCGAAATGTCCATTTCCACATACTCCACAAAGTGTGTTTCAAACGTGCTGTATGAAAGGGAATGTTCAACTCTATCAGTTGAATGCAAACATCACAAAGAAGACTCTGAGAATGCTTTTGTCTAGATTTTATATGAAGATATTCCCGTGTCCAACGAAATTTTCAAAGTTCTCCAAATATCCATTTGTAGATTCTACAAAAAGAGTGTTTCCAAACTGCTGTATCAAAACAAAGGTTGAACTCTGTGAGTTGAGGACACACATCACAAATAAGTTTCTGAGAATGCTTCTGTCTAGTTTTTATTTGAAGATGTTTCCTTTTTCACCATAGGCCTGAAAGCGCTCGAAATGTCCACTTCCAGATAGTACAGAAAGAGGGTTTCAAACCTGCTCTGTGAACGGGAATGTTCAGCTCTGTGAGTTGAATGCAAACATCACAAAGCAGGTTCTGAGAATGCTTCCGTCTAGATTTTAAATGAGGATATTCCCGTTTCCAACGAAATCCTCGAAGCTATCCAAATATCCACTTGCAGATTCCACAAAAAGAGTGTTTCAAAACTGCTCTGTCAAAAGATAGGTTCAACTCTGTTAGTTGAGTACACACATGGCAAACAAGATTCCGAGAATGCTTTCGTCTAGTTTTTTTGGGAAGATATTTCCTTCTTCACCATAGGCCTCAAAGCGCTCCAAATATCCATTTCCACATGCTATACAAAGAGTGTCTCAAACCTGCTGTATGAATGGGAATGTTCAACTCTATGAGTTGAATGCAAACATCACAAAGAAGTTTCTGAGAATGCTGCTGTCTAGATTTTATATGAAGGTTTTCCCGCTTCCAACGAAATTTTCAATGCTCTCAAAATATCCTCTTGTAGATTCTACAAAAAGAGTGTTTCCAAACTGCTGTATCAAAACAAAGGTTCATCTCTGTTAGTTGAGGACACACATCACAAATAAGTTTCTGAGAATGCTTCTGTCTAGTTCTTATTTGAAGACATTTCCTTTCTCACCTTAGGCCTGAAAACGCTCGAAATATCCACTTCCAGATACGACAGAAACTGTGATTCAAACCTGCTCTATGAAAGGGAATGTTCAACTAGGTGACTTGAATGCAAACATCACAAAGCAGTTTCTGAGAATGCTGCTGTCTACTTTGTATTTGTAATCCCGTTTCCAACGAAATCCTCAGAACTATCGAAATTTCCAATTGCAGATTCCACAAAAAGCGTGTTTCAAAGCTGCTCTCTAGAAAGAAAGGTTCAACTCTGTTAGTTGAATACACACGTCACAAACAAGTTTCTGAGAATGCTTCTGTCTAGTTTTTATGGGAAGATATTTCCTTTTTCACCGTAGGCCTCAAAGCGCTCCAAGTGTCCACTTCCACATACTACAAAAAGAGTGTTTCAAACCTGCTGTATGAAAGGGAATGTTCAACTCTATGAGTTGAATGCAAACATTACAAAGAAGTTTCTGAGAATGCTTCTGTCTAGATTTTATATGAAGGTTTTCCCGTTTCCAACGAAATTTTCAATGCTCTCAAAATATCCACTTGTAGATTCTACAAAAAGAGTGTTTCCAAACTGCTGTGTCAAAAGAAAAGTTCAACTCTGTTAGTTGAGGACACACATCACAAATAAGTTTGCTGAGAATGCTTCTGTCTAGTTCTTATTTGAAGACATTTCCTTTCTCACCTTAGGCCTGAAAACGCTCGAAATATCCACTTCCAGATACGACAGAAACAGTGATTCAAACCTGCTCTATGAAAGGGAATGTTCAACTAGGTGACTTGAATGCAAACATCACAAAGCAGTTTCTGAGAATGCTGCTGTCTACTTTCTATTTGTAATCCCGTTACCAACGAAATCCTCAGAACTATCGAAATTTCCAATTGCAGATTCCACAAAAAGCGTGTTTCAAAGCTGCTCTGTAAAAAGAAAGGTTCATCTCTGTTAGTTGAATACACACGTCACAAACAAGTTTCTGAGAATGCTTCTGTCTAGTTTTTATGGGAAGATATTTCCTTTTTCACGGTAGGCCTCAAAGCGCTCCAAATGTCCACTTCCACATACTACAAAAAGAGTGTTTCAAACCTGCTCTATGATAGGGAATGTTGAAACCTATGAGTTGAATGCAAGCATTACAAAGAGGTTTCTGAGAATGCTTCTGTCTAGATTTTATATGTAGATATTCCCGTTTCCAACGAAATCCTCAAAGCTATCCAAATATCAACTTGCAGATTCTACAAAAGGAATGTTTCCAAAATGCTGTATCCAAACAAAGGTTCAACTCTGTGAATTGAGGGCATACATCACAAAGAAGATTCTGAGAATGCTTCTGTCTAGATTTTATATGAAAATATTCCCGTTTCCAACGAAATCCTCAAAGCTATCCAAATATCCACTTGCAAATGCCACAAAAAGAGTGTTTCCAAACTGCTCTGTGAAAAGGAAGGTTCAACTCTGTTAGTTGAGTACACACATCACAAAGAGGTTTCTGAGAATGCTGCTGACTAGTTTTTATTTGAAGATATTTCCCTTTTCACCTTAGGCCTAAGAGTGCTCGAAATGTCCATTTCCACATACTCCACAAAGTGTGTTTCAAACGTGCTGTATGAAAGGGAATGTTCAACTCTATGAGTTGAATGCAAACATCACAAAGAAGATTCTGAGAATGCTTTTGTCTAGATTTTATATGAAGATATTCCCGTGTCCAACGAAATTTTCAAAGGTCTCCAAATATCCATTTGTAGATTCTACAAAAAGAGTGTTTCCAAACTGCTGTATCAAAACAAAGGTTGAACTCTGTGAGTTGAGGACACACATCACAAATAAGTTTCTGAGAATGCTTCTGTCTAGTTTTTATTTGAAGATGTTTCCTTTTTCACCATAGGCCT